>NC_000016.10:48804924-49107954 GCF_000001405.40 Homo sapiens | reverse complement strand
GGACACAGAGTCCTTCTATCTTATAACTTTAGCATCCTCTGTGGCCCTGGAGTGGCCTGCTGCATCCTTTAAATTCAGCTGGAAGAGAGGAGAAGAGAGAGAAAATAGCATATGGAAAGGTTTTTATGGGCCACTAGGACAGACACATTCACTTTACGCACACTTCCTTGGCCAGAATTCAGTCATGACTACATAACTACAAAAGAGACGGGTGTGTGCTCAGGAGGAAATGGGTTTTGTTGAACAAATAGAAGTCAGTGCCACATGTATGAAATAACCATTTTTCTAGCTTACAAAATTTTTGATGATTTTATTGATTTCATGTCCTCTGTCTGGACTGCCCAGGAACCAGGGCAATCAATGTCTTTGACTCAGCCTCCACATGGATACCTTGAAGAAGACATAATTCATGAGAGAAAGGAAAACAATACTTCATCCCAGTGAAGCCTTTGATAATCCCCTCTCTAGTGGATGCTGGGATGCGCCACCCAGGTTCCTATCGGACAAAGGTGCTCATCCCCCCATTGCTGGAGTGTCGTTGGCTGACAGATATCAGCTGAGATGCTCTCCAGAAGTTGTCCTCAGATGAAGAGAGCTGTCTCACCCAAGGTTATGACCTCTTCACAGGAACAACTTCCAGACAATGACTCCATTATGTGGGATATAAAGACCCAATCCCCTTGCCTCAAAGTGAGGCAAAGAGGGTGCTCCCAGCCCCAGAGCTCCTGTGGGGTTAACTGAAGCTAATTGATGCTAACTGTGGCTGCATCACAGCCCAACCTATCCTTTTGAACAATCCTACTTCTTCCCCTCCCCAACAGATGTGGTTCTGAAGATCCTCCTCAATCAGCTTCCTCTGGGGAAACTCTATTTCAGAGTCAGTTTCCTTAGAAACCGAGCCTAAGACAATTGGTGTCAAGAGTGGTTTAAAGA
Source organism: Homo sapiens (assembly GCF_000001405.40). NCBI lineage: Eukaryota > Metazoa > Chordata > Mammalia > Primates > Hominidae > Homo > Homo sapiens. The sequence goes on along the minus strand of NC_000016.10, from coordinate 49,107,021 downwards.
AGCAGACCCCAAAATGGAGTTTTGGAGCTGGATCCCCTGTTAACCACCTGACAGTGAGAACACCGCCACTGGCTGAGGGGTGAAGCATGGATAATGCTGGAGCAATGCAGTTATTAAAACTCCCCAGTGCTGAACAAGGTGGGATAGTAGTGGAAGAGAATATCCTGGAAGGGGCATTGTCTCAGGCTTTTGAAAAGTGTAAGGGAAGTCATGATTATAAGGACTGTGGAATTAGATGGTTTTGTGTGTGTGTGTGTGTGTTTGTGTGTGTGTATCTATGTAGACAGAGTCTCACTCCATCTCCCAGGCTGAAGTGGCAGTGGCCCAATATCGGCTCACCGCAACAACCGCCTCCCAGGTTCAAGCGATTCTCGTGCTTTAGCCTCCTGACTAGCTGCGACTACAGGCATGCACAACCACACTCTGCTAATTTGGGGTATTTTTAGTAGAGATGGGGTTTCACCATATTGCCCAGGCTGGTCTTGAACTCCTGCGCTCAGGCACTCTTCCAGCCTTGGCATCCCAAATTGCTAAGCCGCCATGCCCTGCCTAGAATTAGATGGTTTTTGTGATAGTCCATGCATTAAGAAAAAACAATGAATGGCTGGCGGAGTTTGTAAAGGCAAAGTTGAAAGTCATATGGCATCTTTGGCTGTATGTAAAAGAGGCTTTCATCCTTTGTGACCAAATGACATAAAAAGCTAAGGATCAAGCCCCATATTTAATTAATAGAGCATCAAGGACTAGTGGTGGTTTAATTCTCAACCTTGACAAATCTGCTTTACAAGGGTCAAGTTTAGGAAGGAATGGGACACTAAGATAAGGGATGTGGGAACATCTGGTTGAGGCATTCAAAAGTCTTGAATCCACAGATCCTTCTTAATACCCTGAGCTGAAAGAAGGGGTCCACTCCTCCCCATTAAAGACTAGCACCTCCTTGGTACCAAAATCTGTCTTAGTCAGCTTGGACTTCCATAACAAAATACCATAGGTTGGGTGGTTTAAACAACAGAAATTTCTTTTCTTACAGACTGAGATCAGGGTGCCAGCATAGTCAGGTTCTGGGGAGGGCTCTCTTCCTGGCTTGCAGACAGCTGCCTTCACACTGTGTCTTCATGTGATGGAGAGAGAGAGAGAGAGAGAGAGAGAGAGGAGATTATCTTCCTCTTTTTATAAAGCCACCAATATTATCAGATTAGGGTCCTACTCTAATGGCATCATTTAACCTTAATTACTGCCTAAGAGCTCTATCTTCAGATACAGTTACATTCAGGGTTAAGGCTTCAACTCATGAATTTGGGGTGGGGGGGCGGGTACACAATTCAGTCCATAGCAGTCTCCTCGCTTGATGATTATGTAGAAGCCCCTGCTTTGCATGAAAACATACACTGCCTCCTCCCACCTCAGGATCTACCCTCACCTCATCTCCTTGTCACCAGACAAATTACTAGGGTTAAGTTACAAATGAAAAAAAGTCAGCAGAGGAAACCCTGGGCCTGCTAAGAGAGGACAGGCATATATCTTGAAGGAGCCATAGGACCTGGCAAACGTATTCCAGCAGGAGATAGAAGAGTATGAATGAGACTGGATACTGAGGGTCCCGGGTCAAAGGGACAGTTGAATAAGGGAGAACTTATCAATATGGGAACACAAAAGACTGTAACACACTCATGTGCTGCTCTTGGAAGCATGGACAAAATCATGGTCCAAGTTACATAAAAATGATAGAACTTCTAGGATAATTCTGAATGAAGGGATCAAAAAGCTTAAGGAAGTTGGCAAGCTGGAATTGATATATTACCTAAAGCCAAAAATCCATCAGCCAACTATGCTCTGCAGGTGGGACCAGAAGGCACTCTATTTACAAAATGAAAAGGAATGCACTGGTGAGAGGGGCATGAACATTGTTGAGAAGTCCAGTGATGGCTGACTTCTATAGTCCAGGGTAACGGTAAGAAATGCTGTCATTAGCCTATCATATTTCCTTGATAGCAGTAGGGTTGATGCCAACAGAATCTCCAGTCAGCAGAGGTGAGATGGCAGTACTCAGCCATCAGAAGCAAGGAAGATGCAATTATTGTAGTAAGTGACAAGGTCAGGGCCTTGACCCTCTGAGAGATATGAAGATGGTTAATAGAACCCAGCATTCCTATTGATGAGATAGATGGACAGCCAACAACTACATTGCTCAACCTATACAATCAAAAGAAATGAAGAATGAATGATCAGGAGGCTGAGAGCAATTGTCACAATAAAAAATTATAGTCCACAGAACAGATCTGCATCTGACTAGTTTTTAGACCTGTAACTGACTTAAGGGGAGGCCAGGGCTCCAGGAAGAAGTATTCTGTAATACAAGGGCAGGTATATATGGAAATGATTCACACAGCTCTTTTAAAAAGGGTCCTGGCCGGGCGCGGTGGCTCACGCCTGTAATCCCAGCACTTTGGGAGGCCGAGAGGGGCGGATCACGAGGTCAGGAGATCGAGACCATCCTGGCTAACACGGTGAAACCCCGTCTCTACTAAAAATACAAAAATTAGCCGGGCATGGTGGCGCGCGCCTGTAGTCCCAGCTACACGGGAGGCTGAGGCAGGAGAATGGCGTGAACCCGGGAGGCGGAGCTTGCAGTGAGTCGAGATCACGCCACTGCACTCCAGCCTGGGCGACAGAGTGAAACTCCGTCTCAAAAAAAAAAAAAAAAAAAAAAAAAAAAAAAAAAAAGGGTCCTATGACCATTTAACAGTCACTCTAAAGAAAAGAGAATGTCAAACATTGGAGTTAGACACAGGGTTGGAGTTGACATTGCACCAGCAACTCAAAGCAACATTATAATCCTTCTATTAAGTGAGAGTAGCTAGGAACCAGGTAGTAAATGCAGTCTAACCCAGTTGTAGATCATATTGGGTTAACTGGGTCCACAGTTTCACCCAGGGGTCATTTCCCCACTTCGCAAATATATAATGCCAACTGACATATTTGGTAAATAATAGAGCCACCATACTGGTTCCTATGCTTGTGGAAAAGCCAAGTGGAGGCCACTGAAACTGTCCCCCAATATAGTAAATCAAACAATATCACAAACCAGGTGACTGGCATAAATAAGTGCTACCCTTAAAATCTAAATGACGCAGATGTGGTGGCCCCCATAATATTCTGGTTCATAGGTCTGGCTCCTAAAAAAGCCATACAGATCTTGGAAAATGAAAATATACCATGGAAACTCAACCAGACAGTAATCCCAATTGTAGCTGTTATGCCAGATGTGGTATATTTGCCAAAGTAGATTAACCTAGTCTCTGATACATAGCATGGTCCCATGTGTTTGGTGAATGAGTGTACTCTTCTTCGTTCCCATAAGTTTTCACTCAGTTAGGGCAGGAAATAGTATTCATTTACGGTCATGCCCCAGGGCTATGTTAACTCTCCCACCTTCTGTTATAATTGAGTGTCCGGAGGGATATAGATCATTCTGACATTAACAGAACATCATATTGGTTCACCAAATTGATGACATCATATTGATCATACTAGGTGAGCAAGAACTGGCAAATCCATTGGAGGCACAGGTACTCAAAAGAGTGGAAAATAAACCCCTCAAAGTTTCAGTCCTACAATATTAGTGAACATTTTAGGGGTCCAGAAGTTTGAAATATGCTGGGACATCTCATCCAACTATAAAAAGAAATATTGCATCTTCCTCTTCTTACAATGAAGAAAGCACAAATCCCAGTTGGCCACTATGGGCCCTGGAGGCAGCATATTTTAAACGCTGATAAATGCTACCACCCATTTATCAGGTAACATGAAAGGCTGCTAACTCTGGGTAGAGCCAAGAGCAGAAAAGGCTCTTCAGCAAGTACAGGCTGTAGTGTAAGTAGCTCTGCCACTTGGGCCATATGACTCAGCCGACCCTACGGTATTAGAGGTAGCGGTAGTGGCTCTCAGGATTTCACTTGGAGTTTGTGTCAAGTTTATCAACTCTTAGAGTTTTAGAAAAAAACCATGACATCGGCAGCAAAGAATTATACACCATCCAAAAAAAAAAATACTTCTGGTGTGCTGCAGGCCTCTGGCAGGGATGAAGCTCCTGAACATGGGATACAAAGTGAGCCTATGGCCAGGACTGGTTATTGGTGGAGCAGACCCAGGAGCAATCCAATGTATAATTGAAGTGGCACTTTCAGACATTATCAGAGACAGAGGTACAAGTAGACTGCATAAGTGTGACCCAGACCCCCACATTATTAAAACTGTCGCACTGACACATCTCCCTTTGTTTATACATACAGCCCCATAGGAAGGTTTTTATAACCAGGGACAGAGGAGGAAAAGGCTGAGCTTGGTTCATGGATGTACTTACTCATCAGGTCACTGTGAGTCAAAAATGGATTGCCACTTAACTACAGCCTCATGTAGGGGTGTCTTTGTAATACAGAAATTCTCCCAATTGGTGGAATGTTGAACATTGCACTAGGTTTAAATGGAAAGAGAAGTGGCCTGAAGTAAGAGGGTGTGTATTTATGGACTCATGCATGGTGGCAAATGTCTGACTTAGGGATCTGGAGGGAGAAAAATGGGAAGATCATAGTCAAAGGGGTTGAAGGAAGAGGCATGTTGCTATAAATAAATAAATATGAAGTTTGACGGTCTTTGTGCATCATGTGAATGCTCATGAGAGAACATTCACCATGAACAGGCTACTAAATAACCAAATAAACAGAAGGACATGTCATCCAACTATAAAAAGAAAACCCAGTCTCTGCCATCAGCTGCCAAAGTGCTGGCACACTAATGGAGGAACCACATGGCAGGGACTGAGGCTATGCATGGGCCCAACAGGACTGAGGCTATTCATGGGCTGTCACTCACCAAGGCTGATCTTGCTACTGCCACTGCCAAATGTCAACTTGCCAGCAACAAAGACTGATACTGAGCCCCCAATGTGGCACCATCCCTTGAGGAGACCAATCATCCACCATAGGCAAGTTGATTACCTTGGACCTCATCTCCCCAGAAGGATCAGTGATTTGTCCTGACTGTACATGACACATATCTGGGTAGCAGTTTGCCATTCCTCCTCTCAAGATCTCAGCCAATATCACTATGTGAGGCTTATGAGTGCTTGATCCATTGACATAGGACCCTACATAATACCACCTCTAAACAAGGCTCCACTTTATAGCAAAGAAGTATGGGAATGGATCCATGACCATGGGATTCACTGGTCCTTTCAAAACTGGACCTGTCGGAAGTTTCCACCAGGAAGTCACATGAGGGTTTTTTGAAAGCACAATTGAGGCAGTCCCTTCACCCCTGAGAAGATGGGACATTATCCTCTAGGTCACAATAGAAACCCCAAATTAATGGCCATTATGTGATGCTCTGTCTCTAGTAGGTGGAACCCAACGATTTGAGAACTAAGGGCTGGAAGCAGAGGTGGTCCTACTTGCCATGGCCCTCAGTGGCCCTATTGGGGAATTTGTGCTTCCTGCCCCATGACTCTGGGCTCTGTGTGGCTAGAGGTTCTCATTCTGAGAAGTGAGATAAATGTTTCCACTAGGTGACGCAGCATGCGGTCTAGGCCCATCCAACTCTAAAGCTGCAACTTAGTCACTTTGAGCTCCTCAAGCTGAGAGACAAGCAGTCAAGCAAAGGAGACCATTCTGGCAGGGATGTTGACCCAGATCATCAGGTGGGGGTCATGCTGATGTCAATATGAAGGCGGAAAATAATATGTTTGGCATCCAGGTGATTTATGTCTCTTGGTACCTCCTATCTCAATTTTTGATGGTAAGTGAACAACTACAACATTCTAATTTGGTTAGGATATGGGACCTCTCAGGGACAAGGGTCTGGGTCACCAACCAGGTAAGTCACCTAGACCAGCAGAAGTGCTCATCCAAGGATAAGGGGAATCTAGAATGGGTAGAGAAGGGAAGTAATGAGTATCAGGTGTGAGCAAAACAGACCAATTGGAATTTTGGAGAAACTGTTCCTAGAACTTATTGTGTAAAGAAAGTAAATTTGAATGGTGCAAGAAATGATCTTTTGTGGTTCTGTGGTGCTTGGCTCAGATTTCCCCTTCAAGATGAAGGCATGTGTTCTCTACTGCTGGGAGTTTTGGAGGCTAATGGATATCAGCTGAGTCCCTTTCCAGGAATCACCCTTAGCCAAAGAGAGGTAACTTACCCTATATCACATACCACCTGGAAAAGGAGGGGTGCAGCCTGCATTCAGTGACATGTTAATAGGGATATAGCAGCCCCAATCTTGCTGTCTTTATTCTTCTACAGATGTTGATCCCTAGGTCACTCCCTGATCAACTTCCTGCATGCATATCTCTGTCTTATAGCTTACCAGCCAGGGAACCAGACCTAAGACAGTCTCATCCATTATTCAGTTCTGTGAAATCCATTTTGTAAGCCAGGGAGTGGGAGTCACATTACCAGGGGAGACTTGAGAACTGCCCCCATGACATTTTTCCTACACTCTTGTGAATGGCCCCTTCTGTTCTCTTCTTATGGGCCCACAAGAAGTCACAAGACTCCACTCACAAGCCTAGAAAATGCAGACATTCCTAAAAATCTTGGCACCAAGGTATCTCTTGGCTTCTTTCTCTCAGGTCTAATATTAGTTGGACAAAATAATAGAAAAATCCATAAATCTAACATATTGGCTGATAAAAAGTGAAAGGCAAATTTTCTAGGTGCGAAAAATGAATTGTATATTAGTATTATTATTCAGAAGCTCTCGCAAAAATTAGTAAATTCTGAAATCCATGGTGGTAATAGAGAAGAATTGGTGACCGAATCAATGCTTTGATTCATCGTAGTCCAGAATCCCTCTCCAGCACAGTTCTGATTGCAAGATACCCAATATCTTCAAACATTTCTAATTTGAGCTTCATGGCTCAGATAACGATTTTGTTTTCTTTAATCCAGCGTTTCCTCTGTGGGGAAGCAGGGGATTCTTCTTTGAATTAAATTAAATTAAATGAAACTTTTATAAAATTGGCAAACATGTAGGAGAATAAAACTGGATCCTCATCTCTCACCTTACACAAAAATCAACTCAAGATGGATCAAGGACTTAAATCTAAGACCTGAAACTATAAAAACTTCAGAAGATAACATCAGAAAAACCTTTTTAGACATTGGCTTAGGCAAAGACTTCATGATCAAGAACCCAAAAGCAAATGCAACAAAAACGAAGATAAATAGGTGGGACTTCATTAAGCTAAAGAGCTTCTGCACAGCAAAAGGAACAGAGCAGAGTAAACAGACAACCCACAGAGTGGTAGAAAATCTTCAAAATCTATACATCTGACAAATAACTAATATCCAGAATCTACAATGAACTCAAACAAATTAGCAAGAAAAAAACAATCTCATCAGAAAGTGGGCTAAGGACGTGAATAGACAATTCTCAAAAAAAGACATACAAATGGCCAACAAACAAAAGAAAAAAATGCTCAACATCACTAATTATCAGGAAAATGCAAGTCAAAACCACAATGCAATACCACCTCACTCCTGCAAAAATGGCCATAATCAAAAAATACAAAAGAAAAAATTGATGTTGGCATGGATGCAGTGAAATGGGAGCACTTCTACACTGTTGGTGGGAATGTAAACTAGTACAACCACTATGGAAAACAGTGTGGAGATTCCTTAAAGAACTAAAAGTAGAACTACCATTTTATCTGGCAATCCCACTACTGGGTATCTACCCAGAGGAAAAGAAGTCATTATACAAAAAAGATACTTGCACATGCATGTTTTAGCAGCAAAATTTGCAATTACAAAACTATGGAACCAGCCCAAATGCCCATTAATCAACAAGTGGGTAGAGAAATTGTGGTATATATATGATATATATATATGATATATATATGATATATATCATATATATATGATATATATATGATATATAGGATATATAGGATACATATGATATATATATGTGTGTGTGTGTGTATATATGTGATATCTTTTTTATATATATATGAGGGGATACTACTCAGCCATAAAAAGGAATGAATTAATGACATTTGCAGCAACCTGGATAGAACTGTAGACTATTTTTCTAAGTGAAGTAACTCAGGAATGAGAAACCAAACGTTGTGTGTTCTCACTCACAAGTGGGCGCTAAGCTATGAAGATGCAAAGAAATAAAAAATAAAAAGAATCTATCTAATAAAATTTTAATTTTAGATTCAGATGGTACATGTGCAGTTTTGTTACATGGGTATATTGCATGATGCTGAGGTTTGGGGTATGAATAATCCCATTGCCCAAGTAGTGAAAATAGCACTCAATAGGTAGTTTTTCAACCCTTACCCTCCTCTCCTTCCTTCCCCCTATTTGGAATCTCCAGTGTTTATTGTTCCTATCTTTGTGTCCCTGTGTACCCAATGTTTAGATCTTACCTCTAAGTGAGAACACTTGGTATTTGGTTTTCTGTTTCTCCATTAATTTGCTTAGGATAATGGCCTTCAGCTGCATCCATGTTGCTGCAAAGGACATGATTTCAATCTTTTTATGGCTGTATAGTATTCCATGGTGTATATGTACTCATTTTCTTTATTCAGTTCACATTTGATGGGCCCCTGGGTTGATTCCATGTCTTTGATATTGTGAGTAGTGCAGGATAAACATACAAATGCAGGTGTCTGCTTAGTAGAAAGATTTATTTTCCTTTGGATATGTACCCAGTAATGGGGTTGCTGGGTTGAATGGTAATACTATATTTAGTTCTTTGAGAAATAGCCAAACTGGGAGCAGGACTTCTGACACAGATAAGCTCACTTACAAGATATATATACTTGAACTCTGCCAGATCCTACACCAAGCACAGAGTTACCGAGGTGAACTGTGCCCTTGATCTGGAAAGAATACTGCCAAGAGCTGTGGCTTCAGAGCTAGGATTGTCCATCTCTGTGTCCTGAGAGGCTTAGGGACCTTTCTGTTCACAAGACATGGAAAGTACTTTCCACAGTGACTCTTGGTGAATCTTTAAAGTTGTAAAGAGCTGAATAAACGCACTAATCTTCCAGCACAATAGTCACTTTGGGACATACCTCTCAGATCGGCCCTTGAATTTTATGTTGGTCTAGCCTGGGAAGGCAGAGGACCTATGACAGTACAGACACAACACTCAAAGCTCTTTCTCTCCCTGTATAATCCAGGGACCTTGATTATGAAGAGTCAGCCTGCCTTCCCAGCACACAAGTTATTAGGTCCTGTGTGGTGCTCTAAGATCCTTTGTGGCATAATCAGGCAGGCAAGTACTCATGTCCTTATTTCATTTATGTTTTGATTTAAAATTTTAACATGAAAGAAAAAATACTATCTTATGTAACTGAAAAGTCTGGAGCACCAGGCTGCAGCCAAGGCTGTATCCAGGTATTCAAGTGATGTCACTGGGAATTTGCCTCTATCTCTCTCTTGGCTCTGCTTGGCTCTGTGCTGCCTTCATTTCCAGGTTTTACCCACATGGGGTAAAGATGGTCCCCAGCAGTCCCTGGCTTACATGGTCCATGTGTCTCCAACTGCCCACTGTCTCCTGTTGCCTCATACACCTTCCTGATTCCTAGTCTTTGGTTCCTTTTGAATAACTATTTATTTCTCATGTCAGATCTCATCATTTATTTTGACCTCATGCCATAACCCCAGTGTCCTTCAGGCTAAGTCGGAGAGGTCTCTGGGTTTCTGTTTAATTTAGTCCACATGTTTTAAGTTGGATAGATGGAATATTAGTGACTATAATTCCTCCTTGCAGGAGAAATTCCACTTTGTTCTTTAACTATGTTTGCTCAATACAGGGTGAAATCCATATTCTCATACGGCACTATTTGAAGTGAGAATGGAAGACAGATGGGTGGATTTGAAGATTTGAAAGGGTGGATGGTCTGATACAGGTGCTGCCCTGGTCCTTGCTCTTGCAGTGGTGTGCCCTTTACTATGCAAACCTATCATTGTCTGCTGGCTAGCAGAGCAGTGGGTCACATTGTGCAGCGATTGGTATTTGCTTAAGAGAAATCTCCCCGACTGACCCAATTCCTGTAATGCATAAAAAAATGACAGAAGTAATACTTTTGTTCTTGTTTCACTTTCATTCATCTTATTTGATCAGGGCTGAGAAAAACTGACATCTCATCAAACTCCAAAGTGTGTTTCAGCGCCAGGTTCACTGGAGGGTGGCATTTAAAACACAGACATTGCAGGAACAAATGTATTTGCCAATCCTGTCCAGCAATGTAAACCTGACCTTTCTCCTGTAGATTTATTGACACGAGCCTGTTTTGTATCATATTTCATTATTGTGCATGGAAGGATTGAAAGTTCTTCTCTTGGAAAACAACTCAGTTGGGGCCAGAGTGGCCAATATGCCTTCCCTTCATAGAGAGAAAAGAGGAATTCGTTAATCCTGGCAGGATTAGCACAATTCCTCAAAGAGTGTCTTTAATTAAAAAATACCTGCTACTAGCAGTATAGGCCAAGAAGAAATTGGCATTTGGCATGTGGCAGGAGCAGAGGAATTACATCCAAGGTGATTGTCATTTACTTGTTGTGAGGTACATTACAGATTCCTTCCATCTGGGAGCCCTGGGAAGCGCCCCGCTCCCGCTCATTGCAGAAATCCATCTCTGAGAAATGCTCACTCAGTCTGAGCTATGACATGCTCTGTGTTAGAAGTCTATCACCTCACCCAGCCAAACAGCTGTAGAAATTATCCATTTGTGCATTCGTGAGACAAAATATCTATGTGTCTAGAGACTCCCCAGGTACTGTGCATATCATAGTGAACAAGAGAAATAATATCACTGTTTTCAGGGAGCTTCAATCTTGTGACTGTTGATAGTCTTTAAGTTAATAACTAAACAATTTAAATACAACAATTTTAGAAAGTGAGGAGCATTGGTTATTGTGTCTAACAGGGAAAGGTAATAGAGAACGGTTGTGGGATGGTGGGGGTGATGTGTGCACTGACTTCTGAGGTTGCGGGTGGGTATCGAGCTGAGATCTGATTAGGGAGATGGAGCTAGCCATGTAGAAGCTAGACCAGAGACTGTTTCAGGTACAGCATACCACAGGTGCAAAGGCCTGAGGTGGAAATGTGTTTGGCATTTTTGAGAAACAGAGGGAAAGCTAGTTAGTGTGGTAGAAGCTTCAAGAATGAGTAGAGGCAAGCTCTGGAATGAACCCACGAAGTGAGCAGGGACAGACCAGATATGCCTGCCTTGGGAGATCTAAACGCTGCAGTGGGAACTGTGAAGGTTGTTAAGCTGAGGAACCACAGAGGCTCATTTACACTTGCAAATGGTTACTCTGGCTGCAGGGTGGGAACTGAATTGTAGGGGAACAAGTCAGTAATAGCAGAAACCAACTGTATGGCTTTTGGAGCCAGTTCTAACAAGAGATGATAGTGCCTTGACCCCCATCTGATCTACTGAGCCAAAATGTGTGTCTGTAGAAATCAGTTCTTCCCTCCCTGCTTCTGTCACCATCCATGAAGACAGAGTGAATCTAGCCTTTCCCAACACTTGGTGACAGTGTTTACGATTCCCCATTATCTCCTCTTCTCTGGGTAAAGCAGTCCCATTTCTTCCAACTCTTCTCCACATGACACAATTTTAAATCTCCCTCATCACCCTTACCACCCATTCCTGGCTCCATGTCTCATTAAACGTAGAACCCAGCATGCAGCCACACACTTCATGTGTGGGTATTGCCATTTTGCAGCCAGTCTCTGCCCTAGGGAAGCCTTCCTTCACCCCACTATTAGCTCATGTGCACCAGGTAGAGTGGGCTCCATTCTTGGCTGAGAAACAGAATGCAAGACCTGAGTCTAAGCCAGTCAGTGCCTTCCATCCCTCATTGTGATTGATCCAGAGAGGACCACATAATTTAATCTGAATCAATGAGAGGGAAAGGGTATCTAGCTGGGAATGCTGGGCTCAGATTGTCATCCTCTGTCACTGAATTCAACTTGAAATATGGAGTCTTAGGAGCTTCAAGCTCCTAAGGACTGTGAAAAGAGAGCTTGTTTAAGAATAGACAACCATTCCAGTAAGTAGAGCTGAGAAATGAAGAAAGAGAGAATGAAGGCATGTCATTTGTACATAGGAATTAAGCACAATCTAAAGCCCAGTTCTGAATAATTCAATGAATCAATACATTTTCTCTTTTTCTGCTTGAGCCAATGGGTCAGGTTTTCTGACACTTCCTATCAAAAGAATTCTAGCTGATAGACCAATCAGAGAACAGTGGGGCTATCACCTCCCTTGAATAGATCATGATACCCCAATGGATGCAGCTGCAAGTCCTCACTGTTGTCAGCAGCTGTGTTGTCTTGTCAGCGCCTATTGTTTGAGCTTATAGCCAATGAGAGCTCACACTTTCCTGTTCAGCAGTTTCCTTCTCAATTTCTCTCTGAGACATCCTCTGAGGGTTTATGTAAAGCCCTTTTATGAATTTAGTATTTATTAGACCTCCCTCTTGCACTTGACACGTATCCATTTTTGCCTGAGTTGCAAACTCCTGAGAACCCAATACTATGATCCATTTGGGGGTAAACAGCAAAGAGAACCAATAAAACCTAACAAAGCTAAGTCTAATCATTGCCAAAAACACCCATTTGCCTCCCTAATGGGCCAAAGGGGAGGGGGCCGTGATATCTCAGTGCTTTTGCCTTTCACAATCGTTCCTGATGCCTAGAAAGCCTTCCATTAAGCTACACAGCAAAGCCATTTTTTAGGGGCCTCTGAGACTCATGTCTGTGTTTGTGGCTTTTGCAGCTTAAGTGGCTGAAGTCAGAGAGCAGCTCAGAAATGGGCCAACTGCCCTGAGGACAATGGAACCTGCAAGTCCAGCTCTCAGCCCTGCTGACAAAGTGAGGCATCATGGAAGAAAAAAGGAAACATCTAACTTTTGACCTTAGACAGGGCTTAGGATATAGACAGGGATGGTGCTAGCAGCTAGCTAGCTGGCTTACAGTACTCTAAGACGAAGGGCCAGAAGGGCCTTTTAGGGGCTGCTAGTCCTGTTAGGGAAACTGAGGCCTAAACAGAGCCAGACATTTTCCTCAGGTTACTCAGCAAAGTTAATGCCTGAATGACCCTAGGTAGAGTCAAGGTCTTCTGTTACTTCAGCCACTGTTCTTCCCAATGCACAGGGCAGGGTAGCAGAGTGGTTAAGAGTGGCACACACGGCTACTCGTTATATAGAACATTGGATCCTCTCTCTGGTTTCCTGGGGCTGGTGAGTTGGGCCATTCTGTGGATGAGGAGACTCCATATTCACATAAGGAACCCTGGAGACAAAAGCCCTAGAGATGAGATGGGGAGGGGCAAGTGGCTTCTGGCTCAGGAGATCAACATTCTAAACTTGACCCCATCACTCACTGGGCAGTGCAGAGCAAAGCACATCCATTTCGAGCCTCACTTTATTCAGCTGCAAAGTTGCATAAATAATAGCTAGCTCTTACATGTCAGATGCTGCCTTATTGCTTTACATTATAAACTTCATGAATCATGATAATAATTTTATGAGGTATTTGTTGTTATCTCCAATGTAAAGATGAAGAAAGTGAAGCACAGGCAAATTAAGTAATTGGGTCAAAATGATCCAAATCAAACCCAAGCAGTCTGGCTCCAGAATCCACTCTTAACCTCTATGGTAACTGCCAAAGAATAATAATAATTAATAGTAAAATAAGACTGGTAAATAATAAAATATAAATAATAATAACAATAAAGCAATGCATCTCCCACAAGCTTCTTGTGACGAGTCAATGAAAAGACCTGAATGTATTATTATGGCTTTTATTTTCTGTATTCTGATGCTTTGACATCTGAAGCTGACCCTGAGACTACCTCTTCCAGGGTTAGCCAATTCCTAGAGACTGCAAGCAGTTCACCTGAGGGTGTGCTCTTTATACACAAACCAACCAACCCAGAGTCCACACCTGCAATCACCTCCTTTATGGGGCTGTCACACTCTGGGTCACTATCCCTCTGCCTTAATCATCCCACAGTCCTGTGCCCCAGAGCCTGCTGAAATTATTCAAACTAGCCAGTCCTAAACCTGCCAACCCTGTTTTGCCACTTCTTTCCAGTGGAAACCACAATCAAGGCTGTTGCTGCCCTTCCTCACTGCCTCTGCCTCTTGACCCACCCTGGTGCCTCCCTGTGTGGCCCCTGTGCCATGGTATGCCCCCTCCTCTTGGGAACCATGAATAACGAGCTGTCTCTTTAGTGGCAGTCATCTCCTGATTTGCTTGCCTTGTTACCCCTTCTCACGAATAGTGCTACAAATGTAAGTTATTATCCATTTACCCTACCTGCAGGGGACAGAAATGATCAAGTGTTTACCAACTTTGCGCTCAGTATTTTACATATATAATTTCATCTAATCATCACTACTGCTACTATTAAAACTAGGAGGTTTTTTTAAATTTAGATTTGGGGATACATATGCAGGTTTACTACATGGTTATATTGTGTGATGCTGAGGTTTGGTCTTATATTGATTCTGTCACCCAAATAGTGAACATAGTACCCTATAGGCAGTTTTTCAACCCTTGCCTCCCTTACTCCTTTCTTTCAGAGTCCCCAGTGTCTATGGTTCTCATCTTTATGTCCATGTGCACCTAAACTTTTGTCCCTACTAGTAAGTAAAAACATGCAGTATTTGGCTTTCTATTCCTGCATTAATTTACTTAAAATTATGACTGCTAGCTGCATTCATGTTGCTGCAAAGGATATATTCTTTTGTATGGCTGTGTAGTATTCCAAGGTGTATATGTACACTACAGTGTATGTGGTGTATATGTAATGACAATGTACTACATTTCATTATCCAGCCCACTGTTGATAGGCATGTAGGTTGATTCCATGACTTTACTATTGTGAATAGTACTGCAGTAAACATATGAGTGCAGATGTCTTTTTGGTATCTAGTAATGGGATTGCTGGGTCAAATGGTAGTTCTGTTTTTAGTCCTTTGAGAAATCTCCAAACTGCTTTCCACAGGGTCTGAACTAATTTGCAATCTCACCTACAGTGTATAAACATTCCCTTCTCTCCACAACCTCGCCAATATCTGTTATTTTTTGACTTTTTAATAGAAGCCATTCCTACTGGCGTGAGATGGTGTCTCATGGTTTTGATTTGCATTTCTCTGATGATCAGTGATATTGAGCATTTTTTCATATGTTTGTTGGCTGTTTGTATGTCTTCTTTTGAGAAGTGTTTGTTCATGTACTTTGCCCACTTTTTAATAGAGTTATTTGTTTTTTTCTTGTTGAGTTGTGTAAGTTCCTTGTAGATTCTGGATATTAGTTCTTTATTGGATGCATAGTTTTCAAATATTTTCTTAAAACTAGGAGTTATTATTCCTACTTTACAGATAGGAAAACCGAGATTCAAGAGGTATAAGCAGCTTTATTGAGTCACTAAGTTTGTAGAGGGCAGTTTCCAAGTCTGACTCTTGGTTTTTTTGATCTTAAAGCTTCTCTTCTCTGCTCCACTCAAGAGCAGAGGACATTATGAAGTTTCTTCTAGAAGGAATGAGAAAACAAATAGGTTTCAATAGCAAAGACTCTGCTCTTTTCCTGCCTGTTTGCCTTCCTTTCTGGTGTGTTTCAGGAAGATTTTCTCCCTAAAGAGCTTCTTTGCCTTATATGAGCCTTTGCCTCTTCATTTATTAATTCCTTCTCCAGCTCATTCTCAAGACAGTGGGGAAAGCCTGGCTTTTAAATAACACATGCTTTAATTTCACCTTGACCTGGATCAATATTTCCACTTGTTCCAAACTGGCAACTTGTCCTCTACTGCCATCCCTAGGGCCATTTATCCTGCTTCTCGCTGCAATTCCCTTAGCTAAGACTGCTCGTTAGGCTCAGCTCATATTCCCAGGCCAGCGACTGGCAATTAGTATGGCATTCCCACATTCCATCTCCCCATGATATGTAACTCCAGCATGATAGACAATTCCTTTGGTGTGATCAAAAATCCAAAGAGTGAGCATTCAGATGGAGGAAGGCAGTCTTGGTTCTATTTTCCTGCAAGGTGGGTCTCAGACAATGCAGATAAGTATCAAGGAGGCAGGCACTGACTCAGTATGAGAAAGAGCTAGCTAAGAGTTAAGCTGGGAATTTTGAAGTTGGATTCTGTATTTACTATTTAGGTATTTATATTATGTAATGCTATTTTATGTATTTATCAAAGTTTCCTTAAGAAAACTTCCACCGCTTATATGGTCCTTTTGCTCTATGTTCAAAGAATCAAAAACGTAGATTCTTAGTTTCCTGGAATTGCAGGGTTAAGGATTATCATAGAAATCCAACTTCCTGCCCACCCCCACCCCCCCACTGGCATGACTCAAGAGTTGGTGTTCTGCTGCAGCAGTCCCTGTGATGAGGAACTCCCACCTCCCAGCCTCTTCTGAAAGGCAGGCCCTTTTCCACTCTTCGGTTACACTTCCCGAGTGGGGTCCCTTAGGGGTAATGCTTGAACTGTGTATTTAGAGCCCTCTGTCTGGTCTCACATTTGATGAGAACCCTTAGGAGTTAACGTATTTGAGGAGGCAGCATGTGCTACCACTCAGCAGAAGTGGGATGGCTTATCCAGGGGTAGGGCAAGAAAGGGCTATTATTTAGAGGTACCCAAATAATCTCCACCTGTACAATAGAAGCATAACATGTAGCACACAGAAGGTGACTGTCATGGTGCTTTTGCCTGCTCTCTATCCTCTCTGTGGTCTTAGCAGCTGTCTCTTGCTCTTGGGAACCACTTTCATTGCTGTGATTTCAGTAGGGTTGACAACACCCCTGACCCCTAAACCTCCAGTACCAGCACTGACAAATTGGACTATTGCAGTTTCTTTGGTTGGGCACATGACTGATTCAAGTCAATGATCAGCCCTAGGATTTTAAAATAAATAATTGGGAAAGAGGTGCCCTTTCCTTTGGGGAAGTTCAGCTGATAGGAAGTGGGTATGGGGTTGCTGGTGGCCCTATTTGTACCACATAGGCATAGCTTGCCTAAGAACAAAGCCAATGAAGAGGAAGAGCAGAGAGGAGATGGAAGACAATCCTCTTGTTGGCCTAGTTTAGACACCCAGATCTAGTTGAGCCTCAAATTAGATGCTCTGCATGACTCTCAGTTGTGTGAGCCATCACTGTCTCTTTTAGTCATGAGCAGTTTGAATTGGGTTTTGTCCGTTGGACCCAAAATAGTCTGTACTAATTCACTGCAAGTCCCCCTCTGAGCTGCACAAGGTGGACCCTCTGCTGCAGCCACACTGACCCTGGTTTTCCTTTGTTGGTTGTCCCAGTCTTGTCTCTTGAAGCTATCTTTATTAGGAATGTTCTCCTGCACTCCCATGTTGCCTGGATAACTTCTATTCGCTCTCTGGATCTCAGCTCAGACATCATGTCCACCAGACCAAGGCAGGCCCTTCTGTGACACATTCTACACACCCTTAAGCTTTATTTACTTCAGCACATTTAGCCGTTGTAATAATGTATTTATTTTGGTAATTTTCTGGTTGTCCTCTCCTCACTAGATTGGCAGTCCCACAAGGGAAGAGATTCTGTTTTGTTCCTCAGCAGATCCCCAATACCTAGCATAGTGCCAGACACACAGTGGAGGCTCAGTAAGTCTTTGATGAATAACTGTATATGGGAAATAAGTATTGTATCCCTGTGTGGACTCCCTACAGTAATGAGAGGCATGAGACATATTGGAGTGGGGCCAGGGGAGACAAGGCAGTGATGCCTCATCTCGGGGGAGTGGGATTGCTGCCATCAAATACCCAAGTCGTGGGCCTTTGGATGAGGGAGGCAGTCTCTGTGTGTGTGAATTTATGGGCTACATGTACAATTTTGTTACACGCATAGATTGTGTAGTGGTGAAGTCAGGGCTTTTAGGGTATCCATCACCCGAATAGCCTACATTGTACCCAATCACTTATTTCTCATCCTCTAACTCCCTCCTACCCCCTTACCCTCTCAAGTCTCTGTTGTCTAACATTTTATTCTCTACTTCCATGTGTACACATTATTTAGCTCCCACCTGTAAGTAAGAACATGCAATATTTTTCTTTCTGTGTCTGACTGTTTCATTTAATAATAGTCTCCAGTTCCATCCATGTCACTGCAAAAGAAATGATTTTATTCTTTTTATGGCTGAATAGTATTCCATGGCGTATGTATACCACATTTTTAATCCAATCATTTGTTGATGGACACTTAGGTTGATTTCATATCTTTGCTGTTATGAATAGTCCTGAGATAAATATATGAGTGCAGGTATCTTTTTTATACAATAATTTATTTTTCCTTTGGGTAGATATCCATAGTGGGGTTGCCAAATCTGATGGTAGATTTTTGTTGCTGCTGTTGTTTATTTTTTAGCTCTTTGAGAAATCTCCATACTGTTTTCCACAGAGACTGAACTAATTTACATTTCCACCAGCAGTGTACGAGTGTTCCCTTTTCTCCACATGTTTGCCAACATCTGATATTTTTTGTCTTTTTAATCATAGCCATTCTGACAGGTGTAAGTCTGTTTCTCTTTGCTGCAGGGCGGGTCTCTGACAATGCAGAGAGCATGAAGAAGGCAGGAAGTGTCTCAGAAGGAGAATGGACTTAGAGCCAAGCTGTGAATTTTGAAAGTGGATTCTGTAATATTTTATGTATTTATTAAAGTTTCCATAAGGAAAGTTTGACTAGTTGTTTGGCCCTTTTGCTCTTTGTGCAAACCCTAGAATCACAAACGTAGATTCTTAGTTTCATAGAATTGCAGGATTAAGGATTATCATAGAGACCCAACTTTCTGCCCTCTTCCTCCCTATGCCGTGACTCAAGACGCAGCATTCTGTTGGAGCCGTCCCCGTGATGAGGAACTCCCACCTCCCAGCCTTGTCTAAAGTACGGGTTCCGTTCCACTCTTGCCTTATGCTTCTTGAGTGGTTGCCTTTTCGGTAATGTTTGAACTCTGTGTCTTCAGAGCCCTGTGGCTGGTCTCTGCATGGTCAACGAGCCACAGGTTTATAGCTTACATTGCTCTGAAATAGGATTTTTGATGAGAGATGTTGTTGCTAATAAAGATGGGCCTGCTGGCAAAACCAGCTATTAACTTGGCTTCCACCGGGCCCTCACTACCTCCACACAGATGACTCCAATGAGATAAATTACTTTTCCACCAGTAGAAACATGACCGTAATCAATATAGCTAGTAAATAACATGATTTTCAGAAGAAAAGAAATTACCAATTTTAAATACATTTATATCAACATGAAGCCAGGTTGGTCAAGATGTGTGTGAGTGCAGGCACCCATACCTGTGGCCCTTGGGAAAGGTACTCGAGCTGAGCGTTTGCCAATGCTCTAGCATGGCTGAGGACTCACCCTCTCCTCCGCCCTAGACCTAGGCCCCGGGAAAGCAGAGTAAGGATCATGTCAAGAGGAATTTGGTTCTGCTAGAAAAATGTGCTTTGGGGTCTCAGATCTCTTTTTTGCTGGAGGTTTGAGTCCTCTGCTCTTCCTTCCTTGGGCTGTGGAGTATTTTTCCAAACATTTGGTCCCTCTAGGTTTCATTTGTGTCATCTGCTAAGCAACAATAATTTTCCCCACGGAAGCACCCTCTAAGTAAGGCTGTAATATGGATCTGCTGACACATTGGAACAGCTCTGGAAATCTTCATGTCCTTGACACATACCATTTGGTCCTTCCATCCTACTTGCCCCCTTGCCTCCTTCATTCACATTTTATAACACTGCTGGGGCAAAGGGACTCCCCAGCTTAAACTTAACATCAGTTTTTGGGGATTAAGTTTGTCCAGAGCAGAGGCCGCAGGAGAAGCATGGTTGGAAAAACAGAGAATAAAAATAATAACAACATCAGCACTATCAAATATTTATTGAATACTCATTATGGGTTGGCCCTGTGTTAAGTAAGCATTTTACATCAATTATTTAATTCTTGCAACCGTTATGCTCTGTTATGATCCCTATTACAGATGATTAAACATAGGCTGGAGTGGGGATAAAAAAGCAAAAAGTGTTCTTTTAGGAAGGGTAGACAGGACAGGCCTCTCTGAGGGAACTCTATGTGAGCCATGAAGTGAACCTAAAGTGGGGCATGAACCCTGCAAGTAGACATCTGAAAGGGGCATTCCAGGCAGAGGAGTGAGCACATGCAAAGGCCCAGTGTCAGGACCTGCTCAGTGTGTGTGACAAACACCAAAGAGCATGTGAGGAAAGAGCTGTAGGAGATACATCAGCGAGGTAGGCAGGGTGAGACTTTTGGGCTCCTGAGGACTGTGGTAAGAAGTTTAAATTTTATTCTAGTGTGAATGTGGTGGCCATGAGAATTAAATAATTAGCCCAAAGCCATTTATGAACTGTAAAACATTAAACTTATGTGGTATGTTATTTTAGTCATTCATTCATTCATTCGTTTATTCATTCATTTAACACTCCCCCTTTGCTGGTCTATGTCCAGAGGGGGCTTTTTCAGGGAACTCAGATTCAAAGCACTCCTAGCTGTTTCCTGGATTCCAGATGGGCTGTTAATGGACCAGCCCTGTCCTTCAAAGATTTGTGAGCTAGGAACTGATCAGGTAGTAGAAGCCCAGAATAAGGTAGCCCCCAGGAATTGCCCCTTCTGATTCCTTTCCAAACTAACAAGCTATTAAAATAAGGCCTGCTCCCTGCCATTTGGAAATACGTAATGGGCCATTGCAAGATAGCCATAACCACTCTAAAGATGCGCTTGGGTAGTTTCAGGAGGAGAGTCTCATTTCTAAGCACCCAGAGATTTCCTCTTGGTAGTTGGTGTAGCCTATAAAGAAATTACATTAAATACTCTCCCCCCCATACCAAAAGGAAATGCAGAACCGTGAATTTACAAACTTGCTAAGCAGGGTCCTGAGGATTTGCACAGCCACACATTGGTCTGCAGGCCCTAACTCTGGATTAATCCTATGAATATTTGCAAAGAGCAAAGCAATAAAGTGTAAAGGTGCATCAGAGACATTAAATCATTCACAGATGCTGGCTGTAAGGAGTTCAAGCTGGGATGGAATTCCTGGGCAGTCACCCAAACCTGGAATCCTCTTTTCTTAAAAAGCAGAGTGTGCGTTTATTATTCTTGTCCTAAGACCTTGTAATTTTGCCAATTTCATGGGTTTCATCATTTCTCATGTTAGTTTTCTTGATTACAAATAAAGTTAAGCCTATTTTTTTAAAGGAGGAAGGATATGTATTTGTAAATGATGTTAGGCACTGATTATAGCAGCATAAAGCCGATCTTTTTTTTTTTTTTTTTGCCTGACATTTGCTCTTCTTTCTGGAGATAAATGAATGGAGGTAAGATATGTTATCAAAAGTAATACCACTTAGCCAAGAACATGTCTGATATGCCTATTATTTATCTCTTTTGCGTTATAAGCAGTTATGAGCTACCACTTCCGTAAGTCAAAGTAGCGAATGTGGACTTCTGCAACAGAAACCTCTCACATCTCAGTGGCTTATAACAGTAAGGATTATATCTCACTTGTACAAATTCCTGTGCAGCTTAGGTGTCTCCCCTGCATAGTTATGCTGCAGGTGGTGACACAGGGATCCAGGCCACTCTCATCTTATAGCTATGCCTTCAGAACAAGGAACTTCCAAGACTGTGGTGTCAGGGAAGAGAGGAGTGGAAAATTGTATTGGATGATTTTAAGAGTTAGCTTGGAAGTGACTTGCATTATTTTTACTCACATTCTCTGGGCTTGAATTCAGTCACCTGACACTGCCTAGCTGCAAGGGAGTCTGAGAAATGTAGAAGAGCACATGGGTAGATGTAAGCACATGGGTGGATGATGTGAGCACATGAGTATATGATGTAAGCACATGGGTAGATGATGTGAGCACATGACTAGATGTTAGTACATGACTAGATGATGTAAGCACATGTGTAGGTGATGTAAGCACATGGGTAGATGATGTAAGCAAATGGGTAGATGATGTAAGCACATGGGTAGATGATGTGAGCACATGACTAGATGTTAGTACATGACTAGATGATGTAAGCACATGGGTAGGTGATGTAAGCACATGGGTAGGTGATGTAAGCACATGGGTAGATGATGTAAGCACATGGGTAGATGATGTGAGCACATGGATAGATGATGTGAGCACATGGGTAGATGATGCAAGCACATGGGTGGATGATATGAGCACATGACTAGATGTAAGCACATGACTAGATGATGTAAGCACATGGGTAGGTGATGTAAGCACATGGGTAGATGATGTAAGCACTTGGGTAGATGATGTAAGCACATGGATAGATGATGCAAGCACATGGGTAGATGATGTAAGCACATGGGTAGATGATGTAAGCACACAACTAGATGATGTAAGCAGATGCGTAGATGCAAACACTTGGCAGTATCTGCCTTACACCCATGTATTGGCACTGGTGCTTGCTGGTAAGAGAGATTTAGGGGTATGAGCACACCCACCAAGGAACTTACAGCCTAATTGGGGGAAAAAAAAAGCCCTACAGAATTATGCCATATGGCAGAGGATTACTGGGGCATCATGAGAATTATAGATCAGTTGCTATAAATCTCTCCACACCTTAGATGGTGGTACAGGTAGAGAGATCAGCAATAACAAGGTGTGCAGACCAGAAAGCATGAGGTGTGTCTGACAACTGTGACACACACTTTAGTTAGAGACGAGGACATGTGAAGGGAACAAGTGGCAGAAAATAACTCTGAAAATGTAATTTGAGGCCAGATTGGGGACAGGATAAGGAGTTTCAGAAGCCATTGACTGTTCTTGAGAAAGGAAGGAAAGAATATTAAATAAAGCAACTAATTAAACAGTTCCACCAAGATAGGAAAAGTCTGCAATCACTTTGTGCCTTCCTTTCCTTATCTATAAAATGAAGGTGTTAATCTTTACTTTTTATGGTTGTTGTGAGGATTAAGTAAATAAATACATATAAAGAGTTTAGAATTATTCTTGATATAGTAAGTGGCTCACAGTAATATTAACCAAAGAATACGTAGTCTTGATGTACTTACATCTCCAAGGGAGATAGACATAACTTGAAGGACAATCTTGACCAGGTCATTAAAGAGATGGCCCAAATTGGTTGACAATCAGGATGAGAGAAGTAAAACATACAAGGTGAGGACAGAAATGATTTTCTGGAAGGTTCAGTACTTCACAAAGGCCATATTCCCCTCCATGTACTCTCTTGCTTTGAGAGAAAGCGTATAAAAGCATATTTTAGACTACATGGGGGCCATCCAAGGATCCAAGGAGTCCTGGGGAAAAGTACATGTTGGTTAAAAGAGTGGGTGCTGGTCTCAGACTGTTTGGGAGTGAATTCTGACTCTGTCATTTATTAGCTGTGTGATCTTTCACAGTTTATTTAAAACCCTGTTAAAGTCTCAGTTTCCACTGCTGTAAAATGAAAGTCATATTTACCTCATGGAATTGTTAGGAGGTTCAATGAGAAAACATATGTAAGATGCTTAGCATGGTATTTAGTTTTTACTAAGTGTTCACAAATGCTGGTTATTAGATTTTATTAATTAGAAGACATAAAGAATCAATTAAAAACTAATTCTGTAGCCAAATCAAGGGTCAACACAAATCCAAATATCTGGACATTTGAAAACAACTTGTGGATTTCATTCCATTTCTATTCACATGTTTAGAAATGTTTAGGTACCATCCCAGAGAAGTGAGTATATCTGGTCAGTTTCTTGCTTTTCCCAAAGGAGAAGCTTTAAACATATGTCAGACTTAGGGGGTAATTTAACCCTTACCTTAACCCAGGTTAGAAAAATCTTATAGTTCATTTTCGTATCTAATTAGGTTCCCATATGATTTTATTTTTCTATCTTTTTCCCAGCAAAATCTTGGGTCCTGTGCCTTTGAAGCAAATAGAGCTAGCTCTGTCCATTTGGAAGGAACTTTTAGAGCATTCAAAGGAAGGGCTGTGTGTGTTGATGGTGCTTCCTCTACCTCTCCAAAGCCACCCAGCCTCCAGGGCCTAAGCAGGGCTGGCTTCTGTACTCAGGCACAGACAATGGCCCTTTCCTGACCCTGTGCCTGCCCCAGTGCAGCTATGCTAACTCTAGTGCCTCTCCTAAGATATAAATTATAGTCTAGGACTTTATCTGCCTGGTCACCCAAGGGGCCAGGTAGCTTAAAAGACCACCATTGGCCGGGCGCGGTGGCTTGCGCCTGTAATCCCAGCACTTTGGGAGGCTGAGGCAGGTGGATCACGAGGTCAGGAGTTCAAGACCAGCCTGGCCAAGATGGTGAAACCCCGTCTCTACTAAAAATACAAAAATTAGCCATGTGCGGTGGCAGGCGCCTGTAATCCCAGCTACTCGGGAGGCTGAGGCAGGAGAATCGCTTGAATCTGGGGGACAGAGTTTGCAGCGAGCCGAGATCATGCCACTGCACTCCAGCCTGGGTAACAGAGCAAGACTCTATCTCAAAACAAAAACAAACAAACAAACAAAAAAATCACTGTCCCCATTGTATCCTGTTGAATCTTCCAGAATCAGTCTCTCTACTTAAAGCATCTTCCTTCTCTATTAGCCAAAATAAAAGAAGCCTCATTTCAAGTCAGGAAAATAGTTGCCTATCATTCTGTAAACAGTCAAACTCTGAATCTAGTTTGGGCTCAGAGGCCCCTGTCCTAACCCTACCCGTATGCAACCCTACCCCTATGATATGTAGGACAAATTCAGGCAGGATAAAGGAGGAAGAACATGAAAAAGTTAGAATTGCTGTATTTAATTCAGTTCTGCAAACAGGTATTGATGCCTGCTGCATGCCAGGCCCTGCTCTGGGCACTGGGAGTGAATAAAGGCCTGTCAGTGGCCTTAAAAGGCACAAGTAAAGTGGGGGAGAAAAAAGATTAATCCAACAAAGAGAAAGTCCATCTAGCAGGATAAGTACTATACTGAAAGCAATTATCACATGATGTATCCGCACAGAGGAGGGGGCAAGGGTGTCAGAAAAGGTCTCTTGGGGGACATATTTGTCCTGGATTTCCAAGATTGAATAGGAATTCTGCAGGTGGAAAGAGAGGTAGGAAAATGAATAAAGGGAAGAAGTGTTCTCAGATCTTCCTATTCAGAGTGTGATCTACAGACCAGCATCATCATCACCTGGGAGCTTATGAGAAATGCACAGTCGCAAGCCTCCTCCCAGATATGCTGAATCATAATCTGCATTGTAACAAGATCTCTGCCTGATTCATAGGCACAGTAAGACCTGAGAGTGCTCGTCTAGGAGGAGTGAACAGAGCAGAGGAAGGGAAGATAGAAATCTGGGCCTCTCCAGGGAATTACAAGAAGCTTAGATTAGCCAGGGAGCCAGCCAGGGGCAATGGTAGATGAGACTAGAAAGGCAGATCCCACACCCACACTACGTTTACAAGGAAGAAAAGATCCTTCTTAACCTAAATTCCCCCACATGTAACCCCCAGACCTTTCCAACAGCAGTAGAGACTCAAACCATGACCAAGTGTGGGGAGCTGGGAGCTTGACTCTGGCATCTGCCTCACTGGAGGCCAGAACAGACCTCGGTTTGCATTTACTCCTGCAGGCTGAGGTCTGCTAGAGCCGATTCAGCTGTTTACCTCTGCCCACATCATGAGGCTGCTCTGATGAAAGTTCATACACACCAATCAATCAGGCCGATTTCAATTAACTCTAATTGTTCTGTTGGGATTCCTTGCTAGTAGCTAAGATGTGGTGAGACACTGGCATGACTTCATCATGGCCGTCAGAATTCCCATCGATGCTGGAGGTGGCTCACCCT
Organism: Homo sapiens; assembly: GCF_000001405.40. Taxonomy (NCBI): domain Eukaryota; kingdom Metazoa; phylum Chordata; class Mammalia; order Primates; family Hominidae; genus Homo; species Homo sapiens. Next base: position 49,081,162 of record NC_000016.10, on the reverse strand, counting down.
GTTCTGAACTCTGCAGACCTCTGTGTACAATGGTGTGCATGCGCGCGTGCGTGTGTGTTTGCGCGCCCACCCATCTATGGAGCACACAGTATAGCTCCTCAGAACAACTCATTGCCTTGCTCTTTCCTGTGGTTCCTCTTCTGGGAGTAAGGGGAAGACCCATTGACAGATGAAAGATACAGGCACTGGTAAATCCATGCACAATTGCTTGACCTTTGGGTCTCCTTTCCCCCACCTCTAGGCACAGTCATGGGACGCTTTCCTCATCTCTTACTCGTTCCATCCTTGTCCACAGATACCACATGTCCCTTCACATCGTCTTTGCACATGCTGTTCCCTTTGCCTGGAATGCCCTTCCCCTTCTGCTATCTTCCTGGAGAACTCAGCTGCAGTTGTGCCTCCTCCCTGAAGCCCACGGTGGTACTCCCAGCAGAGTGTGTGGAGCTCTCCTCTCCCTGTCTATAGTGTATAACTTGGCTTTTTCCTGAACATTTCTCATGCTGAACTGAGGCTGGGGTTTGTGGGATTCCTCCAGGGCAGGGATTATTTAACTTATTTTTGTCTGCATTTTTACACCAAGAACATTTCTTAGCACACAGTAGGTATTCAATAAACCTGCAGGGAAAATTCTACTCTATTGGAATTGAGATGGAATATTATTTTGTGAATAAGTTTAGTCAAGTAATAAGAGTGAATTTTTATTAAGTATGCATCATGATTTAAAGAATATTAGAAATATAGCCCCAAATCTTTTCTCAATGCTGCTTAAACATCCATAAGTAAAAAATGGACAACAGATGTGAATTGGGATATTGGGAGAAGGAAAGCTTAGAGAACGTGGCAATTTTGCAAAGACTGGACCAACAGGGATAAATGATGTCTCTCCGAGGGCTACTCTGAGCCCCAGAGAAAGAACCCAGAGCCAGGTCAATTCAAGGAGCTTTTGCAATCCCTTCCCAGTTAAAAAAGACCTCTGCTAGTATGGGCAATGAGATATAGATGAGGAACTGAAGCAACCAGGAGAGACAGGTTCCAGCTCCAGCCACAAGCTCCCATCAATAGCAGTGCAGTGACCACTGGATTGTGAGTGAGGGACAAGATGATGGGGAGCTCCTTATGTGCCTGGACTTGACACAAGGTCATCTGCATCAAGTTGTCCAGGGGAGTTCAGGGTGGCTGAGGAGAAGGCACGTTAAGAAGATGAGTACAGGATCCAGAAGAGCTGGGTTTACATCCAGGCTCCACCACTGACCACATGACCTTAAGGAAGTTTCTTGACTTTACCAAGACTCAATTTCTTTATCTAAAAAATTGAGATATTTACAGAAGCTTCTTCATGGGGCTGGTTGGGAGAATTAAACAGTGCTTAGAATTGTGCCAGGCACACCATGCAGGCTCAATTAATGGGGGCTGCTATTGTACCTTCCTACCTGACAGTCATCCTTACCAGAAACAGAAAAAGGTACCCATCACAGTCCAGGAGTGTGTGGCTCCTGCAGTGAGGGTCAGATGCCAAGCAGAATAAGAGGCACAATCGTCCTCTAAGTGAAGACCTCCTCCTTCCATCCACAGCACTGTCCACTGGGTCTTCACAGAAGCTCAGAGCATCAAGAGCCACAGCTCAGACATGTGGCCAGATGGCCTAGCTCTTAGTCCTGGCTGTGCCATGGGACCTTCAGTGAGACTTGAGGTCTCTCTGGGCCTCAGTTTCCCTCTCTGTAAAATGGTGCCATTCACAGTTATCTCAGGTGGACTGAGTAACATGATACATCGATGCATGCAAGAGCGATTGATAAGCTGTGGAGCATGGGACGGAATGATTACAGTTCTGTTTGGTGGAGTGGGCTCATTTCTTGTTAGGATTTTTGTTGGACCTGGATGGGGAAAGAAGAGGAAGATTCTTGTTTTAGTACGTATCACTCAAGGGCCTTTGAAATCTGTCAGACTTCTCTTGGACACCAAGTTCATTTTATTAATTAGTTAACTTATTTCTTTATTTTTGAGATAGAGTCTTGCTTTATTGCTCAGGCTGGAGTGCAGTGGTGCTATCTTGGCTCACTGCAACCTCTGCCTCCGGGTTCAATTGATTCCCCTGCCTCAGCCTCCTGAGTGGCTGCGATTACAGGCATGCACCATCATGCCTGGCTTATTTTTGTATTTTTAGTAGAGAAGGAGTTTCACCATGTTGGCCAGTCTGGTCTTGAACTCCTGACCTCAAGTGATCCACCTGCCTTGGCCTCCCAAAGTGCTGGGATTATAGGCGTGAGCTGGACACCAAGTTCATTAGGGCTTTAACAATTCATTCATTCAACACACACTCACTGAGGGCCTCCAACATGCCGGGTGTCCTGGGTGCTGGGAATATATCCTTGAATGCAGCATATAACGACTTTGGATATTTTCACTGCCCTGTGGGCCCCCAAAGTCCAGGCAGTCCATGCCACATGGCTATGAATGTCACATCGCAGTCTATGAAAGATGAGACAACCCCAGCCCAGAGAGGTTAAGAAACTCGGCATGTTACTTAAAATAGCACAAGTTGGTGGAGGAGTTGAGACGTGGTTAGATTCCAAGGCCTCATAGTATTACGGTAGAATGATGTTAACAATTTAACATAGCATGGTGACCTACTGAGAAATTACCCTGTGCTTGATTTTAGCCATTTTAGATTTAAAAAAAAAAAAGGAAGGAAACTTCCAGCATCCACACCACCCCATGATTGACAGGTCTTTTCTCCTAAGGCCTCAGTTTATTCAAGATGGGGAAGGAGAGGATAAGCATTGTGAGTCCTCTTTTTTTTTTTTCTTGCAAGATCCACCCAGTTCTTCAAGGGGTTGTAAGTACAGGGACATATAAGTCTTAAATCTCTTTACGTCTCCTCTCCCCTCATGGATACTCAATGAATAAGTGTCAAACAGAATTATGGCTGATAGAAAAGTCACTTTTTTGTGGGGTACCAGGGAGAACTCATATCCTTGTCATTAATATTAACTTCTAGGGCTTCTGGGGTTTCCCTACAAACCTGTTCAAGTCACCCTACTGCATTCTGATAGCTTCCAGGTACTTCTCCAAAGTTCCTAGCATGAAGCATCTTGTAGTGCCAGAAAGTAAGGAAGAAAAAAAAAAAAGAAAGAAAGAAAGAAAGAAAAAGAAAAAAGAAAAACAAAAACACAACTATGGGAATATGTCAAAGGGACATAGAAGCCAATTGAAAAAAGCTCCCAATGGCCAAATAGGGAACAATTTCAGCAACGAAATAAAAATAATATTGGATTATAACTCAAAGTATAAAATAAACATCCATAAGTTCAAACTGATATAAAAACATGATTAAATAAATACATAAATAGGGAAGAATAGACAAATCTCCCATGTAGAAAAAAATTCCAACAGCTCTTCCCTAATCTACAAGGCCCAGACTGATCTGCCCCTCCCTGCATCTCTGGCTTCATCTCCTGCCACTCTTCCCCTTATGCACAGTGTTCCAGCCACAGTGCATTTCTGGGGGCCTTTGCATCTGCTATTGCCTTAGCCTGGAACATTGTGCCTCCGATTCTTTGCATAGTCAGCTGCCTCTTGTCATTGAGGTCTCAGCTCAATGTCACCACTACAGGGAAGTCCTCCTGGATCACCCTGACAACTCTCTATTCCTTTGACCTGTTTTATTTTATTGATCGCACTTGTTATTTCTAAAGTGATCTCATTTACTTGCTTATTCATTTGTTTATTTGCATTGTCCCCTAGTTTAAAAAAATATGCCACAAGAACAGTAATATTGTCTGTCTTTTCACCACTGGGTCACTGATTCCAGTATTGAGAACCTACTCTGTGCCAGGTACCCTGCATGGCATCAGTGGCCCAGTGGTGAAATACATATATGAAATAAATTAGTAAACGAATTAATGCTTATCAATGTCCACATTCTTAGAGCCAGGCACAGTGTGGAGCATAGACTAAGGGTGAATATAGTTTTGAATGTGTACATCATTAACAAATAAGTGAATATACTAGGGGATGAATGAGCAAAGAATGATTGAGTATGAATACGTGAGTAAAATGTGTTTATAAAATCCTGGGCTGGCCCCATCTAATGCATTACTAGTGAATTCACCTGTCAGCTCATTCTGCAAAATTGTCCTGCATACCGGGCTGTAGAAAGTTAGCCTGGTTGGAGTTTATGGATAATTTGTACCTCAGCTTCAGAGATCCCTGTTTTAGGTAGGGAGGAAAGGAAGCCTGTGAGCTTCTCCTCTCTAAACATTTAATGAGGCTTTTGGAGCAGATAATTTGGAGAGGATGCTGCAGAGATGAGGACTGGGGTATAAAAATAGATGGATTTCCTTATTGCAATGACTCCTGGTCATATTTTCCCTGTGTGACAGAATGATTAAAACTCATAAATTACTATTAATGTTGAAGTGAGCACATAGTGAACCTGGAAACATCTCTTCTATTTTAGATCCAGGTCTCAGGAGCCCTCGGGGAAGGTTTGGTGGCTGCAGAAAGGACTTTCTCTGAGAATCCAGAAGTGACATCAGGGAAGAACCTCAAAGGATCCATGGTCCCCCAACACAGAGCAAGTGACTGCAGCTCCTAGAATCTCTTCCTTCAGGGAGGCCCAGAGAAATTAAGTGTTAAGAGGCCTTACCCTCAGACAACATCTTCTCTCAGCCTCTGTGGCTACAGTATGTACAGTGTGCTGAGTGTGGAAGGACCTCTCTCCCCATTAAATCTGTAGTGCGATCACATGGAAGGCATCTGAGGACCTAGAGCAAGGAAACATGGCTATCCTGCCCCACTGTGGTCCCGATCTGGGTACTGAATCAGCATCTTCCAAGGATTTTTAAAATAGAAACCCCCAGTTCTCAGCCTACACCAATGAATCAGAATCTCTCAGGATGGGGCTCAGGGAAGCTGTGTTTTTAAAAACTCCAAGTACCTTACTTACCTTCTCACCATCATGAAAATAGAAATGAACAAAATTAACAAGGCAACAATTTCCAGGCACTGGACCAGAGGCACAGTGCAGAACTGTGATCTCTGAGAGGAGGGCAACACTCAAGGGAGGGAGACCTGTGTTTGCCCAGGTTCTGCCCAGGTGAAGCACAGGGAGGGGAAACCCAGGCAGACCACAGTGGTCTGATGGAGCTGAGCAGAATTCGGAGCTTGGGCTGCTGAAGTGGCTGGCATATGTGGGGGCAGAAAACAGGAAAGGAAAGCTGCAGAGGGAGAGAACAAAGACCCCAGAAATGTGTATGCGCATGTCCTGTGGGCTGTTGGTTGAAGCCCGGGCTTTGAAGAACAGAGCAAGACTTGGTGGAGCCTAGCAGAGAGCAGCTGCTAAGGGCCTGGGAACAGAATGGAAACATAGGGAGACTCTCTGCAGGGCTGGGAGTTCCAGCTCAGCTAGAATGGAGAAACTCTGGTGTGCATCTCAGTGGAGACTGCATAAAGGCCATGTATTAGGAATAAAGACTACGCTTCTAGGAGAAGGACTACACCCTAGCACAGAGTTTCTTGGTATCAGCAATACTAGCATTTTAAACAGGTCATTTTTATTTTCCCCTCCGGAGACAGAGTTTCACTCTTGTTGCCAAGGCTGGAGTGCAATGGCATGACCTCAGCTCACTGCAACCTCTGCCTCCCAGGTTCAAGGGATTCTCCTGCCTCAGCTTCCCAAGTAGCTGGGATTACAGGTGTGCACCACCACGCCTGGTTAATTTTTGTATTATTAGTAGAGACGGGGTTTCACCATGTCGGCCAAGCTGGCCTTGAACTCCTGACCTCAGGTGATCCACCCACCTCGGCCTCCCAAAGCACCGGGATTACAGGCGTGAGCCACCATGCTCAGCCCAGGTCATCTTTTTTGTGGGGATTGTTTTGTGTATTATAGGATGTTTAGCAGCAACCTTGCCCTCTACCCACAAAATGCCAATAGCACCCCACCCCCATTTATGAGAAACCAAAATGTTTCCAGATATTGTAAAATGTCCCTGGAATGGGGAGCAAAATTGTTCTCAGTTGAGAATAACTGTCCTAGTATAACGGCCACATCTTATGACTAATGATGAAATGAAAATAGACCAGTCCTAACAACAACAACAAAACAACAAAAGAAAACAAAGTGTAATAGGATCATGAGAATTCATCAGTATTTAAATGTCTAAATTAATAGCCAAACTCATAACATTTAAAGGAAAACAACATAATCCAATCTCCCTACAAGGTATCATCCACAATATCCCACCTACAGTGAGACAAGTGAAACAAACAAAAAAATATGATCTATAATCAAGCAATTGGTAGTCAATAGAAACAGACACTTAGATGGCACAGGTATTGTAATTAACAGAAAGACTACAATAGCTATTATAAATGAGGGGTCAGGAAATGTAAAGATGGATCAATAGAAATTATTCAATCTGAAGAACAGAGAGTAAAAAGAGTTTTTTTAGAAAAAAATGAATAACCATTGCTATTGACTTTAATGTGTCAAGATTTTCAATGGAGAAAGAAAGTCTTATCAGCAAATATTAATAGTATAGAAGAAATTGGATAGTGACATGGGAAAAAAGAACCCCACACTACATACAAAAATCAGCCTGAGATGAATCAAAGATGATTTAGATTTTAAAAGTGAAGTCTAAAACAGTACAAAAACTGAAAGAAAGCATAAGAGGATGTGATTTTGGTAAGCCAAAGTTTCTTAAGTGGGACACAAACAGCAACCAACAATAACTATAAAAGAAAAATATGATAAATTGCATGCCATCAAATTAAAACCTTTTGTTTCTCAAATGCACCATGAAGAAAATGAGTAAGCAAGCCACAGATTGGGAGAAAATATTCCCAAAACATATATTTCACAAAGGACTGGTGTCCAAAATATAAAAAGAATGCATACAACTTTTTAGAGACAGGGTCTCATTCTGTTGTCCAAGCTGGACTGCAGTGGTGTGATCATAGCTCACTGCAGCCTGAACTCCTAGGCCCATGTGATCCTCCCACCTCGACCTCCCAAGTAGCTGGGACTGCAAGCACATGCCACAACACCTGGCTCAATTTTTTTTTTCTTTTTTTATAGAGACAAGAGTCTCCCTATGTTGCCCAACCTGCTGAGCTGGTCTGAAACTCCTGGGCTCAAATGATCTCTTGGCTTGGCCTCCCAAAGTGCTGGGATTATAGGCCTGAGCCACCGTGCCCAGCCTAAATCCCCAGTTTTTGAAATAAGCAAAATAAATTTGAACAGACATTTCGCAAAAGGAGATCCATCATTGGTCAATTACCACATGAAGAGTGCTCAACATTGTTGGTCTTCAGGAAAATGAAAATTAAAACCACGATCTGTACAAATTCATCCAACAAAATACCTAAAATTCAAAAGACAGAAAACATTCAGTGTTGGAAAGAATATGGGGCGATCAGGACTCTTGTGAACTGTTGGTAGAAATATAAAAAAGTACAACCAGTTTGAAAAAAGTTCCAACAGTTTCCTTGTAAAATTAAATAAACACCTGCTTTATGATCAAACAATTCTACTTCTAGGTATTTACCCAAGAAAAAGGGAAATACACATTCACAGTAAAAGACTTGTTCAAGAAGATTCATAGTAGCTTTATTTACAATATCTAAAAGCAGAAAACAGCCCACGTGTCATTAATAGTAGACTGGCTAACTAAACTGTGGCAACTTCACATTGTGGAATCCTACTCAGAAGCAAAAACGAACAAACTCCTGTTACATGCAGCAACATGACTCTCAAAAAATCATTAAGCAAAGAAAAAAACTTACAAAAAAGAGTATATACTGCATTATTTTATTTATATAACTTTTTTTTTTGGACAGATTTTCACTCTTGTCACCCAGGCTGGAGTACAATGGCATGATTTCGGCTCACTGCAACTTCTGCCTCCCGAGTTCAAGTGATTTTCCTGCCTCAGCCTCCCAAGTAGCTGGAATTACAGGCATGCCCACCACACCTGGCTAATATTTTTTATGTTTTAATTTTTATTATGTTTTTATTTTTAGTAGAGACAGGGTTTTACCATGTCGTTCAGGCTGGTCTTGAACTCCTGACCTCAGATAATCCACCTGCCTCGGCCTCCCAAAGTGCTGGGATTACAGGCATGAGCCACCATGCTAAGCCTATATAAAGTTTTATGAGAAACTTTAATAATAACTTCAATTTTCCATAGGTTAATGTAAAATTAATTAAACTGGTGAAAAATAATTACAACAGTGGTTGTCTCCGGGGAGGAAATTGACTAGGAAAGAGCATGAGAGAACTTTCCGGAGTGATGATAGTGTTCTACATCTTGATAGAAGTTTGTGTTATGCAAGTGTATGCATTTGTCAAAATTCATCAGGTGGTACACTTAAAATTTTAAGTGTGTCATTGATGAGTTTTGACAAACTATAGGTATAAGGTTTATACGTATGTACTTGTATCTAGATATAAATCTTACCTTTGAAAAGAAACCACAAACAAATATTAAACTCTTGTAATAGTGTCTATGCTATTACATGGATTTGAGGACAAACTGTATTGATGCCCACAACTTACTTTGAAAGCCATCCTAAAATTAGATGGATTGATGGATGGCTAGAAAATGAGCAGATGGTTAGATATGTGATAAAACAAAATGTTAATTATGGAATCTTAGTGGTGAGAATATGGGTCTATAATTTCTTCAATTTCTTATATGTTTGAAAAATTTCATAATAAAATATTAGAAAGTAGATGAACAGAAAGTCAGTAACTAGTGGGTCAAAATCAAGTTGTCAAACATATGCACAATTGAATTTCCTGAAGAGGAAAAAGAAAGAATGGAGAAAAAAAATTCGGGAATAAATAATTTCCAAAATATCTCCCAAATTGGTGGAAAACGTCAATGTACAGATCCAAGAATTCTAAAGAACTTTAAGTTGGATAACTACAAAGAAGACAGTATCTAGGTGCATCACGGTCAAACTGCTAAGAAACAAAAATAAAGAGAAAATCTTTAAAGCAGCCAGAGGAAAAAAGTCACATCATGTATGAAGGAATGATTAATTAAATAATAGCCGATTTCACACCAGGAAAAAAAATTGAGCCCAGAAGACAGAAGGATGGTATCTTTAAAGTGCTTGGGGAACAACACCAGTGCAACATTCTATGTCCTACGCTCCCCCAAAGCAAAGCACAAACAAAACGAGATATTCTTCAAAAACAAGAGGGATAGAAAGACGTTCAGATAAGCAAAAGCTGAAGCTGTGTGCCAACAGGGAATATGTGTTATAGGAAGTGCCAAATAAAGTTCTCAAACTGAAGGGAACTAGCAACAAATAGGAAATCCAATCTATTGTAAGAAAAGAAATGGAGAGCTTTACTAATAAATAGTAAATATATGTATAAAAATAAAAGACTCAGTTTTATTTCTTAAAAATTTTAAAAGACACCTGACCATTTAAAGCAAAAAATAATAACATTGCATTGTAGAATTTGTAGCTTATGTATTAGTAAAGCATGTGACAGTAATAGCACAAAGATTGGGGGAGTGGTAAAAAGAATTATACTGTTTTGGTTTTACATTTTATGAAAAGTGGCACCATATTACTTCTAAATTGACTATGGAAAATTAAAGATACATCTTTTTCTATCTGGGGCAACTACAAATAAGAATATACAAAAAGTATAGCCAAAAGCCAACTGAAAAAATAAACTACAACACTACAAAATATTTAATTAGTGTGAAACAAGGCAAGAAAGAAGAAAAAAAAGCCCATAAAATAGTAAGATAACAGACTTAGTTATGTCAATATTTACATTAAATGTAAATGGACTAAACGTTCCTGTTAAAAGACAGAAACTGTCTGAATAGATAAAAATGCTAGACACAACTATATGCTGTCTAAGACATGCTCTTTAAATATAAGATGCAGGTCAGTTAGACACACGGAACATGTGACAGGAGAGAAGTGAAGATAACAATGTCAATAGACACAAGGTCAGTATACAAAAATAAACTCTATCGTAGCAGCGCACAACAGGAAAACATAGTTTAAAAACAATTCCACTTGCAAAATGTAAAACCATACATGCTTAGACATAAATATAGCAAAATATGTTCAAGGCCTTTGCATTGAAAACCAGCAAACATTGCTGGGATAAATTTAAAAGAAGATTTAAATAAATGGAGAACTATACAATACTATGGATTAGAATACTCAATATTTTTAACATGTAATTCTTGTCAAATTGGTGTATATATTAAATGCAAACCCCATTGAAACACCAATGGGCATTTTTAAAGAAATGAATAACTTAATTGTAAAATGTACAGCAATGCAAAGGACCTAGAATGTTACAGCAATTTTAAAAAAGAACAAAGTTGGAGGAGTCACACTACCTGACTTAAAGATTTGCTAATAAGCAACAAAAATCAAGACAGTGTAATATTGTCATAAAGATAGATATATGGAAAGATGAAATAAAATTTAAAGCCTAACATAGATTTACACATCTACAGTTAGTTTATTTTCAATAATGTATCAAGGCAGTTCAAAGGGGGAACAGAAAGTCTTCAACAAATGGTACTAGAACAACTAAATAACTGTATGGGAAAAATTCTAACCTCTACCCCTATATAATACCATGCAAAAGTTCAATTTGTACTAGATCATAGAACTAAATGTAAATGCTTAGGCTCTAAAGCTTCTAGAAGAAAACATCTTTGAAAATCATCATGGCTTTGAGGTAGGCAAAGATTTTTTAGAGTGGGCCTTAAAAGCACAAATTATTTAAAAAAATGGTAAATTAAACTTCTAAATTTAAAACACCTCCTTAACAAAAGACATCATTAAGAAAAAGAAAAGGGCCAGGCATGATGGCTCATGCCTGTAGCCCCAGTACTTTGGGAAGTGGAGGTGGATGGATCACTTGAACTCAGGTGTTTGAGACAAGCCTGGCAACAAGGTGAAACCCCATTTCTACAAAAAATACAAAAAAAAAAAAAATCTGGGTGTGGTGGTGTGCACCCGTGGTTCCAGCTATTTGGGAGGCTGAGGTGGAAGGATCGCTTGAGCCTGGGAATTTGATGCTGCAGTGAGCCATGATGATGCTGCTGCACTCCAGACTGGGTGACAGAGCAAGACTGTGTCAAAAAAGGAAGAAAGAAAGAAAGAAAAAAAGAAAGAAAAGGAAAAAAAGAAAGAAAGAAAGAGAAAGAAAGAAAAAGAAAGAGGGAGGGAGGGAGGGAAGGAAGGAAGGGAGGAAGGAAGGAAGGGGAAAGAAATAAAGAGAGAAAGAAAGAGAAAGAAAGAAAGAAAGAAAGAGAAAGAGAAAGAAAGAAAGAAAAGAAAGAAAGAAAGAAAGAGAAAGAAAGAAAGAAAAAGAAAGAAAGGAGGGAGGGAGGGAGGGAAGGAAGGAGAAAGAAAGAGAAAGAAAGAAAGGAAGAAAGAAAGAAAAGAAAAGGAAAGGTGAACAATTCACTGGGCAAAGAGTATTTGTATATCTGACGTATATCTGACACAGGACTTGCAGTATATATATAATTCATATAATAATTTAAACAAGTATAACACCCTCCAAAAAATGAACAAAAAGACTTGAAAACTCATCTTACAAAAAAAGATATATAAATGACCAAGAGTCTCATGAAAAGATATTTATCATCATTTGTCATCAGAGAAATTCAAATAAGATTATAATGAGATCCTACTTCACACCCACTAAAATGGTTAACATTAAAAACTTGTCATCACTAAGTGTTGAAAACAATGTGAAGCAATGAAAACTTTCATACTTTGCTGGTGGGAGTGTAAAATGTTACAAGCACTTTGGAAGATTCTTTGACAGTCTCTTATAAAATTAACTATACAACTACTCTATGACCCAACAAATCTTTTCCAAAGTTAACCTAATTGCTAACGGAATAGGCAGTGAATAGAGATATAAACAAAGGAAACAAGATCATTTCAGATTGTAGATATGATCTGATCAGATAATGTTTTTAACATGCTTAGCAAGGTTATTGTGGTGGCGGCTGCTGTCGTTTTTTATCAATCTATGGGATCCTGGAAGGCCAAATTGGTTCTGAATCATTCCTAGCCTCAAGTACAGTGCCCAGACACATTTATAAAAATGTTTTATTGAATGGTTGAATTGGAATGCATGAGTGAACTGGAAGGAAATCAATGAACCCAGATCACAGTTAAAACAAAGCATGTACGCTCCAAATCATGAGATACTATTGATGTGAACAGGTGCTTAGAGAAGAAGATGGGCTGGAGAAGTCTGGGAAGGCTTCCTGGAGGAGGTAAACCCTGAACCATGGTTCTAAAATGGTTCAGATACTGATGGCTAAATAAGAGGAAAACAGAGCTAAGCTGAAGGGAAGATTCAGATGAGAAGAAAAAGACTCTGGAGGGAAGCCTGGTTTGAGCCATATTATACTTTGTGTTAGTAGTTGAAATCGTCCCTATAAGCTTTATAAAATTAATTAGGGAAGAAGGGAGGGGGATAAAGGAAACAAGCCCAGCTTGCTGCACACCCAGCATTCATCACGAGGTCAGCCGCTCTCTGAGCTGCTTGCTCAGGGTTGTTTGGTGCCTATTGTCCTAGAATCCCATAGACCCCGTTACAGGATTATCGATCTTCTTAAGTGAGCTATAGGTAACAATTTGAACATTATGAAATGTTAAGTTTTCCCCTCAAAAGATCCCTTCAGTTCCTATATACGGATGAAACTGCTGACTCAGCTGGTCTCATGGACCCCCACAAGAAGCTGACTCACTGAGGAATGCAGTTTCCACATCCTAATGACTTCATCCCCCTTTCCCCAACCAATCAACAACCCAATTTTTCAGCCCCTTCACCCTCCACCATCCCCTTAAAAACCCCCAGCCCAGAATCCTGTGAGAGATGGATTTGAGGGTCTTCTCCCATCTCCTCATTCAGCACCCTGTGATCATTAAACTCTTTCTCTGCAGCAAACTCTGCTGTCTCAGTGTAATTGTCCGTTACTGCACAGCCGTCATACCAGCCCGTTGGTCTATAACATAGTCATCTATGGGGACAGGTGGAATAAAGGCTTGCTGATGACAACTGTGAAACAAGGTGGGGGTTCTTCTCAGCCCTGCTGTCAGTCAGGCACTCAACAACTCACCACTTAGCAGTACTCAGTCCACACAGTCACACAGGGCTCTCTAAGTGGTGGCTTCAGGATGTTTGTTCCCTCTGCTCACCTCCCCTGTCCTGGTGGAAGTGTGTGAACCATTTATTATTAGCCTGCTTTCTGAGTGTCCCTGGCTGACCTCCCAGCAAGCTGCTGATGGAGAAGCTTGCTTCGGAGGTGATTTTGCAACTGCAGGAGTGGATGGGGAGTTGAAGGGGCAGGACCAGAGCCAGTCTGAACACTGACCCTAAATTCAAACTAGCTGCACTAAGTTGTTAAACCCTCCATGAAAATCTAATTTAGAAATTGAATTAGAAACCTAACCTAAATAGATCATTTTAAAACATCAGTGAACAATTTCAAAGCAGAAACTTATATATACATATATATATACACACACATATATATACACACACATATATATGTATATATACACACATATATATATTTAAATTAGTGACTTGGTCAGTGGTTTTAAACATTAAGGGACATCAAGTGCACCTGGAGGACTTGTTAGAACATAGATGCCACTCTCCTGCCCCATCCCCAGAGCTTCCAATCCAGCAGGTGTCTGGCGAGGCCTGAGAATTTGCATTTCTAAAGCATTCCCAAGTGATGCTGATGATGCTGGTCCAGGATCATACTTAGAATCCCTCTCCTAGAATTATCTAGGAGCAGCGACATATTCTCCAAACCTGAACTACACAGGTTCTTTTTTGGTTCTTGTTACATCTTTCATTTAGAGCGACAACTGTAACACTGACAACGACTAAACTTCCCGAGTGGCTTCCTCTAATGCTATGGCTTTTAATCTTGTTTGTTTTAAAATAACCTTTGGAAATCTGATTTTTAAAATTGTATGAGTCCTCGCCACAGAAAAGTTCATGTGGACAGGTGCACACAGAATTTTACTTGCATTTTGCTGTCGTTGAGTCCAGAGTATATTATTTTAATTGGTTCATGCCGATTCCTGGATGCCAGGCTAAGAAAATATGCTAAAATAAGCCTGCAACAGCAGGCTACACATGCGATGAAGAACAGGGGTTCAGTGATCTCCAGCCCAGCTGTGTGATTTTGAGCTAACCGATTACCCTCTCTGAGACTATAAAGAGGGGGCTTATGATACCTTCCTTTGGTTACCTCTGGGGAATGGGTCTTAGAAAGTTGGAGAACACATCTTTAATGTTTATTTGATATGCTTCTTTACTCTTTAAACTTTATGCTGTGTGTAAATTTAAACACAACACACCACACACATGACAGACCATATTTACCAAATGCCCTCTGTTTATATCACTATTATATTAACATACACCATATCACTGCTGGGAATATTGGTCTATCGATCCCACCTTATATCATCCCAAGGCATAATACTATGAATATTTATTATAAATACTCTTATAACCTTAAATATACATTTCATACTCTCAATTAATAATCTTTTTTTTTTTTTCTTGAGATGGAGTCTCTCTCTGTTGCCCAGGCTGGAGTGCAGTGGCGCGATCTTGGCTCACTGCAACCTCCGTCCCCTGGGTTCAAGCAATTCTCCTGCCTCAGCCTCCTGAGTAGCTGAGATTAGAGGCACCATTCACTACACCTGGCTAATTTTTGTATTTTTAGTAGAGATCGAGTTTCACCATGTTGGCCAGGCTGGTCTCGAGCTCCTGACCTCAGGTAATCCGTCCGCCTCGGCCTCCCAAAGTGCTGGGATTATAGGCATGTGCCACCGTGCCCCAATTAATAAACTTTAACACCTTTGGTGCCTACAAATGAAATTTTAAAATTCTGCTTCTATGGTTGTTTTTAGTTCCCATGTATGTGACAATGAAACCACACTAAATGGTGAATAATTCAAACGAAGTAAATAAAAGTGGTGTAAATATTAAACATGCATCCTATTCTTTCTGGGTTATTTGAGACTCAAATGGAAATATGTATATGAAAGAACTTTGGAAATGTATTTTGTGCATCAAAAGATCATTACTTTTGCCACGGCCATTGTCATCATGCCTACCGGGTTGGAAACCCTTCCAAGGGCTTCCTGAAAACTCCTTTCTCTCTGCCAGTAGCTGAAACCCATTTCCTTCACACCAGACTATTTTGGGTAGAAAAAAGAGCAGGTGGAAGGCTCTTCTTAGAAAGAAGCCCAATTCTTTAACATGCAAATGCTGGTGTGAGTATGTGCGTGTGCATGTGTGTGCATGCCCGGGCAGTTGTGTGCACATGTTTGCATGTGTGGGGTAGGCGAGGTTTTTAATCTATGCCCCCCATTTCCTCCTTAATGAGAAAATAAAGAAACAATGCGTAAAAGCCTGGAGCTATCCTTCACCTGGCTGATAGGCCCTGTTCCCACATTGGCCCTCTTGCCCTGCTCTCCCTAAGTCACCACAACTCCAGAGCTTTTTCAGTGAGCTCATCACAGCAGCCCCAGTGGCCAGTCAATGACTCCCTGCCAGTGGAATTGGTGTCCACCTCACACAAAAAGCAGGCACTAGGGGCTTCCAGGTCCCCTGCCCTAAAGTTCTCTTCTGATGCTGTGATGGTCCTCAGCCAGGCTGCCCTCATTCAGGCCCTGGCAGGCCCCGGCTGGTGGCTGTCCTCACCACACACCTGTCTAGGCTAGGCTGAGTCGGGGGTAGATGGAACCTTGGCCTGGGGCTCAAAACACCAGGCCCCAGGCCCTGCTCTGTTTAACTTGTGAGCATTATGACATGTCCCTTTCTCTCTCTGGGCCACAGTAGCTCCACTTATAAAATAAGGACAGTTGGCTTAGACCAATGGTTCTTGGCCTTTTGAGATCTGAGGGGCCTTTGAGAATCTAAGGCAGCAATGGGGTCCTCTCTTCAGAATAATATCACAAACATGCATGCATAACTAATCCACATCTAATTTTAGCGGTTCAGAAATCTTCTAGAGCCCATTGATAAACCACAGGACAGTTGTGAGGTTCTTTCCAGAAATAACAACTGCACAAGGAGATGATAAACTCTTCTGTTTCCCGCTCTCTCTGTCTCTCAGTGTTGTTATATGAATCAAAGGAGGCAATGTATGGAGAAACTCCTCAAAACCTGTGAAGTGCTTTGCACATGAAAGGGACTGTTCTTATTAACATGTAAGCTGTTCTATAGCTCTTTGTTGACCCCACGATGATAGTAGCTACCATTTATTAAGCACCTACTTAGGATCAGGTGATGTACTAAAAGCTGTCTACATATTATTTAATCTTCAAAATAATCCTTGGAGGTGGGTGCTAATATTACCCCCATTTTTACAGATGAGAATATTAATCACAGAGGTAAATTAATCCTGTCCAAGATTACACAGAAAGTGGCAAAAAACAGGTAAGTTTTGATTGAAAATAGCCGGATAATAGATGCCTGGGTTGCCAGTCACAGAGATGAATTTTATCCAATGGAGGAAATGTTGAAAGTAATCCCTGGACTAGAAGATCAGGGGATCTATTCAAGGACAGACACACACACACACAGGTAAACTCACACTAAAACACACATGCATAGACACACACTCACACACAGGCACTGAAGAACCCAAGTTAGACCAGCATAGATGGATGTAGTAGCAGGAGCAGTCTTGACTGATGTACCTGGAGAGACCAGACAAAGAAGCTAATCAGGTGGCACTTCCTGGAGAAGGTGAAACTGGGCTAAACTTGAAAAAAGGGAAAGACAGATAGTGAACGAGGTGACCTTCCAGGAAGGAGGAGGAATAGCTGTGTAAGCACAGAGGCAGAGGGAACCTGGGGTATCCCAATTTGCAAACATTTCATGAGCACCTACTCTGTGCAGTCCATAGCTGCTCAGTGTCCACTGGGGACAATAAGAAGAATGCAGGGACATCAACCCATGTGGCTCAGGCAGCCACACATTTGTAAAGAGCCCACAATCATGATTTATATATAAATCAGTCAGCTCTGCCGCTGACTGACTATAATGGTGATCATGTTATTTAATCGATCCAGCCTCATTTTTCTTATCTGTAAAATGGGGATAACCATAGGATCTGCAGAGTTTTAGAGTTGTTGAAAGTATTAGATGGGATAATGCATGTACAGGACTTAGCACAGTGCTGGCCAGGGATAAGCCCCAAGCAAGCGGTGGTGAATGCCACCCCCGTCACCATTCATTCATGAGTGTAATGAAGTTATAAGCATGATGTCTGCCACATACCAGGTATTTCTGTATTAGTTTCCCTTTTCTTAAGGCTGCTTCCTGTGCCTGTTCATTCGAGATAGAGGAAAGAATGTTTTATAAGGGTCACAGAGGAAGAGGAAGCCTCCCCTCTGCTCCCTTAACTGATGTCCAGGAAGTGAATTGCACAGTTCTTTAGAAGAAGGATGATGTGCTAATAAACTGCACAGACTCTGAGAACTGGGCACCCAGTAGTGATGGCTCAGTATCTCTGACAGGTGAAATTGAACACTTAGAACATTTCACTTGATTCCTTTCAAACAGAGAGCGAGGCGGCCCACACCTCCACTTTGTCCTTAATTGGCCACATTTTGAAGCACGCTGTTTACTTGTGACCCCGGAGTTAATAAACAGCCAGTCAGAGTCTTCACTGTATCAAAACACAGTTTACAGGAAGGAGATTTGCTGGGTGCCAACAGTCATCTGCTGGGGTTTTAGAGTAAATTACGCATCCATCAATTTCTTCTTTTTTTTTTTTTTTTTTTTGTTCTGGGAGGTATTGTGTCAGGCCAAAGGATCCTTGCTAGATTGAGACCAAAAGATAAAAATACAAATTTACCACCAAAGTCATCTGAAACACAACAGGTCCCAAGTGGTCCCATGTCCTTGTCCTCCTCCCTCCCAGCCAGCCACCCTTCTGCCTTGGCTGGCTCCAAGCTGTAGACTTAGTGTCCTCTTTGCCCCCACCCTCACTCTCCACCTGTAATCAATCACCAAATCTGATGATTCTGCTTCCAGAGAGTCTCTCCACCCATATTCCCACTGCCCCAGACCCTCATCTCCACCACTAATGAGACACCTGCCATTGTCTCCTAACTGCTCCCCCTGATGCTATTCTACTCCCTTTCAAGCTATTCTCCGTGTGGCTGCAAAGGAGATCCTTCTAAAATGCAAATTCAGTTTCATCATGCTCCTGATTAAAACTGTCCAAAGTTTCCCTGTTAACATCAGGATCAAGTCTCAGCTTTAGATAATGGCAGGCAGGGCCCATCAAGATACTGACGCCACTTGCCTCCAGCCCCTGACTTGCCTTCCTGCTCCCTCCTTGCTGCTGTAAGGTAGAGGCTTTAGCAAGACCAAAGCAGTGGTGGCTGCAAAGGACTCACGGTTCTGCCCTGCCATGCACACATCACTTCCATCCCAGCATGCCCTCCTTTCCTTGTTGGGTTGGAAAACTTCATCCCTTCCCCTCCTCTGACACTCAGCTCTGACATCACTACCTACAGGAAGCCTTCTCTGACAGTCACCTCTCATAGAAACAGTTTCTCTTGAAATGACATGAATATATTTCAATTGTTGAATGCATCTCATTGAATTAAAATTCTCTGTATTCAAGTCTGATCTCTATTTCAAACTGGGAACAAGTTGACGTCAGTGTCCTTGAGTCATAAAACCCCAGTGCCAAGCACAGTAGGCTTCAGGTGGACAATTCCACTTTGCCATCACAATGTTCATGTTAAGTAGGGACATTCCTTTCTCAATTTTATAGAGATGGAAACTTAGACTCAGAGAGGTTAAGTAGCTTGTCCAAAATCACACAGGCAGTGTCAGAGACAGACTTGAACTCAGATCTGAAAGACTTGACTGGGAAGAGGTGCTCAAGAAATACTGATTTCTTCATTGAATGTTCATCAGGAGCTCATTTTCTTTTTAAATTGCCACTTCCCCATATCCTGAAGATACATTTAGAAAAAGACCCTAAAGGATCCTAATGAAAATGTTTGGACATATATTTTTGTATTAAATGACTATACCATGTGTGCTTGAGTGGGGAGGGTGGGAGGAGGGAAAGAATCAAAAACCTACCTATCAGGCACTATGCTTATTACCTGGGTGATGAAATAATCTGTACACCAAACCCCTGTGACATGCAATCTACCTATATAACAAATCTGCACATGTACCCTTGAAGCTAAAATAAAATTTTAAAAATAAAAGTAACAAAGGGATACCACCTGTATAACCTCTTCCATAACAAAACTCCCTTGAAATTGGAGTCATGGAAAGAGCTTGAATTTGGAGAACCTGGGGTCCATCCCAGTAAATTCTGATCATTTACTTGCATAAATTTCCTCAAGCAAAAATCTTTGGGTGTTTGCAGTTGGTGAGCATTGGAATGACAAATACCAGGGGGCTGTGTGTGGAGCAGTGACAGTGTCTATTAGAAATAGTAACAATGATAATAACAAGGTTCCAATCATTGAGCATGGACGATGTTCCAGACACAGGACTAAGCACTTGGCAGGACTGCACTCTGATAACTTGCCCAGGATTGCACTCTGCCAGCAGGCAGCAGAGCGGAACCTTATACCCATGGCTACTGAGGCCAGAGCACATGCTCTGATCACTCTTCCACCACTACTCCACTCTGCTGCTTCTTGTGCTCTGCTGAGATTTAAGCAGGTTCAGTAGCTGGCAGGGAACTGCTGAGATGGATTTGCTCTGGTCTGGATGCTCTGACCAGCGCTGTGTGAACAACCTGGGGTATGCATAGGTGCTGTGAAGACCTCCACTACTAGACAGCAAGGATCCAACTGCCTCTGTGAGCCTGGAGTCTATTCTCCCTGTGCTCAAAAGTTCCCTGTACTAAGAGCTCCCTGCACCCCCAGGAATGTAGAAACAAAAAGGGAAAGGGAACAGGGAGCCCCTGCATTCTTGACCTGCCCCACACCCCAGAAAAAATCTTGGCACTTCCCTCAGCCTGGCACTGAAAGAGTTAACCTGAAACAGCTTCCATGATGAATGGCTATAATACTGTCTACGTAATGGATTTCCTATTTAAATTTTGTGAGGATTTAATCAGTTGGGCGCAGCTGTGCAAGATGCACCATAAACTATGTTGAAAAATATGTAGACATATACATTTATCTGCTACAAATTAAGCTCACTTAGAGGTGGTCTTAATGGCCCATGTAGCCATCATTACAAGCATAAATTCTAAACTGTCTGTTTCCAGTGAATTTGCTTTGAGAAAAAAATTAATGCTCATCCTTAGCAGAGCATAGTAATAAATGAAAGGACCCTTAATTTGCAAAGCTCTAATAGCCTGGCCATTTTCCATTAGGAACCCCATGCTGGGTCATACATGGCAGGGTCTCTTCATGGGGGATTCCAGTGCCCAGGCTGGGGAGGGACAGGGGCAGACTTTCTGGAAGTCTACCCTGTGTGGTTTACCCAGTCTTTTCAGAGGAAGGCTAAAATCCTGATTCTAAAGCTAGGAGGTGAGCCTGCAAAAGAATATTAACAATAAAAAAAATATGAGTGCATGTTTCTTTTTGGTACAACGATTTATTTTCTTTTGGATATGTTCATCACGGCACTATTCACAATAGCAAAGACACGGAATCAACCCAGGTGCCCATCAATGGGTGGATTGGATAAAGAAAATATGATACATATGTGCCATGAAATACTATGCAGCCATAAAAACTGAAATCATGTCCTTTGCAGTAACATGGATAGAACCAAAGGCTGTTATCCTAAGCAAATCAATGCAGTGACAGAAAACCAAATACCATATTTTTCACTTATAAGTGGGAGCTAAACACTGAGTACGTATGAAAATAATTAAGGAAACAATAGATACTGTGGACCACTAGAGGGTGGAGGAAGGGGTAGTGAGTAAAAAAAACTACCTATTGGATCCTATGCTCACTACCAGGGTGATGGGATCTGTATTCCAAACCTCAGCGTCACACAATATTCCCACGTAACAAATCTGCACATGTACCTCCTGCATCTAAAACACAAATTGAAATTAAAAAAACAAAAATCCTTCAGTCTTGGCTGCATCCAGTGTGAGTGTGAGTGTGTGTCCAGAGACATACATTCAGATTTGCCCTGGCCATGATGGCAAAATGCACTCAGCACATGGTTAGCCCAACTGCGAGTGTGGATCTGGTGCTAATAGAACTCACAGCATGTGAAAGCTCTCCCACTTTCTCCACTTTCTCTCTAGCACTGGAAAAATGGCACAAAGGAGCTGGGTTTGAATCCCAGCCTGCTACCTTGGCACAGCCTGATCTGGCAGCTTGCTTCTCCAAATAGTCACAAAGAGCTGCCAGTTTGCAAGACATTCTCTCATTTCTCTCTTCACATCTCAGTTGATCCTTACTTCATGACAACCTTAGGAGGTAGGTGCAATTATTTCTCCTATTTTAATAGGGCTGGGGCTAGAGCAAAGCAAAAGAAGCACCCAGGCTACAAGATTTAAGGAAGCACTCACTTTCAAGGTCCTATCAGTGTCAACTCTTCATTTGCATGACCCTGACATGACAGCCTCCTTAAACTTTGCTCCTTAAGTGCCTCTTGCCACACTCTAGTTCCAGCTCTGGATAGGGACCCCAAGGCACAGAGAAGTTAAGTAACTTGTTCAAGGACACACAGGCACTGAGAGAGCTAGAGTACAATTCATGGCCATTTAACTCTGAATTCCAATGTCTTTTCTATATGCCAAATGATGGCCATTTGAATTGAAAAGTTTGATTTATTCAGCCCAAGTTGGGCATTTACTGTGGGCCAAACTATACAGCCAAAGCTTTCACATAAGAAATATCTCATCTCATTTTCTTCGTGGCATCCTTTACTTTCAGAAATAATCTTATCAATTCATTTAAAAAAAAGTTTGTGGCCTGTGTGCCCCACTAGAATATTCACTTTATCCTAGTGGCTAGAGCAGTGCTTGGCACATCGTAGGTGCTCAGTAAATATTTGTCAAATAAATTATCTTATTCAACAAATGTTTAAATGAGAAGTTGTATGAAACTAGTCTGATGGTTCTCATGCCTGGTTCCAGGTACCCCAAAGATGGGATCGAACCACTTAGGAAGTGCCATTTACTTCCTCTCTGCTAAGTGTCAGGTGTTCCCATAACTCAACCATCCTGGGAAAAGGAATTGGTGATGGAAAATCCAATCATAAAAAAATTAAAATCTAGGATGGTTTTGTCTGGTGCTTTTTCAGAAATGAAAAATGCAGAAACACTTTCACCAAAGTGTCTGATGGCAAGAATTGGGGCTGCATTAGAAAGTGGTAGAAGGGGCTGGGCACAGTGGCTCATGCTTGTAATCCCAGGACTTTGGGAGGCTGAGGTAGGATTGCTTGAGGCCAGGAGTTTGAAACCTGCCAGGGTAATAGAGAAAGACTTCTTCTCTACCAAAAAAAAAAAAAAAAAAAAAAAAAAATAGCCAGGTGTGATGGCGCCACCTGTAGTTCCAGCTACTTGGGTTGGGAGGCTGAGGTGGGAGGATCGCTTGAGCCCAAGAGTTCAAATCTGCAGTAAGCCATGATCACACCACTGCATCCCAGCCTGGGCTACAGAGAGAGACCTTGTGTCTTAAAAAAAAAAATAGGCATGGGGAGCAGTTAGAAGAATGAAAATCACAATCTTAAACAAATGATTCTATCAAAACCTGACCAGTTGCAAAGACACCAGCAATTACAGGACTCTTAGAAGGCTCAAGAGAAGCATGTAATAGCTTCTTTTCAAAACTTAAGACAAGCCCCCAGAGCTCTTTTCCTGTGTCCTGCAGGCCCAGCCTTCTCATTTGAGACAAGGCTCCCTGCAAGCCACCTCTAGGAAGACTCCCAGCGTGCCCTGTGCCGTTTCCATAGAAAGCACCAGAGGAGGAAAACAAATCTTTACAGATCTGGCCTACGGTTCTGCACAATTTAACAACTGACAAGCTTGTGGAAATAGGCAGGAATCATTACTGAATTAGCATCATTGCCATTGAAACAGATGATGAAATTAGGAGCAGCCAAAGGGAGCTGCTTGTGCTCCCAGCTGGGTGGCTCATGGGAGCGACCCTTATGGGAAACTGTACTCCCTGGGCAGGCTCTACTGGGAGAGGTCCACACAGGACAGTTTCAGTGGGCACTGGGTGGACTAGGGAGTGGGTGACCATTGAGTATAGCATTGGGGTTCACACAGAGAAAGCCAGACTGCATTCCTGACAGGTCACAGTGATAACATTTAAAGTTAAACATAAATTCACAGATAATACATTTTTATAGCTAGTAAGGGCAGAGGGCTCATCTGAACTTATACCCAGGGCCACACAAAGGTAGGGGCCTCTCATCTGCACTAACAAGCTTCTAAATTAACTTCCTTTTGCCTGTGGAACCCCAGTCTCTCCCTTCCCACCTGACTAGCAAATGCCACTTCCTCTAGGAGGCCCTCTCTGATGTCCTACCCTGCCCTAGACTATCTCAGCGTCTCTGTTGGCATTCTCAGAGCACCAGGTATGTAGAATCAGCCTCCACTTTAGCCCTTCCTGCACTTGGCCTGCTTCCCATGCAGTCCCAGGAGGGCAGAGGCCACAATGTCTCATCCACTGTTGATTCTCATCTCCTATGTCATCTCCCGTCTCATCTTCTATGTCATCTCTGGTCTCCTAGCACAGATACTAAGCACCGCATAATACTTGTAATAAATGAATCAGTGAATCAATAATGGTCTACACCAGGGCATCGCAAACATTTAGGTGCATAGACTCATTGGAGGACCTTGTTAAAATGCAGATTCTGATTCTCAGGATTTTTATTTCTAACAAGTTCCCAGGTAAGATCCCCACAGCTGGTCCTGGTGCCCTACTTTAAATAGCAAGGGTCCATGTTACCATAAAAGACATGTACATGCACTGTTACCAACGCAGAGAAGTGAGGCTTTACCCCCACCCTTATTTTATGAAGCGAGTTGGTCAGGGTGCCTGATATCTTGTTCACACTCTTAATTTTGGGGGAGCAGCTGAGCAGTCAGCACAGACTTTAGAACATTTTTGAAATGCTCTACATGCATGGTAAGTTCTACCCTAAATGAAAGGCTGTTGTTGAAATCCTTCCTATTAATAATACACAGGTAGGACTGCACTAGTATGAGGGCAGCATAGCCCTGCTGTGACATGCTAAGCTCTGGAGTCCAATCTGTGTAGGTTTGTCTCCTGCCTTTGTCACTGGCCGCCTGTGGGGTCCTGGGCAAGTTACTCAACCTTCCTGTGCCACAGATGCCCCCATTTAACATGGAGAGAATTATAACACGTGCCTCACAGTGCTGGGAGGACTAAACAGGAGACACACTCTGGTGGAGTCCTAGGCACTGATCAGTCTCTGCTGTTCTTAATTGTTGCTTAATGCACAAACGGAACTACATCTCTGCCGGACCTCAACCCAGAAGAATAATTCCAGGGCAGCTGCTCAAAACTCAAACCGTAGACACTGGAGGCCAAGAGACAACAGCCACCCAGATTTTATGATTTAAATGGGATAGAGTGGGCTGCCTACAACAAAGCATTTTTTAAACAAGAGACTTGTTCTCAGGTTGACATACAAAGATGTAAATTAGAGCCATAATCTCCTTCCACAGCCCTGGTGCGAGTTGCTCTGTGGTGCCTGAATCACTGGGCAGACTGCCTTGTTCAGCCTGGCCACAGCCTCACCCTCTGCAGGGTCCCTAGAGCCCTGGCGTCCCCAGGGACCAGCACTTTTCATACAGCAACATCTTCCCCACAGAGTCTGTTTCCTGACTTGAGCAAAATGGCAGAATTAGGAAGCTAAGTGTTGCCAGGTGGAAGAAGGCTCTCTCTAGCATCACGCTTGACAGACAATGACAGGGCGCAACAAAGCCAAATACATGAACCCTTCCCAGAGAGGTGCTTTTAGGCCGCTCCTGGGTTGATGTCACAGAGTCAGTTCAGCTAAGACAGCGGCATCTCTTTTGGCCTTAGGAGAATTTCCTTCCTTGGAATGCTCCAGGGAGAGACCCCTGCTGTTCTCCAGCTCATGCCTCTCCTCCAGCCCCAGGCACACAAGCCTTTCTTTCCACCCCTTATTGTTTGCAGTGTCTGTCCATTCTCACCCTTCTAGACTCACCTTAAGTATTATCTTCCCAGAGGGGTTGGAGCTGATGCCAAAATCTAAAAATGTAGCCCCTACCATCATTCTCTCTCATAACACCCTGCTCATTTTCTGCATGGCATGTCCTGCAATTTCTCACTGCACATTTTTGCTTGTTTTTGTCTGCCTCCCCTGCTAGACTGTATGCACCACGAGGGCAGGGCCACATGCATTCACCCACTGCTCACTGCTCCATCCCAGCCCTACTGCACAGTCGCCATGGCTAGAGTGAAATGTATGGGTGCCTCACTCTGTGCTGATACTTTTCTAAGGAATGACTCTGCTTTACCTCCTCCTTTCCTCATAGCCCTATGAGGTAAGCACTATCATTAGATCTGTTTTTATAGATAAGGCAACGGGAAAGCTGACATCAGTAACTTCTTCAAGGTCACATAGGAAGCAGCAGATTCATGAGCCTATTCAGTGGGGCTGATGTCAGAGCTGGCCCTCTTAGGACACTATGCTGTCACACAGTAAATGTTCAAAAAGAATTTGTTGAATCAATAAATGATTAGAACCACTCGGTCCAATACGATCCCATTTAAACCCATTCAATTCAGTTAATTCAGTTCAATCAATGCACACTGGGTTCTTGGCAATGTGTTCGGTGCTGAGGGGGCCCAACCTCAGGGAAGATTATTAATGGTGGCTGTGGCAGCAGAAGCCTGTGTGCGGATGACATTGCCAGCCTCCTCTGGCTCTCCCACTTGCCCGACTAGCTCATCAGATGCCCTCAGGATGCTGGAATTTTGTGAATCTGAGATGTGCGTAGCATTCCATGGTGCAAAACTGAATGGCATAAGGGCCTCAGCTTCCATGTCACAATCCCTTAATTGTAGATATGGACACCAAGCCAAGACAGGTTAGGCACATAGCTAAGAAGGAGTAGAAAGAAGATTTGAATCCATCCAGACTTGGCTCTGGAACACCCATTACACTATACAATATCATAGTTAAAAAAAAATTTAAAGATGCACTTATTTCATTCGTCACAAGCTTTCTTATGTGTAGTTGAAGCCAGAGTCAGCTACAAGTAGCCAGTCATCTGTCTGCAGTGGGACAGCCAGGGAGGGGCTGAGCCGGGACCCTTAGGCCAGCACAGTACCCAAGAAACACTGCATGTGTGCACCTACAATGGGCACCATCCTGCTTCTGTTAGAGCAAAATTTCACTAATAAAAACAATAAGTGAATGTCTGGTAGAACGCATACGTCAAGAAGGGTGAGACCTATGCAGGCACACAAAACACACACAATGAGTTCAGATTCAGCGTCTTTTTTTCTGGATATTTTCTCCAACAGACTTAATTTAACTCTGAAACTACTTATAAGAAGCACTAGATGCAAAGCAGTAATTTCTAATCTCCTGGCATTCCTGTTGCCACACTCATGAGTTCTCTCATGCCCACAGACCACCTGTACTGTTAATTACTTAACACCTTATCTTTAAATGAACTCACTTTAAAAAAACCTTAAAATACAATTATTTTAAATTTATGAAAAATACACTTATTTTTAAATGGTCATTAAAAAACTATAAGTGGAAAATGAGTAATATTAGGTGGTAACATTAACTATAAACACAATGAAAACAAAACAATGTTATTAAATTCAAACCAGATATTGTTCCCTAGTCTCAACCAGAGGGCTGCCCTGTGTTTGTTGCAAAGGGAGACGATAACGTTACAGAGGTGTGAAGGCCAGATTAGCAGCAAGTCAAGCCTTTCTTCCTGATGTCATCAAGAGCTGAAGTAGAATAAAGCTGGAAAGGGAATTATTGTCTCTCTAAATGAATCAATGTTCTTAAAGGCATTTAATATCATGGACCCTGGGAGACACTGGGGTGGGGACAATGGAGCAGGGCTTCAAGTCTCATCTGTGCCACCCACCCACTCTGTGACTTTAGGCAAGTCACTTATTTTTATTTTTACTTTTGGAGACAGAGTCTCACTCTGTCCCCCAGGTTGGAGTGCAGTGGGCATGATCTTGGCTCCCTGGAACCTCTGCCTCCTGGGTTCAAGCGATTCTCATGCCTCAGCCTCCTGAGATTACAGGTGCATGCCACCATGCCCGGCTAATATTGTATTTTTAGTAGAGATAGGGTTTCACCATGTTGGCCAGGCTGGTCTCAAACTCCTGACCTCAGGTGATCTGCCTTCCTTGGCCTCTTAAAGTGTTGGGATTACAGGCTTGAGCCACCGCGCCCAGCCTGAGTCCCTTCTTTTCAATGGGCCTCAGTTTTCCTACCTGAGATGCAAGTTTAGACTAGAATTTAGTTACCAGCTGATCTCTTGGGTCCTTCCAAGTCTCAGATTCTCTGACTCAATTCCTGGTGAACGATATTACATCCACCAAACTGCTGCACACTGAAATTGAGAATGTGTCCTCTAAGAGCTGTTCAAACACATCATTGTTTCCACAGAAGGCTCATTCCTGGGCTGAAATCAAGTTTCAAGACTTTCTGGAAAGCCTTCTTCCATTGGCAAAGGTCATTAAGATGTGTGAAGAAGGGGTGGGGGCTTGGGCAGGAGGTGAACTCGGCAAATAAAAGTCCACTTGATTCCAGAAAACCAGCCTCCGTGAGCAATTGGAGTGGCTCACTTTGGTTAGAATATTTTGTAACTAGTAGGATTATCTACAATGATAAAATCATACCTCCCAGCTTTCAAATAAAGATGTCCCCAGGAGGGTATTGATGGCATCATTGTTGTTGGAAAGAGAAAGAAAGAGTGGCCGGGTGATCCTATTGTGTGTGGAATAAAAGGGCTGGGAAACAGATCTATTTTCGTATTAGCTAACTGCAGACCATTGCACCCCCAGATCGACTCATTCTTCGGCCACAACAGCTCCCCTCCGGGAAGCCGGGATGTGCTTCTAGCAAACAAACACAAGGCTGGACACCCTCGGGGCAAGGGCCTGCTTTAGGGGCACAAAGAAATGCCGGCATGGTGTGCTCCCATGACAGCCAGATCTTCATTCTCCACACACCTGGGGCCACTGACCACTGCCCTCCCGCCCACAGCTTCTCTGGCTGCAGCAGCAAAAGGCCTCCCACCATTCTTCTCTGCCCATCAGATTGTCTATGGTCACCACTGGGGACATGTGAACTAAAGGACCACACTTGGCCCTGCCCAAAGATGAGGAATGGCTCAGGAGACACAAAACCAACAGCTTCATTACCAGGGACTAAGCATTAATTACTTATGTTTTCCAAATTTAGCTTGAGGACCACAAGGTTGAATGGGAGAATGCCCAATGAGGACGTAGAGTAGTGGCAGCTCATTTCCCTGGCCCCTGTACACCAAGTGCTATCCTAAGTGCTCCGCATATGCGAAGGCATTTGTTTCTCACAGCAGCCCTGATATTGGTACAACTCCTATCATCCCATTTTACACACTTAGAAACTGAGGCACAGAAAGCCAAGTGATTTCCCCCAAATGTGAATCAGCCAGAAAGTGCCAGACACAAAATTTGAGCCTTGGCTGAGTGGCCAGTCCAGGCTCTAAACCACTGTGCAAGCAAACCTCTGACCATGGCAGGCAGCCACCGTGGGGGCCAAGAGCTTACCCCTGAGAGGCCAACAACCTTGGTTTTGAGTCAGAGTTCTGACACTTATGCCCTCACTGAGCCTCAGTTTTCTCATCTGTAAAATAGGAGTAAAGATGCTAAGGATAAAGAATAAATGAATTAAAGCTGTTCTGCTATCAGCACAGGGCCTGGCACATAAGAGACGCTCAGTAAATGCCTTTCTGTGAATGATGATGGCAATTTCTTCTCCCTTCTCTCTGCCGATCCCAGTCCTTGCCTATTCTTGCAGCCTCAGTCACAGAAGTCCAATATCACCCTCCAACTTCACCTTGAGAGTCCCAGGAATTCAGAGCTGAAAATGACAGGAGAGCTCCTCTGGCCATTTTACGGATGAAACTAGAAAGAGCAAGATATTGTCCAATCTTACAGGGGAAATGAGCAGAGCCAGGAATCTCAGGCTTGGAGCTGGGCCACCCCACCCACCCATCTCCCCCTGCTGACTCCAGTTTCCATCCCAGGCCCTTGGGGCTCACATCCTTCTCCAAAACTGGCTCCCTGGCAAGGCCAGGCCAGGCCAGGCAGGGGAAGGGGCAGTCTGGGCCCATAACTCAGCCAAGTCACCTGGCAGCTGCTCCTGGCACACAAGCCATTAAAACCTTCACATCTGTTATCTGCACCAACAGCAAATCAACATGAGGCCGCTCTCCTTCCCTCAGCAGGTCCGAGGGCTTGGATGCAGCCACCACTGTATTAACTCATTAACTCTCAAATTTTAGCCCCATGCCTCAACCCAATCTCATGTTGGTCACCCCTTCCCTCTTGTACTCAGTCCTCTCCACACACTGACCCTACCCAATAGCCACCCCTCACTCCTGGCCACAATCAAGCCAGAGGGTTAAGCCACGTACATAAATCACTAAAACACGGGGAAATTCAATACTTGGATGGGTGAGGCAGGACCCACTCCTTACTCAGGAGATGAATAGCTCCCCTGCCTGCTCCTCTCCTTTAGAACTGTGGGTCTCAACCCCTGGAAGGGTACATATCTGAAAAGTTCCAATGCATAGAATGAGAAAATCAGAAACCCTGAGGTCAGAGCCAGGCTTGGAACATTTAAAAACATCTCTCCAGGTCATTCTGGTGCACAGTCACAGCTGAGAACCACAGGTTAAAAGCTTGGTTTGTGGGAAGCAATGTGATCTCCTCTCATGAGCATTCATCACACTCTGGGCAGTAGAGGCCTCCCGGCCACCAGACTGTCTTTGTCAGTGCAGTGATTTTGTGCCCAGGCTCTGGAGTGAGATTGCCTGGGCCCAAGTTCTGTTTTGAAAGTCTATGCAGACAGTGTGACCTCTTAGGTGAACGTTTAAAAAAGACTCTGCAAGCCTCTTCCCTGAACTGTGCAAAGGACAGTGAGAGTCCTGACATGACTGTGTTACTGAGGAAGGAAATGAGGTGATGTGTACAAGGAACACTCAGGCCAGGCACTCAGTAGGTCTGGAGGGATGTGGGTACTTTTCCATCCCAGGGTGCTCCATGCACTCGGCTCCACCCTCTTTCCAGTGCTTCTTTGGAATCAAATACTACGATAGCATCAGCATGAGCCAGACATGCTCCTACGTCTGCTTATTATCTTGTTCCTGGCACATGGCGTGTCTACCAGGGAGCTCACCAGATAAGTAAAGGAAGCAAATACCAAGGTTCATGTCTCAAGTGTTGCTGTGAAAAATGAGAAAAAGAAAAGCTTTCCACCTCTCAGAACTTGTTGGAGCAAAATCATAGTGATACCACTGATTATGTTTTGGTGGCTGTAGATATTTTTTAAATGCCCTAGTTTTAGGCCAGGCACAGTGGCTCACATCTGTAATCCTAGCACTTTGGGAGGCTGAGGTGGGGAGATCACTTGAGGTCAGGAGTCCGAGACCAGCCTAGCCAACATGGTGAAACCCAGACTCTACTAAAAATACAGAAATTAGCCAAACACGGTGGTGCATGCCTGTAATCCCAGCTACTCGGGAGGCTGAGGCAGGAGAATCACTTGAGCCCAGGAGGCAGAGGTTGCAGTGAGCTGAGATCATGCCACTGCACTCTAGTCTGGGCAACAGAGAGAGACTCCGTCTCAAAAAAAAAAAAATGCCCTAGGCTTAAAAAAAATATATGTATTTATGCTCCGGATTTTTAAAAACATATATGCAATTATGTGATTTGGGTACAAACCAACATTTTTAAAACTCCAGATGATAGGCCTCGTTGTAAAACACAGTGATGGGCTGGGTCTATGTGTGTTGACTCTGCTGCAATGACACTGCCTTCATGGCAGGACCCTGATTTTTTGAAGGGCCCCTGCCCCTCAGCTGGTACTTAGCACAGCTTCAAAGAAAGAGGCATTGAGTCAGGCATGTGAGGGCATCTTTTTCTTGTTGGAACTTCCCTCCAGCTCTTCACTGAGGCATCAGGGGAGGAGCTGGGCAAGTTGACCAACCTCAGGCTTTCACTTTGAACTTTAGACCTTTAAGTACCAAGTCATGGAGACTTTCAGAGCCTCAGTTTACTCATCCATAAAATGGGTATAATTTCCTTGCTAGACTATTTTGAGAGTTAAGTGAGATAACATATTATGAAAACACCCAGGTCACTGTAGAAAATGGAGCAGACACCGCTTAAACGAGCTGGTTCTTTTTCTAAATCCTTCATCGTGGGAAATGTAAGCCAGCTCCTCTTGCCTCCATGGGGAAGCCCTGCCTCTTTGGGAGCCTATTAGCTGTGCCAAGTAGATAGTTAAACATACAAACTGACAAAGGGGTTGTTGAGCTATTTCAGAGCACCCCACTACCCCGGCAGATGGTCCTGGGCCAGATGGCTTGGGAGGTAGGGGGCCGGGAGTGGCAGCCCAGGTGTTTGCTGTGGCAGCATAGGTGTGTGAGGGAAGAGTCCACTTGTCCACCTCCTGCCCCCCTCGGATTTCTCCTCCAGAGGGGGCGCTGCCCAGCCTCGACAGATGTGCAGTCTGGGAAGGTTTCCAGGCCCAGTGTGGGGAAAGAGGCCAATTAACCCCATGCCAGGACCTGCTCTGGCAAAATGGGAAGTTGGTGAGTTTGTCCTGGTGCTTTTAAGGTTCCGCTGCTCAACTTTCTTCACCTTCAACCATTGACTCCTGCACCTTCCAAGGTTAGCATGCTGCATTCCAATTTGGCAGCTTCTGTCTCTCTCTCACTCCCTCAAAACTCCTTCCATTTTTCTCGGGATTTTATTCATACCTGTGGAAGCAGTTAATCGGTTGCAGCAGTCCATGCTGGTGACTTAGACCCCTAATGTGTCTCCCCTCCAGGAACCCCTGTGTTGTGACTCTTGATACCGGTAGGAGTTTAGCAGCCCCACAGGTCAGTGAGGGAAACATCTGTGATGGGCTCCTCACATCCTTTGGGAGAGTACCTGCTCTACTCACATGAGGGAACATTGCAAAGAGAGAAAGCCTACTTTCAATGAGCCACAGCCTCTCTGGGCCTCAGTTCTGAGCATTCAGGGTTGCACGAAAATAAGAGGTTGGGATAATAGTGCCATGCAAAGATCTGGAGGATGCTAGCGTGGAAAGGAGGTGACGTGTTTCAGGCACTCGTCACAGAGCCCATTGTTCTTCTAAGGGTGAGTCACATTTGGAGGCAGAGGCCAGCCAGGCATTTCACTCATGGGGACATGAAAGAGTATTGAAAGCAGTATAGTTTAGGGGCCATATGCATTTTCTGGGGCTGCAGTAATGAAGTGCCACAAGCTAGGCATCTTAAACAAGAGCAGTGGGTTGCTTCACAGTTATGGAGGCTGAAAACCCAGTGTCCCGGTGTCGGTGGGGTTGTTCCTTTTGAGAAGTGTCTGTTCCAGGCTTCTCTCCTCAGCTTGTGGATGGCTGCCTTCTCTCTGTGCTTCTTCATGTCATCTTCCCTCTACAAATATCTGTCTCTGTGTCCAAATTTCCCCTTTTATAAACACACCATTCATATTGGATGAGGGGTCTACATTGCTCCAGGATGACCTCATCTTAACTCACTGCATCTGCAATGACCCTATTTCCAAATGAGATCACATATGAATCTTGGGAGGGGACACAAGTTAAACCCATAACAGAGCTAAATACGGCTCTGCTGTCACACAGTCCTGAATTCCAACCATGTGGGACCTTACTTAGAAGAACCCTTCAACATTACGAGGCCCCAGTCTCCTCATCTGTAAAATGTGAATAGGAAGAGGCCATCCCTGAGAGGGATATTTTAAGGCAAGCTAAAATAATGTCTACAATACATTAAACATGTGAATTGGGAAAATTTAAGTCCTCAAGGGACAGCAGTTGCTATTTTGATTATTCTGCCCATGCAGCCACGTAGGGACCTGTCCACCTGATCCAGAGATCAGACTGTCTTTGTCCATGTAACTGGGAAAGGAGAGACCAGACCTAGTCCCCAGCCATGTGGGTGTCTAACCCAGTCTCTCATAGCTCGAGGCTTGAGGAAATGCTATGTTAAAATAGAACAAAGATTTCCAATGCAATTAAAATTCCTTTGGTAAAGAAGTAAAAGATTTGTGGCAGCAAAGAGTATGAAGCAGAAGTAATAATTAAGATAATATCAATGCATGTTATTTTATGTTTTTCACATAAGGTCTTTTTAAAAGTATATTCTTCCTTGAATCTCAGTTTCTTTTGTCTTTGGAGGAAGCAGACGGCTCAGAAACAAAGTTCTGGCAATTTGGAAGCATTCTCTGGGATTCCTCCTATTCCCCCCACTTCACAGTCATTTTCAAATCGTGTGAGAGAAAAGATTCCTGCTTAAGTATGTCTCCAGTCTCCCAAACCTAAAGGTCTCCTGTCTGCAACAGAAAAGCACCACAATAGCCATGTTCCTATCCAATTAGGAGCTTGAGCTGATAAAATATTTCCTGCCAAGAATAGCAATTCAAGAGAAAAAGAGAGAGAGAGAGAGAGAGAGATTTTCTTCTTCAAAAGTATGGAAAAAAGGCTTTTAATCAGAGAAGCAGATCTTTCTTTTTATTACTGAGGATAATATGATATGAAATTCTCCTCAAAACTGCACATAATGAAGGTAAAATGAATCATGGGAAAATTCCCTTCTGTTACTGTAAAATTCTGATGAGCATGGGAGAGTTTAGAAGTGTTTTAGTTAGTTAGTCTGAATTAGTATCTACTTTTTCTCAAAAGAAGATGGTCTCTTTTTGTTTAAAGAAATATCCTCAGGCACTTGAGGTAGACTAAATAATGACCCCCAAATATGTCCAAGTCCTCATCGCTGGAAGCTGTGAACGTTACCTTATGTGGTGTGGTGATTAATTGTATTTGTCCACTTGGCTATGCTGTGGTACCCAGCTTTTGAAAACTTTTTTTTTAGAGATAGGGTCTCACTATGTTGCCCAGGCTGGTCTTGAACTCCTGGGTTCAAGCGATCCACCAGCCTCGGCCTCCCAAAGTGTTGAGATTACAGGTATGAGCCAGGGCACCCAGCTGGTACCAAGTTTTTTGATCAAACACCAATCTACCTATTACAGTGAAGGTAATTTTTAGATGTGATTCACATTTAAATAAGTATACTTTGAGTAATGTGGGTTACCCCCCATAATATGGGTGGGTCATATCCAATCAATCATGGCCTTAAGAGAAGGTAATAAGCTTCCCCGAAAAAGAGAATTCTACCTCCAGACTTCCTTCAGACTCAGAACTGCAACATCAACCCTTTCCTGAGTCTCCAGCCTGCGAGCCTGCCCTGCAGAGTTTAGATCTGTCAGCCTCCATAATCATGTGAGCCAATTCCTTAAAATAAATGTCTGTCTATATTTATCTATCTAATCTATCCATCTGCCTCCCTATCTATCTATCTATCTATCTATCTATCTATCTATCTATCATCTACCTATTATCTATCATTGTCTATTATCTATCATTGCTATTATCTACCTATCTATCTAATTGATTCTGTTTCTTGGGAGATGTGATAACATTCAGGGTCTTGAGTTGGGGAGATTATCCTGGATGATCTAGGTGGGCCCAGTGTAATCACAAGGGTCCTTATAAAGGAACTGCAGAAGAAGTCAGAATCAGAGAATGTGATGTGGTGACAGGAGCCAAGGCTGGAGATGTGATCTGCATATGGAAAAAAGGAGGCCACAGCCAAAGGAATCCTGGCAGCTTCTAGAAGCTACAACAGGCAGGGAGACAAATTCTCCACTCAGAGCCTCAAGAAGAAGCCAGTCTTGCCCACACCTTGACTTTGACTTTGGGCCTTCTGAACCCCAGGACTATAAAATAATACATCTGTGTTGTTTCAAGCCACCAAATTTGTGGTAATTTCTTACAGCAGCAATAGGACACTAATACAATGACTAAGAGCTACCAAAGAAAACTTGCTGGGTATGTGAAATAAAAAGTACTTTTAGAGCCCTGTATTTTTATTTATTATTATTTATTTGTTTTGAGATGGAGTCTCGCTCTGTCACCCAGGCTGGAGGGCAGTGGTGCGAGCTCAGCTCACTGCAACCTCCACCTTCCAGGTTCAAGCGACTCTTCTGCCTCAGCTGCCTGAGTAACTGGGGTCACACGTGCATACCACCACGCCCAGCTGATTTTTGCATTTTTGGTAAAGCTAGGGTTTCACCATGTTGGCCAGGTTGGTCTTGAACTCCTGACCTCAATTGATCTGCCTGCCTCAGCCTCCCAAACTGCTGGGATAGAGCCCTGTATTTTAAATATTGACGATTATTACTACTAAGGGTTATTATCCTCTGTAAATAGCTCTTATATACACCATGGAATACTATGCAGCCATAAAAAATGATAAGTTCATGTCCTTTGTAGGGACATGGATGAAACTGGAAACCATCATTCTCAGCAAACTATCGCAAGGACAAAAAACCAAACACCACGTGTTCTCACTCATAGGTGGGAATTGAACAATGAGAACACATGGACACAGGAAGGGGAACATCACACACTGGGGACTGTTGTGGGGTGGGGGGAGGGGGGAGGGATAGCATTAGGAGATATACCTAATGCTAAATGACGAGTTAATCGGTGCAGCACACTAACATGGCACATGTATACATATGTAACAAACGTGCACGTTGTGCACATGTACCCTCAAACTTAAAGTATAATAATAATAAAATTTAAAAAAAAATAAATAATTAAAAAATAAATAAATACAAAGGTAGATACCTCACAACACAGAGCATTTATAAGAATTCAGAGAAGAGGAAATGGCAATATCAAATAAATGCCATAAATATTTTGGACTAGTTGATAATAATGAGACACTATTTTTTGCCTACCTGCTTAGTAAATGTCTTGAGTGATAATACTCACCGAAGATAAGACTGTGGCAAGGCAGCACTTTCCAACACAGCTGGTGGAAATGTAAATGAAAAGCATCGTTTTGGAAATTATTTACATAATATATATCATGAGCCTTGAAAATTTATATCCTTTCACCCATGTGTTCACATTTAGAAATCTAGACCAAGGAAATAATCAGAGATGTGGGCAAAGATGAATGTGTGAGTGTTGCAGCACTAGATACGATGTAATGAAAACAACCGATGAATGTCCATTAACGACGTAATGAAAACAACCGATGAATGTCCCTCAATGTAACAATAGTTAGGGATATCGTAGTAAATATGATGCAACCATTAAATAGAGTGTTTTAAAAAAATCTCTGTCATGGAGTGATGTCAGTGAAAATAGTGAATTAAGGGATTCTAAAAGTCTACCAGTGAGGCCAGGCATGGTGGCTCACGACTGTAATACCAGCACTTTGAGAGGCCAAGGCAGGTGGATCATGAGGTCAGGAGTTCAAGACCAGCCTGGCCGAGATGGTGACACCCTGTCTCTACTAAAAATACAAAAATGAGCTGGACATGGTGGCGGGCACCTGTAATCCCAGCTACTTGGGAGGTTGAGGCAGAGGATTGCTTGAACCCGAGAGGTGGAGGTTGCAGTGAGTCGAGATTGCACCACTGCACTCCAGCCTGGGCAACAGAGCGAGGCTCCATCTCAAAAAAAGAAAAAGAAAAAAAAAAGTCGACCACCGTATCAAACAATGAAAACAAACTGGCAAAAATGGTCGCAATCAATGTCTGACAATCAAACTAAGAAAAACTAACCACTCCTCAAAGTAGTAGCCTTAAAAATAATATCCCATATTCTCATCTCCAGCATAAGAGGAGCAGGATAAGCCTCAAGAATTGTAATTACTAGCTGAGTACCCACTGGTGGTTCTTTGGAAGACCAGCTCAAAGCCTTGTCTTTACCTCACCTAACTGTGCCCACCAGGTACTACAGCAGCTACATGGGGCATTTGTCAGAAACATATATGGGTAAATGTTTCAGCTGCTAATACCTGAGGCAATGGATAACAGTTGGTGCAAGCAATAGACTAACCAAAAAGCTTTGGAGGGAAGACTGAGGACTGAAATGCTTTGGAGAATAAGGGCTTTGAAAAGCTTCAACCTATTCCTGGGAATCTAGAAGGCCATGTGCATTCCCAAGGCTGTGCATCTGCTCAAGAGAGAACTAAGAAAGCCCAAAGCCCTAAGATCTCACCTCTGGCTGATGTTGAAATTCTGTGCAAATAGGAAGTGAAGGCTAAAGCACATTTGTAAACTGCCTGGCTGATTGTTGAAGGCATATCCCATAATACACACAGTACATCTTCAAAGACTGGAAGATGTTTTGGTTCCAGGCATTAATGAAATCTCTGTCCAATTATTAGCTGACTATTAAGCTGGTGAAACAGAGATGTCAGTGGTCACACATTACAAAGAATGCAGACTTTACAAAATCAGTTCAGAAAAGTCACCAAACAACTACAGCAAGCAGCAACAGAAAACCACATTATAATATGCAAAATGTCAGGTTATTGGCTAAAAACTACAAAGCTGGCAGAGAATCAAGAAAGTATTACCCATACAGAAAAATAAAAGAAATCAATAGAAATTATCCCTGATGAAGTCCAAACATTGGACTTACTCCAGTCAAAAGGCAGACACTGACAGAATGCATTTAAAAAAAAAATCATCCAACTATAAACTGTCTATAAGACACTTAGGCTAGAGTCAAAGACACAAATAGGTTGAAAGTAAAAGAATGGAAAAAGATACATCATGCAAAGAGAAATCAAAGAGAGCTGGAGTGGCTATTTTAATATCAGATGAAATAGTCCTTAAGATAAAAAAAGTTACAAGAGACAAAGACAGACATTACACAACAATAAAAGGGTTAACCCAACAAGAAGATATAAAAATTGTAAGTGCATACACATCTAAAATCAATCCCCAAAATACATGAAGAAAAAGCTGACAGAATTGATGGAAGAAATAGACAGTCCAACTGTAACATAGTTGAAGGCATTGATAACTCCTTTAATAATAGATGTGAAAAGTAGACAGAAGATTATCAATTACATAGAAGACTTGAACAACACTGCAAGCCAATTGGACTTAGCAGACATCTACAGAACATTCGACCCAACAGCAGAATATACATTTTTGTCAGATGCACGTGAAACATTCTCCAGCATATGTTATACCACAAAACCAGTCTTAATAAATTTTGAAAGAGTTAAAGCATACAAAATATCTTCTGTGACCACAGTGGAATTTAGTTGAAAATCAATAATAGAGGGTAAATTGGAAAATTCACCAATATGTGGAAATTAAACACATTTATAAATAACCAGTAGGTCAAAATAGGAGCCACAAGGGAAATTAGAAAAAATCTTGAGATTAACAAAAATGAAAAGACTATATAATCAAATTTATAAGATGCTATGAAAGCCGTGCTAGAGGGAAATTTATAGCAGTAAATTGCTTTAAGAAATTATAATGCATTGCATATTTGAAAATTGCCAATAGAGTAGATTTTAAATGTTTTCACCATCAAATGATAATTATGTGAGTTGATAATTTGTTACTTAGGTTTATTTAATCATCTCTCAATGTAAACATATGTAAAAAATCACATTGTGGCCAGGTGCAGTTGCTCATGCTTGTAATCCCAGTATTTTCGGAGGCCAAGGCTGGTGGATTATCTGAGGTCAAGAGTTTGAGACCAGCCTGGCCAACATGGTGAAACCCCGTCTCTACTAAAAATACAAAAAAATTAGCCGGGTGTGGTGGCGTGTGCCATCTGTAATCCCAGCTACTCAGGAGGCTAAGGCAGAAGGATTGCTTGAACCTGGGAGGCAGAGGTCACAGTGAGCTGAGACCGCGCCAATGCCTTCTAGCCTGGGTGGCAGAGTGAGACTCCATCTCAAAAAAAAAAAAAAAATTGTACCCCATAAATATACTCAATTGCTCAATTGTTTTTGTCAATAAAAATTTTTTTTAAATAATTTTTAAATGCCTTCACTAAATAAAAAGACATTAAGTAAATATCTTAACCTTCAACCTTAAGAAAGTAGAAAAATAAAAGTAACTAAACCTGAGCAAGCAGAAAGAAGGAAATCATTAAGATTAGGGTAGATATAAATAAAACTGAGTATAAAAAAATAGAGAAAATAAAAACAAAAATTTGTTCTTTAAAAAGATTAGTAAATTTTTAAAACAAAGTCCACGAAGTAGCTATTTTATTATTCCTGTTTTACAGATGAACAAGCTGAAGTGTAGGGAGCTGATTCACTTATTAATTCCACAGTTATTGAAGCACCCCCTTTGTGCCTGGCCCTGGGCAAGGCTCTGGAGAGACAGCTGAAGGCAAGACGCACAGTCAGGGAGCTTACGTTCTGGGAGGT
This sequence comes from Homo sapiens, assembly GCF_000001405.40. NCBI lineage: Eukaryota > Metazoa > Chordata > Mammalia > Primates > Hominidae > Homo > Homo sapiens. The sequence goes on along the minus strand of NC_000016.10, from coordinate 49,041,590 downwards.
AGACACACAACCAGCGTGGTGACTCTAAAGCGAGGCCTTCTTGATCTGCAGGTTCAGGAAAGGTTTTTTTAGAGCAAGTGAGGTGTAAGTGAATTCCTGAGGGAATGAAGGACGCCCTTCACCGGAGGGAGTACTGCCATGCTGAATTTAGCCAGTAGAGACCCATCCAGGGCTGGCAGGCAGAGCTGGCACTGGGACCTAGGGGCTGGCCAGCTCCATCACACATGTACAATGTAGCAGGCCTTCCTCCCTGGGCTTCTGCTCTCCATAGGAAAGTGTCTTTCTTCCTCCTTCCCCTCACTATTCTGGGAAGGAGTTCAGGAAGGGAGAGCTCTGCCTGTTTCAGGGTCTTGGGTCCTTTGAACAGGTCTAGTTACCAGAACTGAGAGGCCCATTTCTGCCAAAGCAGCAGAAACAAGCCCCAGGAATAGGCGTAGAGTTCTGGTAACCTCATTGTAGGAGCAGGTGCGGGGGGAGAAGAGAAATGACATTGTTTCTTACTCAAGGTTACAGCCTTCAGGCACAGGGCCTCCTCACTCAAGGGCTGAGTGGCTGGAGACCCAGCAATCAGAGCTGTCTCCCTACATGGTCCTTATAATGCAGTGGTGGAGGGCTGGGGCTGGCCTAACAGCTGCTGGCAGATAGATCCGTGTTCTGATCGCCAAGTCGCATTAGATACCATCTCTGTGACCCTAGATACTTCACTTAAGTCACTCTGAGTTTCTGTTTCATCTTTAAAATGGAAGCAATCAGAGTATATACTTCATCGAGGTGTTTGGGAGTCAAATGAGATACATTTAAAATGCTGAACATGGTAGACAATAAATGTTTGATGCTGAAAACAGAAAGATCAATACAATAGACAATTCTATTGTAGGCTGACAAAGAAAAAAATAAAGAAACTCAAATTGCTAAAATCAGGAATGGAAGTGGAGATATTGCTATTGCCCTTGCAGATACTAAAAAAAAAAAGATTATAAGAAAATACTAGGAACAATTGTATGCCAATAAATTAGATAACCTAGCTGAAACGAACAAATTCCAGGACACACACATTACCAAAACTGACTCAACAAGAAATAGAAAATCTGAATAGATCTACGACAAATAAAGCTATTGAGTGATTAATTTTAAAAAACTTTCAACAAAGAAAAGCCCAGTACCAGATGTTTCCAGCAGAATCAACATCAGTCTTCAACTTCTTTCAAAAATTGAAGAGGAAAAAACACAGCCTAAGTCATTCCACGAGACCAGTTTTATTTATCCTGATACCAAATCTAGGCAAAGTCATCACAAGAAAAGAAAATACAGATCTTTATGCATATATCATCAACAAAAATCCTCCGTAAAATATTATCAAAATTATATTTTAAAATCCTCAACAAAATATTAGCAAGCCAAATCCGGCGGCACATTAGGATTATTCACCATGATCAAGTTGAATTTATCCCAGGAATGCAAAGATTCAACACAAGAAAGTCAATCAATGCAATACAACACATTATTAAGGGATTAAAAAAAAAACCCACATGAACATCTTAATTGATGCAGAAAAAGCATTTGACAAAATCCAACACTCTTTCTTGATTAAAAACAAAAACTGAACAAACTGGGTATTGAAGAGAGCTTTTTCAACGTCATGAAGGGCACCTATGAAAAACCCACAGCTAACAGTAGATTAATGGGAACAGATGGAAAACTTTCTTCCTACGGTCAGGAATAGGACAAGAATGTCTGCTTTCAATGTGATTATTCAAATTACACTGAAAGTTCTAGCCAGGGCACATAGGCAAGTAAAACAAATAAAAAGCATCTAAACTTGAAAGGAATAAGTATAACTATCTCTACTTACAGATGATATAATCTTACATATACATAATCATAAAGACAGAACAACAAAATTATTAGAGCTAGTAATTGAGTTTGGCAATGTTGCAGGATACAAGATCAATACACAAAAATATGTTGTAATCCAATACATGAGCAATGAACAATCTGAAAATAAAATTAAGAATACAATTCCATCTACAATAATGTAAAAAAGAGAATAAAATACTTGGGAGTAAATTTAACCATGGAAGTGTAAGTTTTGTACACTGAAAACTACAAAATGGTGTTGGAAAAAATTAAAAGATGGCCCAAATGAATGTAAAGACATTCATAGACTGAAAAATTTAATACTGTCAAATAGCAATACTCCCCAAATTAATTTACAGATTTATTGCAATCCTTATAACATTTCCAAACATTGTTTTTGCAAAAATGGACAAGTTGATTTTAAAATTCACATGGAAATGCAAGGCACACAGTATACTTGAAACAATCTTGCAAAGGAGAACAAAGATGGAGGACTCACACTTCATGATTGATTTCAAAATTTACTACAAAGCTACAGTAAGAGAAACAGTGTGGTACTGAAATAAGGGTAGACATATATGTCAATGGAAGAGATCGAAAGCCCAGAAATAAACCATACATCTATAGTTAGTTGATTTTTCTACAAGAGTGCCAAGACCATTCATGGAGAAAAGACAGTCTTTTCAACAAATGCTGTTGGGAAAACTGGATATCCTCATGCAAAAGAGTGAATTTGGGCTCTTACTTTGTACCATACATACAAATTAACTCAAAAATGGATAAGATCTGAATTTAAGAGCTCAATATTGCTTCTTGGCCTTTTGGCTAAGATCAAGTGAAGAGCTAAACATAGAAAACCCTTAGACAGAAAAATAGGTGTAAATTTTTGTGAACTTGGATTAGGCAAAGGTTTCTTAAATATGACACCAAAAGCACAAACAACCAAAGAAAACAACAAATAATTTGGACTTCATAAAAATTAAAACTTCTATGCATCAAAAGACACAATCAAAAAAGTGAAAGAACATTTCACAGAATGGAAGAAAATATTTGCAAATTGTTTACTATGTTGATAAGAATGTAGTATTTGGAATATATGATAAACTCATAGTTTTTGTTAAAGGACAAAAAGATTCAATTGGAAAATGAGCAAAGTACTTGAATAGACATTTCTCCAAAGCTTTATAAGTGGCCAACAAACACATGAAAAGGTGCTTAGCATCATTAGTAATCAGGGAAATGCAAATCAATACTACAGTGAGATACCAATTCATAACTAGGATGGCTATACTCACATAAATGGAAAATAACAAGTGTTGCAAAGAATATGGAAAAATTGGAGCTCTCATACATTGCTCACGGGAATGTAAAATGGTGCACCTGTCTTGAAAAAAAGTTTGGCAGTTTCTCAAAAAGTTGAACATAGTTACCATATGACCCAGCAGTTCCACTTCTGTGTATGTACCCAAGAGAATTAAAAACATGTGTCCACACAAAAATTTGTATACAGATGCTCATAGCAGCATTATTCATAATAACCAAAAAATGGAAATGATCCAAATATTCATCAACTGATGAATGCCTAAATAAAATGTGGTATATCCATACAATGAAATAGCATTTCACAATATAATGAAATTGAAGTTCTGTTACATCCTACAACATAGATGAATCTCAAAAACATTATGCTAAATGAAAGAAGCCAGTCACAAAAGCGCACATACTGTATTATTTCATTTATATGAAATGCCCAGAAAAGACACATTCTTAGAAACAGAAAGTAGATAGTGGTTGCCAGGGGCTGGGACAGGAAAAAATGGGAAGGGACTATTTAATGGATATGGGGTTTCTTTCTCAGGTGATGAAAATGTTCTGAAATTTAAGTAGTCGTGAGGGTTGCAAAACATACTAAAACCAACTGAATTACCACTTTAAAATAGTTCAACTGTTGAACTTCATGCTCTGTGAGTTTTATCTCATTAAACATTTTTAAAAATAGTGTATAAAAGTATGAAAAGTGTTACTTTACTAGTAGGTAAATTTAAAAGAAAACTATCTTTTCTGTGTAGTGACACAGGAAATACCTTATTTAAAAAAATTAGGATACAAAATTATAGATGTATCAGTTCCCAATTACATAAAAGACATGAATGAGAGTGTGTGTAACCAAGAAAAAAAGATCAAAAGGAACATGTGAAAATGTTAATGGTGATTGTCTCCTGGTGTTAATTTATGTTATCTTCCCTATAGCTTACGTACATATCTGTATTTTAAAATGATCTAAGTGAACATTATTTTAAAATTTTAATTTGTTTTATGTTTTAAAAAATATTTTAACTTTTATTTTTAGGTTCAGGGTTACATGTACAGGTTTGTTATATAGGTAAACTCAGGGGTTTGGTATACAGATTATTTCATCCCCTGGGTACTAAGCATAGGACTAAGTGAACATTATTAATTTTTTTTTTTGAGTTACACAGGAAACATGAATATCCTCACTATAAAAAAAAGAAATCAAACAGTACAGACAAAGAAAGAAAATTCCCTTTCATGTTTCACCTGCCAGCTGATCAGTTAAATATCAGTTTCATCAGTGTGGTTCATGTCTTAGCAGACCATTTGTTATTGATTTACTGAGGTCCACACACACTTAGAAAAATGTAGGTTTTCTTTTTGCACTTTTTAAAAGCACAAATAATACATGAAACACAATATGTCTATTATTCTGCAAATTATTTTTCTTCCTCTTACTTATGCATTGTGGAGAGTTCTCAGTGTCCTCACAGAGATCTAGCCCCCACTTTTTAGCTGCTGCATGGAACTCCACAGCATGGACACACTCCACGTATCCCATTGGATAAAATGTCCATCATTTCTAAATTTTTGCTCTACAGACAAACTTCATTAGTTGTGCCTCTTTGGGTACCTGGGCAAGGATCTTCTGAGGAGAGTTATCTAGAAACAGCAGTGCTAGGTCACAGGCTACATGCTCTTCAAAATTGTAGTAATTCTACCACCCTTTCCTCCAGAAAAAATGTCCCAAATTGTTTTGTTATCACTTTTATTATCAGTACTAATTTTTCACCACATATCCCTTTATAATTAGAAAATGATTAAGCCTTTCCAATGTACTCTTTGTTTTCTTTTTTAGCTTGGGCACCAATAGCCAAGATAGGCATCATTGGGCCAAGATTCAATGGGAATAGAGTTCCTCATGTCCCTCCTTCATCATCCTTATCTGCAAGTAAGGAGAATAATTATAGTGGTCCTTGGAATAACAATAATGTCTGGTACTCATGTTGGTATTTGTGGTTTGCAAGATGCTTCTGATGAGCAAACCAACCAGTGAGCCTCGCGGTCCTTGAGCAAAGTGGTAACCAGGTGACCAGGCTGAGGTCCAAATGTAGGACCTGACTTGATCACTTACTACCCAGCTGGGTGGTCTTGGGCTCATTGCTCAGCTTCTCTGTGCCTCAATGTTCTCATCTGTGTTAAAGCAGGGATAACAGCAGTGCCTCTCTCCTGGCTGTGGTGTGGACAAACTGAGATGAGATGCCTGATGCTTAATATCCCTCAGTCAAAACCAAATTGTGTTGTGATGATACCAGCAATACATGAACAATCAGCTGGTTTTACTCTAGAAAGTTAACTCTGTTTCCTTCCTTGTCTTCCTGCTGCAGTGGAAGAAAAGGCTACACCAGACTCTCACCTTGAGGCAGATCATGCCCAATTTGCACTCAAGGAGACAGCAATGCCCATCTTCACACATATTGTAAAAAATTTAATTGCTGATGTTTCTGGATTTCAGTTTGAAGGGCTACCTAGTTCTGGTGTGAAAGAAGCAGGTGAGAGAAGTGTCTTTAGGGTAACAGGGAGGAAATGCAGAGGCTCCCATCCCAGCCTCAGCAAAGAGTGAGGGCCATGCATCCCAGGCTTGGGAGGGAAGGGACAGAGAACCAGCTCCAGGGACCATGAGGGCTGGGATGATGGACTCCCCAACAGAAATCCTTCAGTGCTTGAGATTCCAGGGGCTTTGTAATGTCTTGGCACTTTGCACAGCCAAAATACTGGGGTAGAGGGAAGAGGGATGGGAAAGGGAAGATAGAGGTATATCTGCCTCCCTAAGAGGGTAATTGCAGGAAAGGCATGGTTAGGTCACGTATTTTGTTTTGCTTTTGTTTCCTTAGTGCTTTGTTTTTTAAAGGCTCTTTCATTTATCACTATTCTTTTTCAGCCATGAATTGTCTACTAATTCAGTTATGAATTTAAGACTACTGTCACCAAGTTATTCTACGTTTCCAAAACGTTATCAATTCTCTATGAAGATGCCCCAATAGAATGTAGTCCAGTGCATTCCAGAGCGTAATACACAGGCCATCAACAGCAGTGAGATAGTTATTGGAGGCCCACAGACATTTCTTAGTGGTTATTTATTTTAATATGCATGTGTATATATACATACATATTATTTACACCAGTTTTCCACTTATGATAGTGACGTGAAATTTTCTTTGTAAAAATTTTATTTAAGTTGAATGAAACAATTTAAAGTAAAATTATTAGGTGAACAAGTTGTTCTAAGATGTGACAAAAATTGAGCAATGATTAAGGTTTGGGAAATCCTGTTGCAGAGAAGAGCAATCCACTGTGTGTGTTGGTAGGTAAATGTTATAACTTGTTTTTAATCCTCTCTGGAGCCATGTAGAAATAGAGTCACAAATCAAAGTAATTCTCATTTAAAATCCCCTTCACTTTACAGCCATAGCTTTATAGATTTGTTTTCTCTTTCCTGTGTGGCAGCAAAGTCCTTTTCTACGTCCCACACCATCCAATCACCTGCCTCCCCGAAAAGAATTTCTTCTTTTAAATTTTTTTATTTTTTATTTTATTTTATTTTTTATTATACTTTAAGTTCTAGGGTACATGTGCACAACGTGCAGGTTTGTTACATATGTATACATGTGCCATGCTGGTGCGCTGCACCCACTAACTCGTCATTTACATTAGGTATATCTCCTAATGCTATCTCTCCCCACTCCCCACACCCCACGACAGGCTCCAGTGTGTGATGTTCCTCTTCCTGTGTCCAAGTGTTCTCATTGTTCAATTCCCACCTATGAGTGAGAACATGCAGTGTTTGGTTTTTTGTCCTTGTGATAGTTTACTGAGAATGATGGTTTCCAGCTTCATCCATGTACCTAGAAAGGACATGAACTCATCCTTTTTTATGGCTGCATAGTATTCCATGATGTATATGTGCCACATTTTCTTAATCCAGTCTATCATTGATGGACATTTGGGTTGGTTCCAAGTCTTTGCTATTGTGAATAGTGCCACAATAAACATACTTGTGCATGTGTCTTTATAGCAGCATGATTTATAATCCTTTGGGTATATACCCAGTAATGGGATGGCTGGGTCAAATGGTATTTCTATTGCTAGATCCTTGAGGAATCGCCACACTGTCTTCCACAATGGTTGAACTAGTTTACAGTCCCACCAACAGTGTAAAAGTGTTCCTATTTCTCCACATCCTCTCCAGCACCTGTTGTTTCCTGACTTTTTAATGATCACCATTCTAACTGGTGTGAGATGGTATCTCATTGTGGTTTTGATTTGCATTTCTCTGATGGCAAGTGATGATGAGCATTTTTTCATGTGTCTGTTGGCTGCATAAATATCTTCTTTTGAGAAGTGTCTGTTCATATCCTTTGCCCACTTTTTGATGGGGTTGTTTCTTTTTTTCTTGTAAATTTGTTTGAGTTCTTTGTAGATTCTCGATATTAACCTTTTGTCAGATGAGTAGATTGCAAAAATTTTCTCCCATTCTGTGGGCTGCCTGTTCACTCTGATGGTAGTTTCCTTTCCTGTGCAGAAGCTCTTTAGTTTAATTAGATCCCATTGGTCAACTTTGGCTCTTGTTGCCATTGCTTTTGGTGTTTTAGACATGAAGTTCTTGCACATGCCTATGTCCTGAATGGTATTGCCTAGGTTTTCTTCTAGGGTTTTTATGGTTTTAGGTCTAACATTTAAGTCTTTAATCCATCTTGAATTAATTTTTGTATAAGGTGTAAGGAAGGGATCCAGTTTCAGCTTTCTGCATGCGGCTGGCCAGTTTTCCCAGCACCATTCATTAAATAGGGAATCCTTTCCCCATTTCTTGTTTTAGTCAGGTTTGTCAAAGATCAGATGGTTATAGATGTGTGATGTTATTCATTAGGCTCTGTTCTGTTCCATTTGTCTGTATCTCTGTTTTGGTACCAGTACCATGCTGTTTTGGTTACTGTAGCCTTGTAGTATTGTTTGAAGTCAGGTAGTGTGATGCCGCCAGCTTTGTTCTTTTGGCTTAGGATTGACTTGGCAATGCGGGCTCTTTTTTGCTTCCATATGAACTTTAAAGTAGTTTTTTCCAATTCTGTGAAGAAAGTCATTTGTAGCTTGATGGGGATGGCACTGAATCTATAAATTACCTTGGGCAGTATGGCCATTTTCACGATATTGATTCTTCCTATCCATGAGCATGGAATGTTCTTCCATTTGTTTGTGTCCTCTTTTATTTCGTTGAGCAGTGGTTTGTAGTTCTCCTTGAAGAGGTCCTTCTCATCCCTTGTAAGTTGGATTCCTAGGTATTTTTTTCTCTTTGAAGCAATTGTGAACGGGAGTTCACTCATGATTTGGCTCTCTGTCTGTTATTGGTGTATAAGAATGCTTGTGATTTTTGTACATTGATTTTGTATCCTGAGACTTTGCTAAAGTTGCTTACCAGCTTAAGGAGATTTTGGGCTGAGATGATGGGGTTTTCTAAATATACAATCATGTCATCTGCAAATAGGTACAATTTGACTTCCTCTTTTCCTAATTGAATACCCTTTATTTCCTTCTCCTTCCTGATTGCCCTGGCTGGAACTTCCAACCTATGTTGAATAGGAGTGGTGAGAGAGGGCATCCCTGTCTTGTGCCTGTTTTCAAAGGAAATGCTTCCAGTTTTTGCCCATTCAGTATGATATTGACTGTGGGTTTGTCATAAGTAGCTCTTTTTATTTTGAGATATGTCCCTTCGATACCTAATTTATTGAGAGTTTTTAGCATGAAGTCCTGTTGAATTTTGTCAAAGGCCTTTTCTGCATCTATTGAGATAATCATGTGGTTTTTGTCTTTGGTTCTGTTTATATGCTGGATTACATTTATTGATTTGCATATGTTGAACCAGCCTTGCATCCCAGGGATGAAGCCTACTTGATCATGGTGGATAAGCTTTTTGATGTGTTGCTGGATTTGGTTTGCCAGTATTTTGTTGAGGATTTTTGCATCAATGTTCATCAGGGATATTGGTCTAAAATTCTCTTTTTTTTGTTGTGTCTCTGCCAGGCTTTGGTATGAGGATGATGCTGGCCTCCTAAAATGAGTTAGGGAGGATTCCCTCTTTTTCTACTGGTTGGAATAGTTTCAGAAGGGATAGTACCAGCTCCTCTCTGTATCTCTGGTAGAATTCGGCTGTGAATCCGTCTGGTCCTGGACTTTTTTTTTGTTGGTAGGCTATTAATTATTGCCTCGATTTCAGAGCCTATTATTGGTCTATTTAGGGATTCAACTTCTTCCTGGTTTAGTCTTGGGAGGGTGTATGTGTCCAGGAATTTATCCATTTCTTCTAGATTTTCTAGTTTATTTGTGTAGAGATGTTTATAGTATTCTCTGATGGTAGTTTGTATTTGTGTGGGATTGGTGGTGATATCCCCTTTATCATTTTTTATTGCATCTATTTGATTCTTCTCTCTTTTCTTCTTTATTAGTCTTGTTAGCAGTCTATCAGTTTTGTTGATCCTTTCAAAAAACCAGCTCCTGGATTCATTGATTTTTTTGAAGGGTTTTTTGTGTCTCTATCTCCTTCAGTTCTGCTCTGATCTTAGTTATCTCTTGCCTTCTGCTAGGTTTTGAATGTGTTTGCTCTTGCTTCTCTAGTTCTTTTAATTGTGATGTTAGGGTGTCAATTTTAGATCTTTCCTGCTTTCTCTTGTGGGCATTTAGTGCTATAAACTTCCCTCTACACACTGCTTTAAATGTGTCCCAGTGATTCTGGTATGTTGTGTCTTTGTTCTCACTGGTTTCAAAGAACATCTTTATTTCTGCCTTCATTTCTTTGTGTACCCAGTAGTCATTCAGGAGCAGGTTGTTCAGTTTCCATGTAGTTGAGTGGTTTGAGTGAGTTTCTTAATCCTGAGTTCTAGTTTGATTGCACTGTGGTCTGAGAGACAGTTTGTTATAATTTCTGTTCTTTTACATTTGCTGAGGAGTGCTTTACTTCCAATTATGTGGTCAATTTTGGAATAGGTGTGATGTGGTGCTGAGAAGAATGTATATTCAGTTGATTTGGGGTGGAGAATTCTGTAGATGTCTATTAGGTCCGCTTGGTGCAGAGCTGAGTTCAATTCCTGCATATCCTTGTTAACTTTCTGTCTCATTGATCTGTCTAATGTTGACAGTGGGGTGTTAAAGTCTCCCATTATTATTGTGTGGGAGTCTAAGTCTCTTTGTAGGTCACTAAGGACTTGCTTTATGAATCTGGGTGCTCCTGTATTGGGTGCATATATATTTCGGATAGTTAGCTCTTCTTGTTGAATTGATCCCTTTACCATTATGCAATGGCCTTCTTTGTCTCTTTTGATCTTTGTTGGTTTAAAGTCTGTTTTATCAGAGACTAGGATTGCAACCCCTGCCTTTTTTTGTTTTCCATTTGCTTGGTAGATCTTCCTCCATCCCTTTATTTTGAGCCTATGTGTGTCTCTGCACGTGAGATGGGTCTCCTGAATACAGCACACTGATGGGTCTTGACTCTTTATCCAATTTGCCAGTCTGTGTCTTTTAATTGGAGCATTTAGCCCATTTAAATTTAAGTTTGGTATTGTTACGTGTGAATTTGATCCTGTCATTATGATGTTAGCTGGTTATTTTGCTCGTTAGTTGATGCAGTTTCTTCCTAGCATCGATGGTTTTTACAATTTGGCGTGTTTTTCCAGTGGCTGGTACTGGTTGTTCCTTTCCATGTTTAGTGCTTCCTTCAGGAGCTCTTGTAGGGCAGGCCTAGTGGTGACAAAATCTCTCAGCATTTCCTTGTCTGTAAAGGATTTTATTTCTTCTTCACTTATGAAGCTTAGTTTGGCTGGATATGAAATTCTGGGTTGAAAATTCTTTTCTTTAAGAATGTTGAATATTGGTCCCCACTCTCTTCTGGCTTGTAGAGTTTCTGCTGAGACATCCGCTGTTAGTCTGATGGGCTTCCCTTTGTGGGTAACCCGACCTTTCTCTCTGGCTGCCCTTAACATTTTTTCCTCCATTTCAACCTTGGTGAATCTGACAATTGTGTGTCTTGGGGTTGCTCTTCTCAAGGAGTATCTTTGTGGTGTTCTCTGTATTTCATGAATTTGAATGTTGGCCTGCCTTGCTAGGTTGGGGAAGTTCTCCTGGATAATATCCTGAAGAGTGTTTTCCAGCTTGGTTCCATACTCCCCGCCACTTTTCAGGTACACCATTCAGACGTAGACTTGGTCTTTTCACATAGTCCCATATTTCTTGGAGGCTTTGTTCATTTCTTTTTATTCTTTTTTCTCTAAACTTCTCTTCTTGCTTCATTTCATTCATTTGATCTTCAATAACTGATACCCTTTCTTCCAGTTGATCGAATCAGCTACTGAAGCTTGTGCATTCGTCAAGTAGTTCTCGTACCATGGTTTTCGGCTCCATCAGGTCATTTAAGGATTTCTCTACACTGGTTATTCTAGTTAGCCATTCGTCTAATGTTTTTTCAAGGTTTTTAGCTTCTTTGCGATGGGTTCGAACTTCCTCCTTTAGCTCGGAGAAGTTTGATCGTCTGAAGACTTCTTCTCTCAACTCGTCAAAGTCATTCTCTGCCCAGCTTTGTTTTGTTGCTGGCGAGGAGCTGCATTCCTTTGAAGGGGGAGAGGCACTCTGATTTTTAGAATTTTCAGCTTTTCTGCTCTGCTTTTTCCCCATCTTTGTGGTTTTATCTACCTTTGGTCTTTGATGATGGTGACGTACAGATGGGATTTTGGTGTGGATGTCCTTTCTGTTCATTAGTTTTCCTTCTAAGAGTCAGGACCCTCAGCTGCAGGTCTGTTGGAGTTTGCTGGAGGTCCACTTCAGACCCTCTTTGCCTGGGTATCAGCAGTGGAGGCTGCAGAACAGCGAATATTGCTGAACAGCGAATATTGCTGAACAGCAAATGTTGCTGCCTGATCGTTCCTCTAGAAGTTTCATCTCAGAGGGATACTCAGCCGTGTGAGGTGTCAGTCTGCCCCTACTGGAGGGTGCCTCCCAGTAAGGCTACTCGGGGGTCAGAGACCCTCTTGAGGAGGCAGTCTGTCCATTCTCAGATCTCAAACTCTGTGCTGGGAGAACCCCTGCTCTCTTCAAAGCTGTCAGACAGGGGCATTTAAGTCTGCAGAGGTTTCTGCTGCCTTTTGTTTGGCTTTGCCCTGCCCCCAGAGATGGAGTCTACAGAGGCAGGCAGGCATCTTTGAGCTGCAGTGGGCTCCATCCAGTTCGAGTTTCCTGGCTGCTTTGTTTACCTACTCAAGCCACAGCAATGGTGGGCCCCCCTCCCCCAGCCTCGCTGCCACCTTGCAGTTTGATCTCTGACTGCTGTGCTAGCAATGAGTGAGGCTCCGTGGGTGTGGGACCCTCCAAGCCAGGAGTGGGATATGCCTGGTGTGCCATTTGCTAAGACCATTGGAAAAGCACAGTATTAGGGTGGGAGTGACCCAATTTTCCAGGTGCCGTCCGTCACTGCTTCCCTTGGCTAGGAAAGGGAATTCCCTGACGCCTTGCGCTTCCCAGGTGAGGTGATGCCTTGACCTGTTTCAGGTCATGCACGGTGGACTGCACCCACTGTCCTGCCCCTACTGTCCGACAAGCCCCAGTGAGATGAACCCGGTACCTCCGTTGGAAATGCAGAAATCACCCATCTTCTATGTCGCTCACGCTGGGAGCTGTAGACTGGAGCTGTTCCTATTTGGCCATCTTGGAACTCTACCCTAAATGAATTTCTTAAGGAGAAGATGCATGTTGCCCAGGGGTCTTAGTTCATTCAGGTTGCTACAACAAAGTCTCATAGACTGGGTGGCTTATAAACAGCAGAAATCTGTTTCTCATAGATCTGGAGGCTGGAAGTGTGAGATCAGGTTGCCGGCATGGTGAGATTCTGGTGAGGACCCTTCTCCAGGTTGCAGACTGTGCTGGCTTTTCATTGTATCCTCACATGGCAGAAAGAAACTGAGAGCTCTCTGGCTTGTTTCTATAAAGGCACTAATCCCATTCATGAGAGGGCCACCTTCATGACCTAATTACCTCCCAAAGGCCTCACCTCCAAATACTGTCATGCTGGAATTAGGGTTTCAACATATGAACTTTGGGGGACACAGAGATTTAGCTTATTGCACCTAGTGAACTTGCTTACCCATTCCAGCTGCAGTAAGCAATGCCCATAGTGCAGCTCCTGCTTCATGATCTCAGCCTTGGTGGAGAGCTGGCTAAGAGTTTTTAACTTCTTCCCACTGATTTTATTTTATAAAATTTTACCAGAAGATCTTACTAGAAAAGTTAAAATAGTTTACCTACCATGTGCAAATTGGCACCATTTAGAGATAAGGCAGAATGTAACTCATGGACAATATTTGATTTTTACACATTGTGATTTTAATTAGAAATGTTAATTAAACACATATGCTAACCTGAAGCTGCCAAAAGGCAAAAAATAAATATTTGTAAAGAATAAGTTACCCAGCATATTGTCATACGATTTGGCACAGATGAAAATATCTTGGCAAAAAGCTCATGTTTCGTGGCAAACACTAGTGGCTTGGAGTTTAAAGATATAAATTTCAGTCCCATCTTTCGCTCTGACCAGATTTATTTATAGGCAAACAAACCAATTCACCAATCTATGCCTCAGTTTCCTCATTTGTAAAACAGTGGAGCTGAGATCTCCTCCATGTAGTTGCTGAAAAGTTCAAACAAGAAAGCTTTCAGTGTTTCACAAAGTCTAGGGCAGCCTCTGGATGCTTTGCCATGAAGTCCCAGGCATCCCTGGTTCCTGGAGCTCTGCTCAGAGGTCACCATGAACAGATGAAGGGTTTGCATCCTCGAGCTCCAAATGGAAAGGCAAATAACACACTGCAGGGCTGAGAATTCCAAATATTAAGACCCTTCTTGTGTTTGTCGCTCCTCTCCAGTGCTTGGCAATAACGTAAGGCAAATATCAGGAACCCAGAGGGGAATTAATGTTAAAAAAAAATTAAAAATTCTGGTGTGCTCTGGTGTAATTAAGCAATATAATTAAAGTCCTCCTATTGAAGCCAGCTGACAGGAGACACAGGTCACCATTGCAGAGGCAGCAAAGGTGCCAAAGTTTGTTTGCTTCTTCTGAGGTTTATCCATATTTCATGTTTTTATGCCACTCTTCCTATGTCAGAAACACAGAAAAATGTGTGTATGTGTCTATCTTCTCCTACCAGTCTATAATTTCCTTGAGGGAAGGGGCTGTCTCTTGTCTGTCTTTGTTATCCTCTGTGTACCGACAATGATCCTGACATGTGATTAGTGCTCATGCTGCGAGCCTTGTCTAAACTCACGGAGGCCGGATATCTCCCAGTTACCTATTCTGGGAAGTCCTCACCGCCCACTGATTTTGAACAGTGCTCTCTAATGATGGATATGCATTCAGTGGTTACTCTAATTTTGAATGAAGTAAAGGTCTCATTGATTAATAGCTTAGTGCAGTAGTCCCAGGCAACAGGAGCTTCTTAAATGCCCCTGGGGCCCACTGGGAGAGTCACTCTCTCATGCATTCAACAATTCTTTACTTAGCATCTTTTATGTGCCAGGCAATGTGATGGATACAGTGGATGTAGTGATAAATAAAGTTGTCAGAGTCCTGGCATTCAGAAAATGTATACTCTAGAAAAGGAAACAGAGAGCAAAGAGGAAACACCTGTCATGTGTTGAAAGCTGGTGGTACAGGCCATGAACGACACTAACAAGGGAGTAGATGGTGGCTGAGGAAGGCCCATCAAAGGAACAGAGACCCATAGAAGGAAGGGAACCATGGAAATACCTAGAAGAGAACATTTTCAGGTATGGGGAACAACAACCCTCAAATCAGGAGATGAGAACCAGCTTGACATGGGCTAAGAACAGAGGGAAAACCAAGTTTGCTAGAACATACAGAAGGGAAGTGTGGTGGAAGATGAGGTCAGGGAGACAGGTGAGTCACCAGGTGGGCCACTGGGGCCACGGTGCAGAGTCTAGATTTCCACCTAACAGGAAGGGGAACCTTGGGGGGTCTGAGTGAGGGAGTGATATAATCTGATTTGCCCCTGTAGAAGATCTCTCTGGCAAGTGTGTGGTCATATGACCAGCAGGGGAACAACAGAGGCAGGCAGCTGACTTGGGAGGCAGTCTTGGAGTGAAACAATAAACTCTTGGAGCTGATGGTAGAGGTGAAGATGGAAGTATAAGAATATAGATGGATTCCTGTCCCAGGTGAGACAGGTTGGATCAGTGGCCTTCCCTGACCACTTCCAGCCTGAGGTGTTATGGATTCTACAGTTCTAAGATTGTAGAATCTGTGACTTCTGAGTTCAGTCTCACTCCCAAGATTGGGCCCAGTGGTTGGTCTGACCATGCTTCTCAGAGCAGCATCCTACAGGGATGAAAACTCAGACCCCCATCTTGAACCTCAAAACCAGAATTTGTCCCTGTAACAGACACATCAGTTCATAACCACAAATCTCAGGCCACCACTTCAGCGAGGCAAGGAATGTGTCTATTTGTGCATTCACTAAGTGTGTCAAGCAGAATAATGGTCCCTGAATGATGTCCATGTCCTCGTTCCCAGGATCAGGACCACATAGCAAAGGGGACTTAAGGTTGCAAATGAAATTAAGGTTTCTAATCAGCTTACTTTAATATTATTCAGGTGGGCCCTATGACAAGGGTTCTTAAAGTGAAAAACAGAGGTAGAGAAAGAGATGTGACCTTGTAGGATGTTCAGGTGATGCAATGTGAGAAGGACTCAACCTGCCATTGCCAGCTTTGAAGTTGGAGAAAGGGCCCACGAGCCCAGGAATGTGGGAGGCCGGAGGAAGCAGGAAATAGCAAGAAAACAGATTCCCTCCTAGACTCTCCAGAAGAAATACATCCCTGCTGACACCTTGATGTTAGCCCTGGGGAGCAGTCATGTAGACTTCTAACCTGCAGAGCTGTAAGTTAATGAATGTGTATTGTTTCAAGACACTAAGTTTGTGGAATTGGTTACGGCATTGGTAAAAAACTGATACATTAAACTTCAATGATTATTTATGTCTGTATCCCACCAGATAATGGAAACTTACACTCAGTCAAGTTGAGATTTCCCCTTCCCCGAAGGTCGTTTCTAAGTTCTGGGGGCAGGATTCACAGGCAGTGGGAGATGGGGGTGGGAGTGTCTGGTCCTCAGTTGTGACGTGTCCATGCCGGTGTCCTTGAAAGTAGTGCATCATGCATCTGATTCTTGGCTGTCACAACACGTGGGTTGTGTCTGCAGCGCCCTTCACTCCTGACCTTTGGGCCTCTCCCAGCCCGGCTCCTGCTGTCAGTGACTTGCCTGCTCTTCTCACATGCAGCGGGCAGGGGAGGAATGGGCGCCCTCCAACCTTAGTCTGGAATCCCAAGAAGTGCTGGGAGGCTGCCTCATGGCCTTCTGAAAACCACAGGCCTTGTCACTCTTTATATTCCTGTCCAATTTTTCTCTTCCTGTCCAAGACTAGAGAATTTTCCTCTGGGGCAGCAAAACCTGCCTGAAACTGTCACGTGTGCTTCTAAGTCTTCGTCTTCAGCCTTAACCTTGGGTTATGAGTCTGATTTCTTTGCCCTCCGATGCTAATGTGACACCTCTCTCTTGAAGATTGTAGGGTCCATGGTCTCCTGACCCAGTGGGGAGGGTTGTGAGATAATAGGAAATACCAGAGGGGATCCCTCATTAATTCTTCTGGATATTTTTCCTCTGTATCACCAACCCCTATTGTGGAGGAGGAGCCAGGACCCCAGTCCCTGAAGCCCGCTGGATCCCACAGGGCTAAACACAAGCTTCTCCTGGATGCCAGGAGGTTCCTGTTCTCCTTGAACTCCTGAGGCTGAGCCAGAATTCCCATCACTGGCGGCAGCAGTTGGAGTTCTAACCCATCAGTTTCTTTTTTGATTCTAAAGGCCTTGTTATGAGTTGACTTTTCTCCCTGCCCCTACTCCCCAACCCCACCAAATTTATATGTTGAAGCCCTAACCCCAGATACCTCAGAATGTGATCTGATTGATGCAGAGTCTTTAAAGAAGTAATTAAGGTTAAATGAGGTCATTCGGGTGGGCCCTCATCCACTTTGACCAGTGCCCATGTAAGAAGAGGAAACTGGGACGTAGACTGTACAAAAGGAAGACCATATGAGGACATGGTAAGAGGGTGGCCAGCTACAAGCCTACCTGAGAGGCCTCGGAGAAGCCAGCCCTGCCGACAGCTTGATCTTGGCCTCCCAGCCTCCAGAGCTATGAGAAGATGAAGTCCTGTTGTTTAAGCCACCCGACCTGTGGTCCTTTTTTATGCCAGCCAAAGCGCACAAATTCAGGCCTTAAGACCTTTTGTTCTGTGGCCCTGCGGTCCAGGAAGAACAGCTCCAAAGGCAGCATGAACCTTCCCTCCTGCCAGCTCCCAGGAGCTACTTTGCAAAACATGCCCCTTCCTCCTTCCCAAATGAAAGCCAGTGCCCGTCTCTCAGCCCACCCCTCTCTCTTTATGCTTCCATTTTCATGTCTGGATTTCTAAGCCTAAAATGCTTGCTATCTTTAACTTGAAAGACCAGTCAAGTCTTTTGGTGAGGTGGGGGTGGAATGCATCTCCCAACCACACCTCAAGAGATTGCTTTTCTCATTCTTTGGGTCTGAATTCAAGTCCTCTTCAGCCACAAACCTTGTGCTGCATCCCCTCCGGGATTTTCCACAGCAACAAGTTCATCCCATTTCCTCCAGCATGGTGTCCCAGAAGTATTATACCTCCAGCAAAGGTGGTTCACAGGATCATGTTAGGTGGTACGCAGAGAAACATTTGTCACGTGGTTAGGATTGATTTTAATGTATAGTAGAAAACAATAAAGCTGGCACCTCAAACCTGTGATTTTACAGGCTTTATGGCTGATGCTGAGGCTAGCATAGGTGTTAAAATGTCCTACACTAAGTAAATACTGACAGGAGGGGTGTGGCAAAAATCAGCACAGTGGGGTGAGAACAGCGGAAGCTTTGGAGATGAGTATTTTCATGAGCAAGTGTGTGCAGCATTGATCTGCAGGAAATTGGCAGAGTGGAGTGGTGCAGGGGTGTGAGTCAGCAAGCGTGAAGGGGGCAGGAGAGGGTTCTAGTCAGCCCTGACACCTCTGTTACTCCTTCTCCATAACTGATCCAGGAAAATCCGACCCCGGATGTTTGTTTCCCATGGCTACAGTCCATGTGGAAAGCTGCCCAGGCTTGCAGGGGAGGCCAGAAAGGCCCTTAGGAACTTATGCTATTGTGGGGGCTCTTGCATCTGATTTTACAGGCATTTCACAGGCAGCAGGGGGCTTCATTTTTTTCCAAGTTCCCTGGTCTTGTCAGAGGCTGGCAACCTCAGCTGTGAAATGAATTTGCTTCCCCCGTTTATGCATTGGACAAATGCAAGCTCTTTACCTGAGCCCAGCCACTGAGCAGCACCCTGCAGGGAAACACAACTGTCCAGACAGCAGACAAACCCACCCCGCCGCGAAGCCAAGGGTACGTCCCAGTGAGGGCTTGGGGGAGAGGAGGCATAAGACCTGGAAATCCAGGAAACATGGAGGGCACTTGCAGATGGTCGATCTGCCAGGGGACCTTCCCGCAAGCATGGAAGTCTGTGTCCCCACGCCCAGGTTGAGTCACCGCCGGCTCCCCAGCAGCCAAGTAGGGTACCTCTCTCTGTGCAGCTGAAAGATCACTTACCTGCAAATGACTATGACTCCTCATTTGACTGAGGTTTAGCTTGTTAGTTCTAAGGAGCCTTTAAAAAAATGGAGTATTGTGGGAAAGCATGCAACTGTGTGGGCCCTTTCTGATGTAACCATGTGTCTCCGGCTATATTCATCCAATGGCATTTAAGGCTCATTAAATTTTGAATCCAGCGTCACCTGCCTTAGGCTTAAAATAGTTCTCCATGTGCCTTTTGTCTCCAAACTCCATTTTAATGGAAATTGTTTCCATTCACCTCTCCGTTCCCTTCTTCCTGCCAGCAATACCCTATCTTTAATAATCTCCAGTATGCAGATGTGAGCTCTGTGAACCTGTCATTTGGGGGAATACATTGGACCTTGACTGCTGTAAACAGTTGATGGTAAAAATGCAAGGAGAACCTTAGGATGTTCCCTTTTCCTCCTGCTTCCTCTCCGGCTGTGCAGAAGGACCCCAAATCCCGCACCCTCAATATTACTGATAGCTGGAAGCTTCATGAGACTCACCACAAGGTAGTCTCTGCTTCACATCTTGTGTCTTAACTCAGGAAACTTCCAGGGTTTCACACAGGACATGCATAAGCCCCATCTAAAGGCAGTAGCTGTTCATCATAATGAATAAATCTTAAACGGCTCTTAATAAGTGCCAGACACTGTTCTAGTGCTTATAACTAAGTGCCATGGGGGCTATCTCCTTTTTTATAGATAAAGAGACTGAAGCACAGAGAAGCTAAGTAAATGGCCCAAAGTCACACAGCAATTAAGCTGTGGGGCTTGGATTTGAACCCAGGCCATCTGAATGAAGTCCGAAGCTATATCCTGCCCACTCTGCTATATGCACGCCTACGCCCCCAGTTGGAGGTTGCCTCGTGTTAATGTCAGGCAATCATTTCCAGACCTTTGTATTTTTTCAGAGAAGCCAGAAATCTAAATTTTATGTGAAATGTCCCGATTTTTTAAAATTGGCAAATAAAATCATTTTTAACACCGTGAGAGCCAAACAAAATATGCCTATGAACAGTAACTGGTTTTTATGCCACCCAGGTGAGACCTCTGGTTTAAACTAACTCTTCAAAAAAAGCAAAGTGGCCATCAAATTCAAACACTTCCATGCCAGCGAGAAGCTTCTTTTGAAGCTGAGCAGAAAGCCCAAAGAGCAGGCAGAAATCCGTTCTGGGATCCTGGTTGGATATCCCGAAAGTCACCGTGCTTCACGGAGCAGGCAGCTTCTCCAATCGTGACTGTTAAGTTGCTTTACAGAAAGGTTCAGGGAAACTTGCTTTGCGGTTGGTTGAACCTGCACTGCGTTAAATCAACACAGCAAATGTAGCAACCAGCACAAGAAATGTCAGCTCTCATTAGCCTGCATATAAATCTGCCTCCACCAGAATCGGTATTACAGAACATTGGGGAAAATGCCAGGAAGCAGGAACATATGTTGCTCACACAAAAAGAATCTCCAACAATGGGTGTCTTCCTCCACAGTGGAGGCACCTGGAATAGGGACAGGGAGGCTTTGTTTTGCCTTGATGCCGCCCCCACCCCCACCCCGCTGTTCCTGGCCAGGAAACTGGGAAAACTCCATAGCTTCATCATCTGTGGTAGGAGGTTGTGCTAAGTGTTCGCTGACACAGCTGAACAATCATAAAATGTCATAAAGAGTAAATGACTTGATCATGCAAAACAGTAATTAGGATGTGGGGCATATTTATGCTATTTACATATTTTAACACCCTGATATTAACGATCTTCCTAATAGTACATAAGTAATCTAGCCTTTGTGCAATTTGTTCTGGCCTGCCACGAACACGTAGTCCTTAAAAGCAAGTGCCCGTTTCCCTTCTCTCTCCCGACTCTGTATCTGCATTCATGGAAGCCCACCGGGGGAAAGCCAGGCAGGAAAGCTGGCAGTGGGCAATGGAACACCTTCCCTAAAGCACATAGGTCTGGAAGTCATCGGGGGAAACTCAGGAAGGAAGGAAGTTCCCTTGGTGAGAAGTCTTCCTGCAGGCTGTCTAAAGGGGCTGAAGACAGTAAGTGCGCTGATAAATGTGTAACAACCGGCTCTCAAAATAAAAATCCTTGATATGTAGCACTTGCCAATTTTCATGAAGTAAATACACCCACTATGGCCAATGTAGTGTCCAAGCTCCTGACACAACTTCACTGAACACCCAGTTGGGAAGGGTCTCTAGCACACCATTAGTTGGGAGTCACAGCCACCACCTGATTGACCTCAGTCACTACCTTAACTCCTGTCTGCAAGTAGAGAAATGCAGCAGGGCCATGGCTATAAGAACTATGCCCAACTCCAGATATCGTCCAAGATTACCCAGGTATTTTCTTATGCAAAATAATTGTCCTGGAGAGCCGGTAAGGAATAACTGAATTCATCACCCTGGCTGCACAAATGGGAAACTGCAGCTGAGAGTCAGAAACAGTTTATGCAAGGGCGCACAGCAGTGGACCTCAGCACTGCAGCTGGAGCGCCACTCTCCTTCTCTACCCAGCGCTTTTTGTGCCAGGACCTTTTCCCTGCACGTTCCCTGCTGGTTCCTGCTCAGGCGCCACAGCTCGCTTTTGTGCCTCACAGTCTCCTTGGCCCGGCCCTGTGTATATAAGTGTGTGCACACGTGGAAGGCGGGGCGGCAGGCTAGCAGCCCTGTGTGGTGATGATGGTTGCCAGGTAACAGGAAGGCATCGTGGTGGGGAGCCTTCCTTGGCAGATATAGATAAATGGGCGCAGCAGGGAATGGAGCCTCCCTGGAGGAGGAGAACGTGGCAATGTCTGGTATGAGGGTTCTGAGTCAGAAATGGGGTATAAAACCCAAGAAGGAGGGGTTAGGGAGACATTACAACTCAAGGGGATGTTAAAGAAGGGCTGGTCCGTTTCCTCCATCAGGAGCCAAGACCCAGCACTGCTAGGAAGCAACTTGCTCAAGGTCACACCATTCAGAGTCAGGGCCACTGGAAGTGAATGGTAGGATCTAGGGCTCCCACTGAACCCCAATGAATATGATAGAAACCTCATAAGGCACAAGTGACCCTGAATGCCAAGTGCGGGAAGTTTAACAATAACCTCCATGGCTGTGCGTTTGGAAGGAGCTCTGTGGTGCTGCCCTGGTCACCACCGACCTTTCCCTCCCCTTCCCATCTCAGCCCTGGGGAAGGGAGCAGAGCCAGGGAGCAGAGAGAAAGATGAGAAGGAATGATGCTGACGTCACCGGGAAGGGGCGTGAAATTCCAAGGGGTCACTGGGCTGAACAGATGGCCGGCAGATATTGGTTTTAACTCGCACATGGCTGAGTAAATAATGTTTAAGTTTTTCTTGCCAGCCTGGGGAGCCGACAGATCGCACTGAGTGGAGGTACCTCCACCCCCCGCCCGCATCATCTGCTCTTCCTGGGGTTTTCATTTCCTACCCTGTTTGCGCTTTAGAGCATGGCTGGCTGGTCAGGAAGCCAGTGCCCTTGGAGGCAGGAGCCTGTGTGCGGAAAGAGGCAGGGAGAGGGCATAATGGGGAGGAGGCCAGCCCTTTATTGGAGTGTGTGCCTGGGCAGTACCTGTCAGGCAAAATCACCATCAAGGGTGTCTTGGGTAAATTGCCTGGGGTGGGGGGAGCTGGTCATGTTTCAATCCTTGATAACAAAGAACGTGGCATGACTACACACCCTTTGGTCTGCCTGTCAATAAGATTGTTTCTCTGTCCACAGATCAAAGAGCTGGGTCTGGTGAAACGTCAAGGTGGGACTGCGCTTTTATCCTGAAGTGGCCACTCACTGGCCTATGGCAAGTCTCTTAACTCTGCCGAGCCTCAATTTCCCCATGCATCCAATGAGGGTGTTGGCATTGTCCTGAGTATCCTCATAGGGAAGAAATGTTTGGATGAATCCTGTCTGTATGAATGGGTGATAAGAATGCAGATGTACATGGTGGACAAGCCCAAATTTGCTGGCACAGCAGAAATGGATTCACTGAATTATTTTTGAGCTCCTACTCCATCAAGCTTGGGATGCAGAAGTGAATAAGGCATGAGCACTACCCCCAAGGAGCTCCTCTGAGTGGGGAGACAAATAAGAGAATAAAACTACCAAATTTTCCCTGTGGTGGTTATCAGTGTGGCTCTGGGGTCAGACTGCTTGAGTTTACACTCCTGTCTGTCACCTAAAAGCTGTGTGACCTTGGGGTGGTAACCTTTGTGCCTCAGCTCCCTAATCTGTAAAATGGGCATCTTAATAGTCACTATCTCGCTGGGATGTGGTGATGACAGAGAAAATGCAAGCAAAGTAAGTAACATGGAGCCATGACCCACCCAGGGCAAAGACTCAACAAATGGCAGCTGCTGTTACTACCAAGTCTGTGAGAGTAGCAGCCCAGGATCCCTGGGCTCACAGGGAGAAAGACTCAGCCCAGCCTTGGGGATGAGGTCAGTGAGGGCTGTCAGAGCAGGATCTCAGTTGGGTCCTCAAGGCCAAGTTAAGGGTCGACTAGGAGGCTGGGCGTGGTGGCTCATGCCTGTCGTCCCAATTCTTGGGAAGCCAAGGTGGGCAGATTGCCTGAGTCCAGGTGTTCGAGACCAGCCTGAATGACATGGCGAAACCCCGGCTCTACAAAAAATACAAAAAATTAGCTGGGCTTGGTGGCACATGGAGTCCCATCTACTTGGGAGGTTGAGGCAGGAGGATGATGTGAGTCAGGAGAGTCAAGGCTGCAGTGAGCTGTGATCATGCCACTGTACTCTAGCCTGTGTGACAGAGCAAAACCCTGCCAAAAAAAAAAAAAAAAAAAAAGAGTTGACCAAGGAAAATGCAAATTCATTCAGCAAATAGTAAAAATGAAGAGCAAGGCAGATAAATCTCTGCTGCTTACAACTCTCATTTAGACCAAGGGCCTGCAAATTTTTCTAGAAAGGGTCAGGTAGTAAATATTTGAGGTTTGCGGCCCATATGGTCTCTGTCACAACACTCAACTCTGCTACTGTGGATGTATGAAAGCAGCCATAGACAATCCAGAAACACATGAGCATGGCTGTGCTCCAGGAAAACTGAGTTTTTGAACACTGAAATCTGAATAGCCTATCATTTCCACGTCATGAAATATGACTTTTTCTTTTTTTAACATTTAAACATAAAAAGCATTCTTACCTCTTGGGCCATACAAAAATAGGCAGTGGACTGGATTTGTTCGATTTGACCCATGGGTCATGGTTTGCAGATCCTTGTTCAAGAGTAACAATAGGTACGGAATCAATAGAAATGTGACAATTTTGGATCATGGCCATGACACAGGACAATGACGCAGTGTGTTGTGACACAATCATGAGGGTGAAGGTACCAATTTGGTTAAGGTGGCTGTGACTCTATGAGGAGGTAAAATTTGGGCTGAAATCAGAATGTCAGCTAACACTAAATACTGCAAAGTCGAAACAGAAGTAGGACTCAGTCAAAGGTGGGCTCAGAGCTTTAATGGCAGAAAGAAGGTCAGTGTGGCTGGAACGTAGGACTTGTGAAGGAAGGGGAGGAATTGACTAGAAAAGAGAAGGAAGATCCTGAAAAATGGATCATGAGAGCTTGAGTTTATAAGGACCTACATGTGATTAATTCAATATCTGTGGAACTGGCCTTGGTTTGATTGAAGGAAAATATTTGAAAAGGGATTCACTATGTAAATACCTTTTGTGATTTTTTTCAATATGTAGGGACAAAGGGAGGGAATGTATTGAAGCATGCAGAAACGCTGAATCAGTGTTGGGCATTATTATCTACCAGCCCTAATGAGTCTATTTCTTTTGCAGAGCCTGGGACCAGGCGGGGTCTCCAGCACCCCGAGGCACAGATCGTGAGTGCCTTCTTGCATGTCTTTAATGAGTTGTTCCCCCTCAGCACGGTGGACACGCTGGCTCTCTGCACCCAGAGCCCCATGTACTGATTACATTAAGCTCTGCCTTGTCTCTTAGGTGGCTTCGCCAAAATAAAGTCAAAATAGATTTGGTCAAAATGTCAGTTCCCAAGGAGGGGAGCTTGGCATTGATGCTCTTGGTGATGACACCGGTCCTGGCCCTCTTCCCTGCGTGTCCCCCTCCCTGACCTTGCTGCTTTGGCAGGATGCCTGAGAAAGAATTTTTGTAATAAAAACGTTTGTCAAAAAGGTTTTCTGCATATCCCTGGGTTAAGGAAGGGAACTAGTGAGACCATGCTTGGGCAGTTGTGCCAGATGAACCTCTAGATTATGAGAGTAATCTGATTCCCACTTCTCCCACCACACACACACATCACACACACATGCACAGACACACATACAACACATGCACACTACACACAGGCATGCACATGCACACAGCACACACATGCACCAAGTGCACACTACACACATGGACACACACACCATATACACCCATGCACACATACCTGTGCATCACACACACCACACATACACACACCACACATCACACACATGCACCAAGTGCACACCACACACGGGCACACACACCATATACACCCATGCACACATAGCTGCACATCACACATACCATACGTACACAAACCACACACACACACCACACATACATGCACCATACATGCACTACACATGCACACATACCACATACACCCCCCCCACACACACCTGCACCACACACACTACACCTATACACCACACACATGCACCACATGCACACTTCACACATACCCACACCAAACCACACACACATGCACACACATGCATGCCACACATACACATTATACACCACATACACATACCACATACATGCACACATGTGCGCACATACATCATACACAGTTACCACACACACGCACACCACACACCACACACCACATGCACACCTTACATGCTCACAGCATATGCACACACACACACACACACTGCAGGCACAGGGATGTGTGTGCACTCACACACAGCTCACATCATTCCAAGCTGAGTGGTTGCATGGCTAGACCCTGTTTAACTTGAGCTTCATCAGTTAAATGAGAGCTTTTTTTTTTTTTTTTTGCCATTCCGCAGCTGTTGCTGTCTGCCTAATTTCAATCAATTAACTTTTACTTAAAAACATTAAATTTCTTAATGCTGCTGCATTGGGCCAATTGTACAGTAAATTATAAGTGTGAAGGAGACAAATCACTCAAATTTGCCTGCCTACGGAACAAAGCCACCATTAAAGCCAGTTCTTCTGTCTTCTCAGGAACTCCAGGCATCAAGCGAAGGGCTGCTGAGGGGGTGGGGAAGGGAACTCAGCGCCGAGCTGGGTATCCTGAGGACAGCCCATCACACAGCTGGGGCGGTAGCTTGGCTGACTCGCTGTGTGGGCAGGGTGGGCTCCTCTGCAGAGGGCCAGGTGGCAAGGTGGCTTGTGAAGCTAATCACTGGGACAAAGGCAGGTGTGGGAGCTTGAGCAAAGGTGGGGTTGCAGAGAGTGCTGTCAGAGGGCAGGAGAGAGAAATCCTTAGGAATCTCAGGGGAAGAGTGCACCGGGAGCTTCTTCCCCACCCAGGCTCCCCGGCCCCACACAAGCCTCACATCTCTAGTCACACAACCTCAAGTCAGTCTACAAATAGGGCCTGATCCCAAAGTGGGAAAGGCACAAGGTCTTCACATTCCATCTAAACGCCTTGCCCTGCTCTGCCAGGCCCGACAGTGCAGCCCGCCACCCTCTCCATTGCCCACTCTGCTCCGGCCACACTGAACTTAGAGATGTTCCCTGGGCACTCCCAGCATGTCTTGGCCCGGGGTAGAGCCTGTGCTCCTGCTGTTGCCTCTGCCTGCAGTGTTTTTCCTCCAGACAGCGTCCTCCCCTCACATCATCCAAGCCCCTACTCATTCTCTAAGGAGCACACACCCAGCACCGTGTATAGCATCATCTTCTCACTCACTATATGCTCACTTATTTTTCCACAGCTAACATGCCACTTCCAATCTGTCTAATCACTGATGAATCCCCAGGGGCTGAAACAGTGCCCAACACACAGTAGGTGTTCAACAAATGTTTGTTGACTTGAATAAATGGAATTCTTCAGGCTGGCATCTGAGCCTTCAGTGATAACTGGCCTCTTGTTTTCTGTCCTCTTCCCCGAGGACTTCACTTCTTGTCCTTGTGCTCTGACTGAATGGGCTTCCTTCCATCCACAAACACGTGCTGCTCCTGCCTGCCCAAGGCTTCACGCCTATTGTCCCTGCTCCACCTGCCATGTGAAATACCCTCTTCTCCCCATTCCACCCCTCAACACACACACACACGCACGTGCTCACACACACACACACACACACACACACACACACACTTGAGTTTCTCTTCCTCCAGGAAGCCTCCCTTGACCACATCAACCTCCAGGAATGATTTCTTCGTCTGAGCTTTGGTACCATGAACTCTCCATCCCAGAGGATCTCAGCACTGATATGTCACTGGAACTGCCCTGGAAACTTCTAATAGTCCAGATCCTAGCACCCTCTCCTACAGACTTGGACTCAGGGAGCCAGGGTAGGTCCTGGGCATTGGTATTTTTTAAGCTTTCCTGGTGGGTCTCATTGTTAGTAGGGTTTAAGGCTCTGGTCTAGCTGTTTTGCTTAGTTGCCAGCTGGTTTTGCTTGGTTGCCAGCTCA
The DNA here is from genome assembly GCF_000001405.40 of Homo sapiens. Taxonomy (NCBI): domain Eukaryota; kingdom Metazoa; phylum Chordata; class Mammalia; order Primates; family Hominidae; genus Homo; species Homo sapiens. The sequence continues at coordinate 49,014,069 of NC_000016.10, read as the reverse complement.
TTTTTTACTCTCTCAGTGAGATAATACGTGGCTGGACGGCCATCTCTATTATGTGCTCCCCACTAATATCCAACACATTCGAGTAAACTTTAAGTGTTCCATAAATGCCACTTAAGAAAACACAGGTCACAGGGAGCCGGCAAGAGCCTCCTGAGTGTGGAGGACTCAGATGCTGGGGACAGCACCATCAGGAGGCAAACGTGGCATTTGGAGCTGAGTAGCCTTGGAGTTGAGTTCCAGCTTTCACACTTACTGGCAGGATAACTTTTAGCAACCCTAATCTTCATTTCCTCTGTCATGGAATGGGGATGGTAGTAGCCTCTCCCTCATGGGATTGTGGTGAGGATTTGGTACCATTAAGGATATTGCTTGGCATAATGCCCAGCGTGCAGTAAGTGCTCAATGAATGGGAGCCACTCTTTTGTTGCTAAAACAGGTTTTTGCAAAGAGGCAGAGGACTCTAAGCCCCTCCACGTCTGTCCAGAGCTGACTCAGCAGCGACGCCGGATGCTGCACTGTTAGCTCAGCTCAGCTGCTCCACTTCTCCTCGACCCACTCCTCTAGTCCCATTGCAGGTTGGGGGTCCGACTTGGGCAGCTGCAGAAGTGTGCCCCCTGCCTGCATTCCCTCCCAGGCCTCCACCCCCACCCTTCCTGCCAATCATGCCACATGGCCACCTCCCCCGGCACAAGGAGCCCGGCTGCGCTGCAGCCTCACAGCACATGCAGGGCTCACACATGCTCACCCGGCCGCCCAGCCTGCAGGCCCGTGTGCTGCCATGGCTTGGTGCCCAGTCCCGGGCACAGCTAGGCCAGTGCACAGCCTGGCAGATGGCAGCAGAGTGGGGGCAGGAGGAGAGTGAGAGCTCCTGCTGGTGCTTGAGGTGAGGGTTGGGGTGGAGGCGTCCGTCGGCAGGGGGAGGGAGGAAAGCTTGGCCGGCAGGCAAGAGATGCCGTCATGGCTTGTGTCTGTGCAGTGGATTCCCACACTGTGGCTCCTGGCTGGGTTTTCCCGGAGGCCTGGCTCAACCCAGGCCTGGTCATGACATCAAGGCCATCAGCTGGTGAGCTGAAGCCTGCAGATAAGGACAATTCTGGGACTGAGCGTCCAGGATGCTGCATTCCCCTGCTTTTGGTTTTGGAACCCATCTCCCTCCCAATTCAGTTCAATCAAACTCAGCAATGACTTTGAGAGTGTCTGCTCTAGCCCCAGGTGCCAGGAAACAGCATGCTGTCCATCAGAAGAGATGAACTGAAATCAGGACACTGGGGACTGGTCCCAGCCTTGCCACTGGAAAAGCTGTGCTTCAGCCTCTCAGAGCCTTGGCTGACACGCCTGGGGATGGGATGGGGGTTACAGTGATGGTTAAGAAAGACGATAGATGTGCATGGCCTTGAAAAACTGCAGGGTGCTTTAGAAATGGTGGATCTACTACATGTCTTTAAGGAGAGAAGCAGGAAATACACATGTCTGAGTAGCATCTCACGTGTGGAGGTGGGGAGGGATGTGCCATGTGGGGTAAAGCTGAGGAACTCAAAGAGGGAGGGGAAAATCCTTACAGAGTACATTTAGCAAGGTGGCCATGGTCTTGGGTTCCAGTTAGACACACTTGTGTGTCCAGCTTGGGCTTTGCCATGCAGCAGCCATGGGATGGTTAGAAAGTCAACTGACTTCTCTGGGCATTGCTGTTTTCATCTGAAAAATGGGATTAAAAGAGTTCTTTCTTCCTGGGATCCTGAGGATTTAATGAGATCAGCAAGCACAGAGTCTGGGCCATAGTACAATGTTTTCACCACTGTCTCCATTGATAGAGTTTGGATGTCCCCTCCAAATCTCATGGAATGTTGGAGCTGGGGCCTGGTGGGAGGAGTTTGGGCTCATGGGGCCGAATCTCTCATGGCTTGGTGCTGTCCTCACGACATTCCTGTCCTCAGGAATGTCCTCTTGAGTAAACATTATTTACTCAGCCAGGTGTGAGTTAAAACCAATATCTGCCAGCCATCTGTTCAGCCCAGTGACCCCTTGGAATTTCACAGCCCCCCAGAGTGGTCTGCTTGTTTAAAGTGTGCAGCCCCTCCCTTACTCTCTCTCTCTCTCTCTCTCTTTCTCTCTCTCTCTCTCTCTCTCACTCACTCCTGCTCTGGCCATGTGACATGCCTGCTGCCACTTTGCCTCCTTGCCATGAGTAAAAGTCCATGCCATGAGTAAAAGCTCCCTGAGGCCTCCCTAGAAGCTGAGCAGATATTGGTGCCATGCTTATATAGCCTGCAGAATCGTGAGCCAATTAAACCTATTTTCCTTATAAATTACCCAGTCTCAGGTATTCCTTTATAGCAATGCAAGAATGGCCTAATAGAACCATTATTCCAAAAGGACTGAGGAGATTAAGAACTTAACTTCCTCAACAAACCGTCCTAATAGTTGACATATCGCATTAACCATAACACCCATAGCTACTATTTATGGAGCATGACACCGTGCTCACTTTTAGAATTCACCATTGCATTGAACCCTCACAACAGCCCCAAAGGGTAGGTATACTATTATTCGTTTTACACTGATGACAAAAAGTAGAACCCAAGTTATGTAAGATACTGTTACATTTTGTAACACACTGTTAGAATTTTGAATGTTGGAGATTTGAGGATTGGTCATCTGACTTTAAGATTCTCAGATTCCCCAACCGTCACTATCTCATTATACTGTCTCTCCCAACCCCAGGGAATGCTCCCACATAGACCTCACGTAACTCCCTGAAACTTGCAGTGGAGCAAGTTTCTCCAGAGAACAGGCACTGGGCCACCTATTAGGCATCTCATTCCCCAGAGTCCCCAAAGGAGAGAAAGTGGAGGCCGGTGCTCCTTTCTCCCTGTGGCCACACAGCCCACATGACCAAGTCCCTCTTCCCCCACCAACCTCTGCTCTCTTTCTCAGTTCACCCCACTCCAGCCCCCGGACCACCCTTTTGTAGCTTGGACTCTATGCCATTCGCAGAAGCTTCTCCCAGCACAGGGCCTCTGTCCTCGCTGTCCCCTCCAAGGGTACTTCCCCCAGTGCTCATGGGCTGGTCTGCATCTCGTTCTCTACACGTGTCAGCTCCTCAGAGGGCTTCCCTGACACCACCTCCCGGCTACAGTGCCCCCCTCCCCACCACAGGGCCACCATGTTCCTCAGCTCTGAAAAGATCTCCTCCATCCATTTTCTTGCTTTCCAGCCATCTCCCTGCGGAAGAATGGGAGCTCTGGAGGGAGAGGAAGATTCTTGTTCACCTGTGGGCTGAGAGTGCTCTCCCCAGCACTGGGCACAGTGCTTGGCACAAAGTCCATGCTCGATGAGCATTGGCTGACTGTGTGAGGCACTCAGGAACGGAGGGCAGCAGGCAAGGTGGGGGGTTTGCCCCCCCACCACGATCCAGTGCAGCAACCCCCAACCCTCGCCCCCCAGGAGAGCTCTGGATCTGGCTGCTGAGAGGAAGCTGAGAGGGAACACAGCTGCCTCCACCGCTCCTTCCTGCTTTCTCTGATGACTGAGCTCAAAGTCTGGGTCAGTGTGACCTGGGAATGAGGAGGAGAAACGCCTCTGCAGGCGAAGTCTCTTCTGATGGGAGTTATCACTGAGTCACCACTCTTCATAGAGATTCCTGCAGGATTCCCGGAACTCAGGGAATGAACCCCACCAAGGGCCAGGGCTGCTGCCTGAGCCCCAGAGCCCCTCTTCTTTGGTCTGGGCAGGCACCAGTGGAGTGGTTTTTCAGGCTCTGGATTGAAGTTCCCACCTAAATAACATCTCTGGGCCCTGGGGACACTTCCTCCTCAAAGGCCCTTCTATCAAAATTATGTACTCACTGCCTTAGAAGCCAGAGAGAAACAAGGGCTCTCTGGTGATGCTAAAGAGTCCTCAAGGCTAAGGATGCAATTTCAGCTCCCAGCTATCCTCCCACACAGCAAGGTCCTGTCCTGCCCAGCATGGGTGTGAGAAACATGGGGGCATGTAATGTTCTCCCCATGTCCTGAGTTTCTGAATCACTGCTGGCTCAGAATTAGTCTCAGGAGAACCACATGGAATTGTAAGTCATTTTACTTTGTGCTCAGATGGTTCTCTGCCTCCTTTAATTGTTCTCCCTCCATGCTTCTCTTCTGCTCCAGAATAATCGTGCCATAAAGCATAGATTCTAATTAGTAGTTGTGTGACCTTGGGCAAATGACTTCACCTCTCTGTACCTCAGTTCCCTATTAAGTAGCAATAATAATAATAATACCTACATCATAGAATTGTGATGATTTAATTTGATAATATATGAAAAGTACTTACAACAGTTCCTAACAAAGAGTAAGCACTTAATACATTCTTCTTGTTGTTACTGCTTTTAGTTAAGAAAATGATATCTACTGTAATAAATAAATCCTAGAATCTCAGTGGCTGAACAAAGTAAAGTTTGTTTCTTGCTCACATCACAGTCCACAGCAGGTGTCCCCTCCACACAATGATTCAGGGATCGAGGCTCTTTCCATGATACACCTACAGCCTCAGGATCTATTTATTCAACTGTTGAGAGGAGAAAGAAGATGGAAGCTCTCACATGGGAGAGTTGGAGGAGCCAGGTCTGGAAGAGCATATCACTCCCACCCACTGTTCCTTTAATGGGAACTCAGTCACATGGTCTTGCCTGACTGCAGAGAATGCTGGGAAACATAGTCCAGCTGAGTGCTCAGGAAGAAGAGGAGTGGCTTGTGGACAACTGGTCTCTGCCACAGTTATTTTGTTGTTGTTATCATGCAATACTTCCACTCAGAAACTATTCTACAACATCCTCACATCCACAGATATGGCCCTCACACTGCCCTACCTCTCTACCCAACCCTCACTTCTCTCCAATACACACCTTCTCCAGCCAAACCAGCAACCTGTGTAACTGATGAGGTTACAAAAATATGGATTGAGACAGGAATACAGAAACCACTTCTCTGTGACTGCATTTCATTGTGGGTAAAAGCCACATCAAATTTGTCTTTGCATTGCCACCTCCTAACGTTGTTCCAGGATTATAGTTAGTAGCTAAGAAATGATAATAGATTGAAGCAATGTCTTCATTCCAAAGATATTCTGAATTATTCGATAATTGATCTGGGCAGCAAAACCCTGATAACAAATGGCACTGACCCTCAGCTCCAGCATCAGGGAGACATTTGGGAAGGGTGGGGACTAAAGTGAGCTAACAACAGATATAGGAATGGAAAAGACAGCTGCTACTTAGCCTTCACTGATTGTGTCCATTTAGGAGCCAAGTGTTACCAGATCTTTGTTTTTAAAGCAAAAACATAGGATTTTTATGCACAATCTCTTGGCTTTTTAAATGTAAATTTAACAATGCTTTAGACCCAGCATGTTAAAAGCAACTGCAAAAATACAGTGTGTGTAGGGAGGGAAAGAAAGCCTATAATGTGGGCCAAACAGAACACATCTTTAGGGCAACACCAACCCAAAGCTATCATTTGCAACCTCTGCTATAAACCATATCTATAGATGTAGTTGAAGAAATGGCATAGCAATTTTATTGGCTAAAGTTGCTCTATATTAAACAAAACAAGCGAAACAAGAAATCCATGAAGAAACATGGATCCCTTCAGGATCCCTTCAGGATTCATGTTTCAGGTAAGAATGCTGAATATTTCTTGAATATCTTTTTCACCTTCTTCAGAAGTCAAGATTTTGGGTAAATCATCATTTTTTCCTCCCATTTTTGGGGAACAGTATTAGTCAGAGTTCACCAGGGAAATAGAACCCACAGGAGATACACACACACACACACACACACACACACACACACAAAGAAATTTATTATTAAAAATTGGCTCATGTAATTATGGAGCCCGAGAAGTCCCAAGATCAGCAGCCAGCAAGCTAGAGACTCAGAGAGCCAATGTCTAGTTCTAATATGAAAGTGAGCAGGATCAAGACGTAAGAAGAGCTGAGGTTGCATGCAGTGGCTCATGTCTATAATCCTAGCACTTTGGGAGGCTGAGGCAGGAGGATCTCTTGAGGCCAAGAGTTTGAGATTGACCTGGGCAACACAGTGAGACCCCATCTCTTAAAAAATAAAAAGGAAAAATAAGTATTTTTTTTTAAATGGCTAGACACAGTGGCTCACACCTCTAACCCCGGCACTTTGGGAGGCTGAAGCAGGGGGATCACATGAGCCTAGACGTTCAAGACCAGTCTGGGCAATATCAGTGAGACCTTATATATACCAAAATTTAAAAATTAGCAACACCAAGTGTGGTGGTGCGCACCTGTAGTCCCAGCTACTTGGGAGGCTGAGGTAGGAGGATTGCTTAAGCCAGAGAGGCAGAGGTTGCAATGAGCCATGATTGTATCACTACACTCCAGCTGAAGAGACAGAGCAAGACTCTGTCTTGAGACCCTGTTTCAAACAAAGTAAAAGAGAAGCACTGGTGTCTCAGTTCGAGTCTTAAGGTGGGAAAGGACCAATGTCCCAGCTCTAAGCAGTGAAGTAGAAGGATTTCCCTCTTACTCAGCCTTTGTTTTATCTAGGTCTTCAATTACCTGGATGAGGCCTACACATATAGGGAAGTCAGTTTGCTTTGCCAAGTCTACTGATTCTGATATTAATCTTATCCATAAACACCCTCACAGACATACTCAGAATACTGTTTGACCAGGTGTCTGGGGATCCACAGTCAAGCTGACACATAAAACCAACCATCACAGAGACCCACCCAAGACTCCTTCTTACCTCACATACCTGCAAATGTGGAGACACTATGGTGCAGCCCAATGTTCTGAGTGCTAATAGCTCTGTCACCAAATTGCTCTGCGACTCCCAGGTAAGTCTCCCAATCTCTGTTCCCATTGTTCATACCTGTGCAGTGACAGTTGGATTCCATGACCCATAAAGTCTTTTCTAAAAGCAATTCCTGCCTTACAAATTTGGAATCAAAGCAGACCACATTTACCAGGCGCATTGCTTGTGACTTTATTGAGTAATTTGTACAAAACCTCTAAGAATAATTTATTCACCTAGTGGCGTGAGATGAGGGGAGGAAAATCAATAGAAGGTGTCTCAGTCATTTTTTATTTTCTAAACCATGAAGAGATTTTATTCCATTTCAGAGTATGCGCAGACACCTTACCCTACAATGTGTCTTTATGGCCAACTTTCAAGAATGCCTAAAAAGATTCATTTCAGGGACTGAAAACCCTTGCTTCACCCTGAATCCATAGGAAAGAGCCCTCATAGGGAACAAACTTTCCCACTTTTTTTTTTTTTTTCATGACACTTGAGAGATTACTGGAGAAATGAGGCAGGAGAGGGTTTGGAAGGAAAGCAACATTCCCTGTCTCTCAGACTTATCTCAAAGTCATTCTGGGAATAAATTTAAAGGCCTCTTATCTCAAATTCAACTGCCTTAAATTGTTGTTGCTTCAACAACTTAAAGTTGTTACACTCAATTCTCTTCCATCAAGGTGGGCAGACCAACACTTGGCTTAAACAGACTCATTGCAACAGTTGACTGCAAGGAATATACACAGACTTTTTGCAAAAAGTGGAGCTCATCATCAATCCTGAAGAAGTTCAGGAGCTTCTTCTGTTTTCCGGTCCTCTTAGGCCAGGTAAGAAGCAAATAGAGAGGAAAGATCTTAGATGAAGAACTGGATCTAGCCCTAACCCCATCACTGACCACACTTGTATTAGTTCGTTCTTATACTGCTATAAAGAACTACCTGATACTGGGTAATTTATAAAGAAAAGAGGTTTAATTGACTCATAGTTCTGCAGGCTGTACAGGAAGCATGGCTGAGGAGGCCTCAGAAACTTACAATGATGAAGGAAGACAAAGGGGAAGCCAGCACGTCTTACATGGTGGGAGTAGGAGGAAGAGAGAATTAGAGGGAAGTGTTACATACTTTCAAACAACCAGATCTTGTGATAACTCACTATAGTTCGAACAGCAAGGAAGAAGTTCACCACGATGATTCAATCACCTCCCACAAGGCCCCTCCTCCAACTTGTGGGGATTACAATTCAACTTGAAATTTGGGTGGAGACACAGAGCCAAACCATATCAAGGCTCGAGTAGGAGACTTAGCCTCTTCAAGCCTCAGTTTACTCATCTGTAAAAGGGGAATCACACTATCTACTTTCTTCATGGAGTTGTGTCAGGACCCCATAAGCTAACATCTGTACCTGGTAGGTTTTTTGGTTGCAAGCAATAAAAATCAACCCTGGCTGCCTTGACAAAAATGGATCTATTGGAAGCCCAAAAGATACTTTCAGTGTCCTTAGAACACTGTAAAACCAGGAGTGGATATAGACAGAACCATTGGCTCTTGTGCCAGATACCACACCTGCTGAATCTCAGCTCCAAATACACCCTTCTCACTCTGCTCTCCAGTTTAGGGACTGGGGTGTTCCAAGCCATACCCCTCTGGTGACCCCCACCCATTCCCCCTGCCTTGTCTTAAATATCCTTCTGTTTTGCTTAAGGTTACCTGTCATTGGATTTCAGGCCCATCATAAATCTAGGATGACATCATCTCGAGATCTTCACTTGATTGCATCTGCAAAAGACCCTTTTTTCAAATAAGGAAATATTCATAGCTTCTAGATGAACATATCTTTTGGGAGCTACCATTCAACCCACTGCAAGTAATGATGTCTCTTACACTTTTCTAACTAGTTGTTCAATGCTTCACCTTTGTAATTGGTAGAAGAGTTACTCTCTCCCTCTTAAGGTCCCCACCAATCATGAATTGTCCAGGATTCCTGGGGACTTAATGCAGTCCAGAGGAAACAGAGGGTCTATCCAGCTCTCCACATGGAGAAAACTCTGGGAAGGATCTGAGGACCACTGCTGTGGGCCATCCAACACTGTGTTGAGCTGAATGCTGGTCAGCTGCTGCTACTATCTCTTCCTAGTCTAGATCACTGTAGAGGCCGTCTTGTTCTTGAGGGAGAGACAGCAATATCACTCCTTCAGTGCCAAGCTTGGCCCAGGGGTCTCTAGAGTTTTACATGCAGGAGTGCAGATCACTTTTCTTCTTCCTGGTCCCCCACCACCTTGAGGGATTTAGGCAGCTCCAGGGATGCAGGGTCAGCCTTGGATCCATTTCTTACCTCCTCTCTATACTAGGGCCACCAACCCCTACCTCCCAGGGACCCTCCTCTAGAGAACAAGCAGGTTTCCTTCTTTACTCTGAAAGCACCAAGGGTCTGACTATATAACCCTCTTTCCCCAGACACTGTGCCACAGCCCTTCCTCTGGAATGAGGGTCCCAAGTGAGTCAAGTAGATGTGGAACATCTACTCTTTGGAGGACGGGGAAGATGACTTTCAACAACTCCAGGGTGATTTTCTGGCTCTGAATTGAGGAAGGAAATCCTACACATTTAATTTCTGGCAGGGCATACCTCCAGTGATTACCTGCTATTATGTGAAAAATCAGATTGCAAATATAGCACAAAAAGTATGATCCTATTTCAAATAAATAGGTGTAGATCTTAGAATGATATCCACTGAATTATTTACACATTCCTCTGTTGATGATGGGATGGCAGACCATTTTTATTTTCATCATTCTCTTATCTGCATTTTCTAAGTTTTCTCCTATAAGCATATATCTCTTTTGTAATAAGATTTTTAAGGTTATATAAAAAATAATACTAGCACCTTGCAGTCACATAGTGCTTTGCTGCATCTCACAGCTCTAATCTAATTTCCTATCTGTGAGGTCAGAAGGGCAGGTATTTTTATCCCTGTTTTATAGATGAGGACTCTGAGGAGCAGGCAGTGTGAGATATGACGTGCCCAAGGTCTGAGAGCAAAGCCAGGACCAGGACCCAGGCAGGGCTGCCAGCTCTCAGTTTGTGTGGCTTTGCTCATGCCTGGAGCCAGCCAGCTGCAGCTGGGAATACTCAGAGAAGGACCCAGAAACCGTGACCATGTAAGGTCAAGACGCAACAGGGCCCAAGGCAAAAATGATCCTGGCTTTGGCCAGTTGAGAAAGGGAAGACAGGGGCAAGAAACTATACGACTGTGGGAGAAGCAAGCCTCTTGTTTCTGGATCTCCAGAAAGGGAAGGAGGCCTCCACACTCAGCAGTAGGGAACAGAGTGGGTGGCGCCTGCTGGGGTGATCATCTCAGGGAAAGGTGAGCCCAAGATGTGAGCTGGTCTCAGGAGGAAGCCGTTTGGTTGTCACGTAAGTTAAGAGACTGCTATGAGACCACTGCCTCCTTGGTTCATCTGATATCTGAGAAAGGACAGGTAAAGATTGTCCTCCCCAGATGCACCTCCCAGTTCTTCCTTAACGGAGGGGGGATGAAGATGGATGAGAGCCTACAGTTCTCAAAATGCTCTGCATGGACACACAGTGCCAGGCTCAGGGCAGCCCCTCCATAAAGGTGTGTTGAATTTATGAATTCTATCTAAACACACAGCACTTGCCATGAGACATGCATGATATATTATCACCTCTATTTTGCCAGCAAGGAAACTGAGGCCCAGGCCATGACTTGTCCAAGTTCATACTGGCGAGCATTCAGGCGGGGACGTTGTACCTGTGTTTCTGTCTCCTGATTCAGCCTGCTCTCTGCTGCACACATGGGGCTGCCTCTCTGAGGGGCACTTCAGAGACACCTGCATTTGCTCTTTTGCTACTAAATTGTCCTGAGGCAACATCACATAAACACTACAGAAAATGACTCCAACTGCCCTAATTAACTCCCAGGGACATAGCACTCTCCCCAGCCCCGAAACCACTCCAGGTTCTGAGTTATGCCACAGCAGATGTGGGAAGAGAAGGCAGGACAGAATTCAAGGCAAAGTTCTGATGGGATGCAGATGAATAGAAGACAGACGGCATGTCTGGATGATTGCTGTTTTGATTAGAAATTGTTTCATTGCAAGTGAGAGAAACCCAGCTCAAATCTGCTCAGGCAGAAAGGAGAATGTCTGTGAAGGATGAGTAAGGAGCCTCCTGTGACCTGGGAGGGCTTCTGCTGGGTCTGCAGGCTGGATCAGGGGTCAGGGGTCAGGGCGTGAACATTTCCAGGACTTACATGCCTTTTCCCACTATGTATTACAGTTTCTCTTGCATGCGTTGTTGATTTTATTATTTCTTACTGCAGACCAGCTTCCTCCACCTAAGGGGTAACTTGGTAATGAGAAGTTCTTGTGGTTGGGACCAGCAGAGAAGAGATGAACTTCTCCCCTTAGATCTACTGTAAAAATAAATAAATAAATAACAACAACAACAAACAGGTAAGTAATATGATTTGTTTATCTAGAATCAGATGCTAATCCCTCAGCAAGTCATCACAGCCAGGACAACAGAGTCACACTCATTGAATATGGTTACAGGGCCCACATCTGTGAAGCTGGGAACATCCAAAGAAGCATCATCATTTGTCTTCTGGTTGGCTTTCTCCTGTTTGGAGAGCAGCTTTGTGTAAGGATCCATGCTGGGTTCTTTTCATGCATGAGTTCATCTGTTTTCACAACTACCCCCACAGAGTAGCCCATCATCACCCCATTGAACAGAGAGAAAGCTGAGACCCAGACAGCTTGAGTAACTTGTTCAGGTTGTGCAGCGGCTGAGTGATGGAGCCAAGATATAAATTTATTTCTTCTTAGTGCCAAAGCATGTTCCCTTTCTTACACCATATTGTCTCTTTAATAGGCATTTAAAGAGCACTTACTGTGTGCAAAATCCTGGAAGACACATATAAATAATCCACACTGAGGCCTATCTTTCTTTTTTTTTTTTTTTTTTTTTTTTTTTTTTTTTTTTTTTTTTTGAGACGGAGTCTCGCTCTGTCGCCCAGGCTGGAGTGCAGTGGCGGGATCTCGGCTCACTGCAAGCTCCGCCTCCCGGTGAGGCCTATCTTTCTAGAGTCTGTTTGAGATGACCTTACTCATCCTTAAGAACATGTAACAGCAGCAGAGGAGTTAACAAACATGGTACCAGGTGCCACATAGTGGAGGGAGGGAAAGGAAAGATGCACTTATTGAATACTGACTGTATGCCAGGCTCTGTGCTAAACATTTTCATGTTTCTCCTCTAGACCTCTACCATCCAATAGAGTAACCATTAGTCATGTGTGACTATTTAAAATGAAAATACACTTCCTGTCACTACCACAATTCAAGTGTTCAGTAGCCACATGTGGCTAATGGCTACCATATTGGACATCACAGATAAGTATTTCTATCACCACAGAACATTCTATTGAACATTACTGGCCTAGACTGGGAGCTCCATGAGGGCAGGCACTGGGCTTGCTCTCTGCTCTCAATTTTATGCCCAGCGCCTCCAGAGTACCTGGCACATGCTAGGCACTCAGTAGTTAATGCATGCATGAATAAATATATATACACACACATATGTATATATTTAGATTCAAAGACTGCTTCTGGCCAGGCACAGTGGTTCATGCCTGTAATCACAACACTTTGGGAGGCCAAGGGAGGCAGATCACTTGAGCCCAAGGGTTTGAGACCAGCCTGGGCAATATGGAGGAACCCCATCTCTACAAAAAAAAATATAGAAAAATTAGCTAGGAGTGGTTTCATGTGCCTGTGGTCCCAGCTACTCGGGAGGCTGAGATGGGAGGATCGCCTGAGGCTGGGAACTAGAGGCTGGAGTGAGCTGTGATTGTGCCACTGTGCTCCAGCCTGGGTGACAGAGTGAAACCCTGTCTCAAAAAAAAAAAGAAAAAAAGACAACTTCCATTAGAAGACTTACTGTATATTTAAGTAGAACTTTCTGTTAAAATATGAAAAAGGCAGTGGGATATGCCTGGATTCTCTGCAGGCAGCACATTTTGTGGGCAGGGTGGGGCTGCGGAGGGACAGAGCCATCATAATGACCATTCTGCATTGAGTACCCGTCACTTTCATGCCAACTTATTATATTTATAATTTCATGGACTCCTCTCATGAACCTTATAAAGTGAGATTATTATCCCCATTTTATAGTTTACGAAATTGAGACTCAAAAAAGCTAACTAGTGCACTTAAAATCACACAGCAAATAAGTCCCAGAGCCTCCAAAGCCCACACTTTCACCCGCCACAGTCCTCCCATCCATTTATTTCCTGTACAGCGGAAGCCTGTCTTGCCCCAGCATAATGAATTTTCAGATTTGGGGTGAGGCTGACTCCCATGAGCAGGCAGATGTCCAGCGCCCTTTTAGTCCGCCCAAACCCAGCGGACCGAGTCATCCATCAGCCACACCTGGCCCAGAGGTGCGCAGCCTCACAGGTTACCTCTGCACGCAGAGGGAAAAAAAAAAAAAAAAAAAAAAAAAGGGTCTCTTTTACGCCCCCTTGTGGCCAGGTAAGGCAAGGGCTCAGAGAAATGGGGCTTCCCCTTTTGCAATCCGACTGCAAGAAAAGCACCATGGTGGTCTTGGGGGTGTAAAATCAGCAGGGGCCTGTTCCCTGTTCTAGGATGTATGGAAGGAAGGGTGAATGATTTTGTCCAAGTGGCCCCATTTGCAGGACCGTCGTGGCTCATAACCTAAGTATGAACTTTCACCACCCCCCAAAAAAGCAAATTACCTTTCCTTCAAGAGCCCTCATCTGAAAGTTTTCAGAGTGTTTCTTGTCTAACCGCTGTTTTCTTGCTTATTTATTTATTGCCCATTTTTGATTAAAATATTCTATTCTCAGGAGTCTCCATCCCCCAAAGGTCACTTTCCACAGGCTTGATTTAATTAACGAGTGCCGACTTGAAGATGAAAGGTAGGAAACAAAAGGTCTTCCTTATCCAATCTGAGCCCAGATAAAATCATATTAACATTTCACCTTTTGTTCCCGTGCAAGAAAAGCCTTTGGTGCATTGTATCAAAAAGTATTGAAATCATTAGGAAGGAAAGAAAGAAAAGAAGTAGACAGTTGTGGCAATAAATTTGTACCCCCCCCCACCCTCCGCAGCAGGTCCTAATAGAAAAGAAAAAGGAAGAGAAAGAGGAAAAGAAGGAGAAAAGGGGAGAAAAGGAAAAACAGAGAAAGAAAGAGAGACTCCAAGTGACAGTGCTACATCCTAAGCCTTGTTTTAAAGTTAAATTAGGAAAACACAACCATTTGGCAGAAAAGTATGAGAATATCCTAAATCTACCTCTACTTTCAGATGGATACTCTACTCAAGCACAGACCTTGTCTGTTTTTGCATCAGCATCTCTCCAGCCCCTAGAAAAATGCCTGGCACAGGGTAACAACTCACTAAATATTTGCCAGACACCTTAGTAAACAGAATCCAGGCAAGCTGGGTTCTCACTAAGTCTGTCTTTAGCTCATTCTGGATGCTAAGGCAGATCACAGCTCCTCTCTGAGCCTGAACAGCTCCATCTGCAAATAGAACACGCCTTGTCCTGCTTTTCCTGGCCGGGAAGCTGTAAGGACAAAACACAGACGTGGAGGCCCTTGGGAAGGTCAGAGCATCACGCAAACAGAAGACACAACGTTAGGACTAACTCTTCACATGCTTCCAGAGGCCAAACCCAAGCCCATCTCTCCCTTTCATCCACAGATGTGACAAACCAAAAGAAAGAAAGCCATGAGAGTATAATCACTACTGCAGAGGAATGGGAGAGGAAGAAACACCAAACATCAGCACACTATTTCTGTTGTCCAAAGGAGAAAAGAAGCTGGATTCTGTACTTTGACATCCCAAATGCTTATCAAATTACAGCAGGTCTCGACCTTCCTGACTGGAAGTCTCGAGGCAGTGAATAAATAGTGCGTGACACATGGAGGCCCCCACAGAGGGTAAAGGTCACCAGGTTTGAGCTGCTATAATGAAGAGTTTATTAAAGCGCTGGCAGATAAACCTTCCCACAGACTAAGGGCTTGTCAGCAAAGAGTTCCTGTCACCATGCAAGGCCCAGGTGGCTCCACAGAGCCAGGCTCAGGCTCTCAGCTGGCAAAAAGAGGCTCTCCTCCCCCTATTCAATTCGCTTCGCTCATGCAGGTATTTTCTCTCCAACAGAGGAGGCTGATTACAGATGTGTCTTCTGCCTGCAAGAGGGAAGTAAAGTGCGTTCCTAAGATTGCATGTGACAGTTATGTACAGGATGAGAAAGCTGAATTCACACCGATAGGAAATAGTAAGAAAACTTCGACAAGCCCTCAGTCTGGTCCCCTCCACCCAAGACCACAAAGTGAAGCCCAATTTCATTGCAGCCTCGAATTCCTGGGCTCAAGCAATCCTCTCACCTCAGCCTCCCAAGTAGCTGAGACTATAGGTGTGCGCCACCACGTCCGGCTAATTTTTAAACTTTTTTGTAGAAAAGGGGTTTGCTACATTGCCCAGGCTGGTCTCAAACTCCTGGCCTCAAGCAATCTTCCTGCCTTGGCCTCCTAAAGCACTGGGATAATAGGTGTGAGCCATCGCCCCTGGCCTGTGTGTCTTTTTCTTTATATCGCTAGCCTCTACTTTAATTTTCTGGTTCAAATCTGGTAATCAGAGCAATCTGTACTTCCTCAAGACAGCCTCTGCCATTGCCATTCAGGGGAAATGAGAAAGAGCTGGTCTTTCTCTCCTTTTAAGGATTATTCAGGGATTGGAGACCCTGTTCTCCTGGGCTTCCCTCCCACTGGGCTGCTCATCAGGCCTCTCCCGGCCTTTCCTTTGACTTCCCTGGCCAGAGGCAGGCAGCCATGGTGGCAACACCCTTCAACAATTCCCTTCCTCTCAGTGGGCCTCAGTGAGGCATTGTCATTTACTATTAATGTCCTGATGGGCAGACACGCTGACCAGGAGATCCTTCATTTTCAGAGGGGTTTTAGTTGCCTCTAAATGCAAGCAAGATGATCTGGAAAGAGAGGCTTCTATGCTCTGGGACTAGACAGCTGGGGGAGCCAAGGCATGGCTGGGCATTCCCTGGGGACACTCAGCACATATTTCTTGAGCACCTAATAAGTGCCGGGCCCCATGCTAGGCATGTGGGATGCATTTGTGAATGAAAGAGAGCAAGATCCCTGCCTTGTGGAGTCCAGATTCCAGAAGAGAAGACAGGAAACAAACAGCGTGCATAAGAAACAAACAAATATGTAGTGTGTTAAAAGGTGATAAATGTTATGGGGTCAAAGGAGGCATGTGGGCTAAGGAGGCAGGATGCCCATGGTCAGGGCTGTGGGGGCAGGTGGCAGAGTGGCCTGAACGCTGTCAGGACTGGAGGAGAAGCAGCTGGCCCAGGCTGGGGGTGGAGAGAGGAAGAGCAGGGGCGGGGCAGGGCAGGTTTGCAAAGCAGGGATGCTTGCCCTCAGTAGGGATTATTCTGTGAAGTCAAGGAATGGGTTCCAAAAGTGGAAGCAGCTGGCTGAGAGCCACGGAGGAAAGGAAGCAGGGGGAGGGCACTTAAAGCAGTTGAGTCTGGCTGGCACTGGTGCTGCCGGGAGAGTGGGCTGGACACACAGTGGGGGCCCAACTGGAAAGCTCCTTCATTACAGCAGGGTCTGGCTTTTGTCCTGAGTCGAGGGAGGGCTGGGAATGGACAGTGTCTGGAGTCCTGTGAACACAGCTGAGGAGTCCCAAGAGGAGGACAGTAGCTGTGAGCGCTGCTCTCCCAAACTTCCCACTTTCCTCTTCTTTCAGCCACGCAGGACCATGGAGTGCCTCTGCCCCCTGAGCATGAGTATGGCCATGTGACCCGCTTTGGCCGCTGCAATGAGTGTGGAAGGACCATGTCACTTCCAGGTGGGGTGAGACTCTGATGACCTGTGGCAGTCAGCCGCAGCCTCCCTCCCCTGGACAGCTGACCCATGGTATCGAGGACGGTGGCCCTGGATGGTTGCCCAGACCTGAAGCCAGGTTCATGTGAACAAGAAATAAGCTTCTGTGGCACTAAGAGACTTGAGGTTTGTTTTTACTGCAACATATCTTAGCCTATGGTGACACAAGGATGATTTCAGAGCCCCAGTTCCTCACAAGACTCAAATCTATTCCTGGAAGTCAGGCAGAATCTTCCCAATCTCCACGTAGTTCAAGGCACCTTCCTCATGCCCAGCCAGCGCCGATCTGGTTCCCACCCTGCAGGTTCTGCCAGTGGTTACCATTGATTAGCCCTGATATTTCTCCAGAACTCTGTGAAACTGCTTGAGTCTCCTATCTTAGGTTGTCCATCCAATAGTGCTGCAAGGCAAGCAAAGAGTGACCCCAGTGAGCTCATTTTGCAGAGGCAGAAACTGAGACACAAGTGAACCAGATAACTCAGGATGGGCTTCCAGCCTGGACCTTCTAGGCCGTCGTCTTCCCATCCTAGGAGCTGAGGAGGGTCCCCGTGGGGCTGAGAAGCAGGGGGTGCTCTGAGTTGCAGGCCACAGATTTCTTTTCTTTCTTTCTTTCTTTCTTTCTTTCTTTCTTTCTTTCTTTCTTTCTTTCTTTCTTTCTTTCTTTCTTCCTTCCTTCCTTCCTTCCTTTTTTTCTTTCTTTCTTCCTTCCTTTCTTCCTCTTTCTTTCTTTTCCTTCCTTCCTTCCTTCCTTTCTTTCTCTCCCTCTCTCTGTCTCTCACCTTCTTTCTTTCTTTGTTTTTTTTTTGAAACAGGATCTCACTCTGTCACCCAGGCAAGAGTGCAGTGGTTTGAACACAGCTCACTGCAGCCTCCAACTTCCAGGCCCAAGCAATCCTCTCACCTCAGCCTCCTGAGTAGCTGGGAACACAGGCGTGCGCCAACCACACCCGGCTAATTTTTTTTATTTTTTATAGAGATGGGGTTTCGCCATCTTGCCCAGGCTGAGAGAGCACACATTCCTGATCTTTCCTTGGCCATGAGGGAGACTCTACGTTGTTCACACCAGGCTGCCACAGAGCAAGAAGGAGGCAGCCTGGGGCCTTGGGTACGTCAAAACTCTTCTCCGGTGCCATCCCCATCTGTCCCCTGCCCCATCTGCCCCAGGCACATGGACAACTTGACAGTGTTGCTAGCGGGCCAGGCTCCTGCTGCCTCGCAACTCACACAGGAGTTTCTTAACTTCAAGAGCTCTACCTCTCCCCTTTGTGTTTGTTCCACATCAACTCTTACTCATGCTTCTGAGCTTGGCCTGTATGTCACCTCCTCAGGGTGGTTTTCCCTGATTTCCCAGACAGGTGCTGCACCACCTGCTCCCACACTCCCAGCGCGACCCCTTCATGACATCCTGACCTGTCAGCAATGTGCTCGTCTTTGAAAAATGTCCACTTCCCCTTCTAGGCTGTAAGCACAATGAGGGTACAGTCCCTTTCAGTTTTCTTCATCCCAAGGTTTTGAGCATAAGAAGCCACACTAAATATTCGTAGACAGCGTGAATAAATTGTCAAAAGCTGTACAAACAGGAGGGATTTTTGTCTGTCTACATTAAATGGCAATTCCACCTTCCCCAGCTTAGGAAGGATTTCACGGATCCACTCACCATAGGGGCTTGATTGCATTTTAAATAAAAAGACCCCGTCCCCAGACACTGTGGGCAGCCTGCATCAGAGCTTTTCCCTGGTAATGAACTTCCCTGGCATTATTGCTGCATTAAATTGTGTTAATCAAATGGGAAGTGGTAAGCGGTTTTCCTCCCCGTGTAATCCTTCCTGAGCTGTACACTCTCAGTGGGAAAATGAAAAGGCTGACACGAATCAGAGTCCAGGACGGATCAAAGAACAGCAGCAGTTTTGATTTGTGTTAATTTTGCGTGTACAAGAAAACCCTCCTCATTCCTCTTTATTAAAAGGAGGCAGAAGCATGACAATAACATGCTGTTTGAAGAGCGACAATGAAAAGCAGAACATTTTGCTCAGACACTAAAGAGACAGAGGGAAAGGAAGAGCAACTCACACAATGTCACGCTGTCTCTGTACCTGAGAACAAAGCCTGTTTGCTAAACTTGTTTGAAGGATCCACATTTTCAGGTGTGGGTGGGTGGGCGAGAGCTTTGCTTTCCTTTTACACCCAGTGGCCTGCAGTTCAGGATTCAAATGAACTCATCTTTCATTCCTTCTTTCAGGGAAGAGTCACTAAACTCTGTGCTGGGCATAGAGAGATGAGCGAGCCACAGCCCTTACTCTCAGGATGCTCCTAGTCTGCTGGGACAGTGGAAATAAATCCAGGTGCTTATGCTACCAGTTGGGGGGTGCTGTTGCAATGGAGGAAGGTCTCAGATGCTGGGGAGACACAAGGGCAGGAGACGGTGCTAGGCAAGGGAGTTGGGCCTCCAGTATCCACACTGTCCTTCCCCCATGGAGCCTTGGCCTGTGGTGAGTGTGGACAACCAGCTCTGAAATTCTCCTTCAGAGCCAAGGAGTCTTCCAGTTTCTCAGCCTCAGAAAAAGTTCCCCAAATGTAAGTGTCTCTCAACAGTCTCTAGTATCAATTCATACACTTAACAAAGACCATTCAGAGCAGATCTGGAGCAGGTGAAAAGCTCCACTCACGTCCCTCATCTCAGAAGTTAGGCTGGTGAAGCCGCAAGATCTCACCTACCATCAGGGACTCTTGTTGAGACTGTGCAAGATCTTGGGGAAGGAAGAAAAGACAAGAGGGAAGTAAGTCAAACAGGCAAAGCAGGTCCGGAACAGGCAGAGCTCACTCCGGTTCCACTGGAGTACTCCTCCCTTAAAAGTCGGACACTTAGGAATTTAGAGCATCTTTGCCGACTAGGAGAGTTATAGCGCAAATCCCCTTTACTGAGCCCTTACTATTTTCCAGGCACAAGACATTCATCATTTCACTGTAATACTACCTTTAACGCCCACTTATCACAATTATCAGATGAGGCAAGTGACTTTCAGAGAGATTCAGTAATGTGCCTGAGTTCACGCAGTGACAGGGCCAAAATTTTTGATCAGTTCACCCTCAAGCCCATTTTATTTTCACTGGAGCCTGCTGAGGGTTTCTGAGTGCACTTGCAGTATTTTATGTGGTTTTACATAAGCTAGAGAGCAGCAAAGCACAAGTGGCCCAGTTGCCCAAGATTTTTAAAAAGTCATTACATTTTCAGACTGTTAGTTGCTATGGAAGACTGTGCCCTTTTGGTATTTGGGAAACATAGGAACCAGCAAGATTGTAGAGCCACTGTGGCATTTCACGTGGCACTGGTAAGCTAGACACCTCTGATGAAATTGGGGTCCCAGACGCTCCCGAGCCCTTGTCTCGGGTAGGCCAGGGCTGCTGGGATGGGGAGTGAAGGGAAGGACACTGGGCTGGAAGCAGGACATCCTGGCCCAAGACGCTTCTCTGCCATTCACTTACCCCAGACCTTTAGGCAGTGACGTTTGTCTGCATTTGTTCTTCAGAAAAATGAGGTTACTTATACCTGCTAGTTGTAAGGATGTTGTACGTAATTAGTGATCAAAGATGATGACTGTGAATACCTCCCAAATAGGACTCACTCCGCAAATGTGGAGAAGTGTCCGGGTGTCAGCTGAAATGGATCTGGAATGAATCACAGGGAAAAGAAGGGAAAACATGCTTATGACATATAGCCAGCGTGAGGAACAAGAATGCAACTCACATAAAAAGAGCAGAACAGCCAGGCGCGGTGGCTCACTCCTGTAATCCCAGCACTTTGGGAGGCCGAGGTGAGCAGATCACCTAAGGGCGGGAGTTTGAGACCAGCCTGGCCAACATGGTGAAACCTCAGCTATACTAAAAATACAAAATTAGCCGGGCATGGTGGCAGGCGCCTGTAATCCCAGCTACTTGGGAGGCTGAGGCAGGAGAACCACTTGAACCCAGGAGGCAGAGGTTGCAGTGAGCCGGGATCACACCAGCACTCCAGCCTGGGTAACAGAGTGAGACTCTGTCCCCAAAAAATAAATAAATAAATAAAATAAAATAAAAGCAGAACCAGGTGTACACACACGTATATCTCAATAATGAGGTGGGGAAATATACTTTCATCCTCCTTATTTATTTACTAAAATATTTCTGAGTATGTGCTATGTTCCAGGCACTAAAGAAAAACCAATAAACAAGAGAGGCAAAGTTTGTTATTTCATTGAGATTAACGGGAGTTGACCTAAAACCCAGTACTTAATAGATCATTAGCTCCTTCCCATGATGCTCCACATTGACCTCAGGATGAGTCTTTTTTTTTTTTTTTTTTTTTTTTTTAAGAGTAGGGACTTCCCTCTATTGCCCAGGCTGTAGTACAGTGGTGCAATTATAGCTCATTGCAGCCTCAACTTTCTGGGCTCAAGGGATCCTCCTGCCTCAGACTCCCAAGTAACTGGGATTACAGGTGTGCACTACCATGCCCAGCTAATTTTTCTATTTTTTGTAGAGACAAGGTCTTGTTCTGTTTCCCAGGCTGGTCTTGAACTCCTAGGTTCAAGCAATCCTCCTGCCTCAGGCTCCCAAAGCACTGGGATTAGAGGCATAAGTTTTAATGGCTGCATAATATTCCACTGTTTGGATTATCATAATTTAGTCTCCTACTGTTTGGCATCTGGGTTTGTTTCAGATTTGGGGGAATTACTCAAATTTATGTCTACATTAATAAATATTTCCTTAGGATATGAGCAAAGAGGTGGAAATGTTGAGTCAAAGGGTATAAACATTTCTAAAGAGTTTGCTGTACCTATTCCCAAAGCTAGCCCCAATTTCTACCTCCAGCTCTAGGATATGAGGCTCAAAACGCAGGCCTCTTGGAATTAAACTAGAAATCAGTAACAAAGATATCTGGAAAAAAATATTCAAGTATATAGATATTAAATAAACAACATACTTCTAAATAATCCGTAGGTCAGAAAGAAATCTCAGGGAGAATTAAATAATAGTTTGAACAAATAATTGAACAAATATAAAACACAGCATGTCAAATTTATGGGATGCAGCTAAAGCAATGTTTAAAGACAAAGGTACAACATTAAACACTTATATTTAATAAAGTAAAGGTTTCATATTAACAACCTAGTATTTATCTTTTAAAAAAACTAAATGAGATAAAAAATCCAAAGCAAGCAGAAGAAAAGGGAGATACTAATGAGTGGAAATCAATGAAATTTAAGAAACAGAAAAATAGAGAAATAAAAAAAACAAAATTGGTTGTTTGAAAAAATTAATAAAATTGATAAAAGTCTAGCCAGAGTCTCAAAGAAATAGAAACAACACAAATTACTATTATTTGGGATTAAAGAGAAAATTTCACTACAGATTATACAGATGTTAAAAGTTTAATGAGAAAATACTATGAACAGCCATATACATACAAATTTGACAGCTTAGATAAAATTGCTCAAGTCCTTGAAACCACAAATTACTAAACTCATCCAGAATAGACTAAGTAGCCCATTATCCACAAAGAAATTGAAATTATAGCTTAAAATCATCTGAAAATGAAAACTGCAGACTCAGATTGTCTCTCTGTGAATTATAGCAAACATTTAAAGAAAATTTTCTACACATGTTGTTCCAAAAACATAGAAGAGGAAACACTTCTAACTTATTTTAAGAGGCCAGAACTACCTTGATCCCCAAACCGGAAAATGACGATACAAGAAACCTACAGACCAATATCTCTCATGAATATAGACACAAAAATTCTCACCAAAATATTAGCAAATCCAGTCCAGTAATATATTAAAAGGATAATGTATCATGGCCAGATGCAGTTTATCCCAGGAATGCAAAGCTGGTTCAACATTTGAAAATCAGTCACTGTAATCTTCCATATTAACAGATTAAAGAAGAAAAATTGCATGGTCTTACCAATTGATACAAAAAAAAAGCATTCTTAAAAACTCAACATTTATCCATGATAAAAACTCTCAGAAAACTAGGAATAAAATGGAACTTCTTTAACCTGATAAAGGACATCCACAAAAAAACTACAGCCAACATCGTATTTAATGATGAAAAAAAAAAAATACATGCTTACATCCTAAGATAGGAAACAAGAAAAAGATGTTCACTCACACAACTCCAATTCTCCAATTTGTCGTGAAAATCCTGTCGTAGGTAATAAGGCCAAAACCAAAAAAGACACAGAACTGGGAAAGAAAGAAAGAAAATCCTCTTTATTCATAGATAACAGAACTGTATACATAGAAAATCCCAAAGAATTCTATCTTCAAAAAACGCAAAAACAAAAATGAGAACTATTGAGTTTAGCAAGGTCAAGAGTTGTTTACATGCCAGATATGAGCAGTTGAAAACTGGAATATTAAAAAATAACATGTACAATAGTTTCAGAAAAACTAGCTACATAGATATAAATCTAACAAAGATGTATGCAAGATCTGTATGCTGAAAACTACAAAACAATGATGAAAGAAATTAAATAAGATCTAATAATGGAAGAGACATGTTGTGCTCATGTATTGGAAAATTCAACATGGTTAAGATACCAGTTCTCTCCCAAAATGATCCAGATATTTAATGCAATTTCAATCAAAATCCCAGCATGAATTTTTATAGATATAGACAAATTAATTGTAACATTTACAAAGAAAGTCAAAATAGCCAAAAACCTTTTTTAAAAGAACAAAGTTGGAGAATCTCATACTGTCTGCTTTTTTTTTCAACTTTTATTTTAGATTCAGGGAGTATACGTGCAGATCTGTTACCTGGGTATATTGCATGATGCTGAGGTTTGGAGTACAAATGATCCCATCACCCAGGTACTGAACATAGTACCCAAAAATTAGTTTTTCAATCCTTGTCCCCCTTCTTCCCTCCCTTCCCCTTCTAGTAGTCCTCAGTGTCTATTGTTGCCATCTTTGTGTCCATGAGTACCAATGTTTAGCTCTCACTTATAAGTGAGAACATGCAGTATTTGGTTTTCTGTTCCTTAGGATAATGGTGTACAGCTTCAGCCATGTTGCTGTAAAAGAACATAGTTTCTTTCCTTTTTATGGCTGCATAGTATTCCATGGTGTGTATGTACCATATTTTCTGTATCCAATACACTGTTGATGGGCAGCTAAGTTGATTCCATGCCTTTACTGTTGTGAATAGTGCTGTGATGAACATGCAAGGGCATGTGCTTTTTTGGTAGAATGATTTGTTTTATTTTGGGTAGATACCCAGTAATGGGGTTGCTAGGTTGAATGGTAGTTTTGTTTTAAGTTCTTTGAGAAATCTCTAAACAGCTTTTCACAATGCCTGAACTAACTACATTCCCACCAACAGTCCATAAGCATTCCCTTTTCTCTGCAGCTTCACCAACATCTATTTTCTAAAAATTATTTTAATGATGGCCATTCTCACTGGTATGAGATGATATCTCATTGTGGGTTTTGATTTGCATGTTTCTGATGATTAGTGAAGTGGAGAATTTTTCCATATGTTTGTTGGCCACTTGTGTGTCTTCTTTTGAGAAGTGTCTGTTCATGCTCTTTGCCCATTTTTATTAGAGTTATTTGTTTTCTGATTGTTCAGTTGTTTAAGTTCCTTATAGATTCTGAATATTTGATCTTTGTCAGATACATAGTTTGCAAATATTTTCTCCCATTCTTTAGGTTGTCTGCTTACTCTGTTGATGATTTATTTTGCTGTGCAGAAGCTATTTAGTTTAATTAGGTCCCACTTGTCAATTTTTGTTTTTGTTGCAATTCCTATTGAGAACTTAGTCATAAATTATTTCCCAAGTCTGATTTTTAGAATGGTGTTTCCTAGGTTTTCTTCTAGAATTCTTATAGTTTGAGGTCTTCATTTAAGTCTTTAATGCATCTTGAGTTAATTTCTGTATATGGTGAAAGGTAGGGGTCCAATTTCATTCTTCAGCATATAGCTAGCCAGCTATCCTAGCACCATTTATTGAATAGAGAGTTCTTTCCCCATTGCTCATTTTTGCCAACTTTGTAAAAGATTAGATGGCTGTGCGTGGCTTTATTTCTGGATTCTCTATTCTGTTCCATTGCATACTATCTGATTTTAAGACTTACTATGAAGCTATAGTAATCAAGATGGCACAGTATTAGACAAAGATAGACGCATAGATCAATGAAACAGAATGGAGAGTCCAGTGATAAACCCATATAAATAGAGTGTATTAATTTTTGACAAAGGTGCAAAGGCCATTCAATGGAGAAAGAATAGCCTCTTCAACAAATGGTGTGGGAACAATTGAACACACCTCTGCCCAAGAAAGGAGGAAAAAGAGACTTAACTTTCTTTAAAAAAAAAAAAAAGGAAGGAAGGAAAGAAAAAAGAAAGAAAAGAAGGAATGGAGGGAAGGAGGAAGGAGAAAATACACTGATATATATCTCACACCTTATACAAAAATTAACTCAAAATAGACCACAGATCTTAAATATAAAACTATAAAATTTTTAAAAGACTACATACGGTGAAAAACTTTGTGACCTTAGGTGAGGTAAAGAGATCTTAGACATTTTTTGTACCAAAAAAAACACAATAAAAGAAAAAAGGTAATTAACTGGACTTCACTAAAAAGATTTTCCTCTGCAAAAGACAGGTAAGAGAATGAAAAAACAAACTACAGAAAAGGAGAAGTCATTTACAAATTACATAACTACTTGTACCCAGAATATTTAAATAACTCAAAACTCAACAATAAGGAAAACAACTCAATTAAAAAGTGGGCAAATATTTGAACACACTTCACAAAGAAAATATGTGGATGGCAAATAATTAGATGAAAAGATGATCAACATCATTAGTCATTAGGGAAATGCAAATTAGGGCCACAATGTGACACTACCGTACGCCTATTAGAATAACTTTAAAAAAAAAGGAAAAAACAAGCTGACGATAGCAAGTGCTGCTGAGGATGTAGTAATGAACTCTCTTACTCATTGCTGGTTGGAAGGCAAAATAGCACATCACTCTGGAAAATAATTGTGGTAGCTTCTTACAAAGTTAAGCATACACTTAATATATTATCCAGTTATCTCACTCCTAGGTATTTACAGAAATAGAAACTTGTCTTCAGACAAAACCCTGCATATGAATGTTTATAGGAGTTTTCTCCATAACCACTCAAAATTGGAAACAACCTAAATATTCTTCAATGGATTAAAAAACGTGGTACACCTATACAATGGAAAACTACTCAGCAATAAAAAGGAACAAACTACTGATGCACACAGCAACATGAATCTCAAAGGCTGAGTGAAAAAAGCCAGAGACAAAGGTTGCTGCACACCCTATGATTCCATACATATGAAAAGCAAAACTGTAAGGACAGAGAACAGATCAGTGGTTGCTAAGGATCAGGACAGGGTGAGGGTTTCACTATGAAGGTATGCATGAGGGATTTTCTGGGGTGATATAACTGTTCTGCATCTTGACTGTAGTCACGTCTATGTGTTAAAACTCTTACCATTGTACACCCCCATAAAGGTGATCTATTTTACTATCTGTAATTAAAAAAAAATTAAGCCTCTTGATCCAGGCTTCTTCCCACCACACTACACAGTCTCCAAAGAGGCCAGGTGTCACTCTTAGCAAGTGCTGGTCCATCACAACTTTACTTTACAGAGTATAATCCATAGCTGTTCAATTTTGTCTCCCAGAAGCAATTTTCTCTCTTAATTACAACTGTATTTTTAATTACAAAAACCTTGCTTTCCCATTTCGGGTGTTCTGGGTGGAAGAGTAACTAATTTGGGTCATAAGAATGCTGTGCTTTCTGCATTCTGCACCTCAGTCATCCCAAACTTTCATGGTCTCTGCCTATTTCTAAACCTCATGCCAACACTTCTCATCAGTTAGGCTGTGTGTGGTTGCAAATAACAGCTTTCTGAAAATAATATGGAGATTGTATTATCTCACAGGACTGGAAGCTCAAAGGTTTAGCAGTATAAAGATTGATTAATTCTATGAACACATGCATATAATCAGGGCTTTACTATCAAGGAAAAAGGCAATGAGAGAGATAGTTTAGGCATTAGACAACCAACAGTGTCTCCTGAATTCTCTCCCCTCTG
The DNA here is from genome assembly GCF_000001405.40 of Homo sapiens. NCBI lineage: Eukaryota > Metazoa > Chordata > Mammalia > Primates > Hominidae > Homo > Homo sapiens. Next base: position 48,987,189 of record NC_000016.10, on the reverse strand, counting down.
CCACTATACCCTAATAGTCTTCTTTATTTTTGAGAAGGAGTCCAGCTCTCTTGCCCAGGCTGGAGTACAGTGGCGCCATCTTGGCTGACGGCACCCTCTGCCTCCCAGGTTCAAGCGATTCTCCTGCCTCAGCCTCCTGTGTTGCAGGAAGTCAGGAACCCCGAATGGAGGGACCGGCTGGAGCTGCGGCAGAGGAACATAAATTGTGAAGATTTCATGGACATTTATCAGTTCCCAAATAATGCTCTTATAATTTCTTATGCCTGTCTTTACTTTAATCTCTTAATCCTGTTATCTTCATAAGCTGAGAATGTATGTCACCTCAGGACCACTATTGTATAAATTGATTGTAAAATGTGTGTTTCAACAATATGAAATCAGGGCACCTTGAAAAAGAACAGAACAACAGCGATTTTCAGGGAACAAGGGAAGACAACCATAAAGTCTGGCTGCCTACGGGGTCAGGCAGAATAGAGCCATATTTTTCTTCTTGCAGAGAGCCTATAAACAGATGTGCAAGTAGGAGAGATATCGCTAAATTCTTCTCCTAGCAAGGAATATTTAATATTAAGACCCTAGGAAAAGAATTGCATTCCTTGGGGGAGGTCTATGAATGGCCGCTCTGGGAGTATCTGTCCTGTGTGATTGAGATAAGGACTGAAATACAACCTGGTCTCCTGCAGTACCCTCAGGCTTATTAGGGTGGGGGAAAAAATCCCACTGTGGTAAATTTGAGGTCGGACCAGTTCTCTGCTCTCGAACCCTGTTTTCTGTTGTTTAAGATGTTTATCAAGACAATACGTGCACAGCTGAACATAGACCCTCATCAGTAATTCTAATTTTGCCCTTTGCCTTGTGATCTTTGATTTTGTCCTTGCCCTATTTCCTCAGAAGCATGTGATCTTTGCTCTGCCTTTTGCCCTTTGAAGCATGTGACTTTGTGACCTACTCCCTGTTTGTACAGCCCCTCCCCTTTTGAAATCCCTAATAAAAACTTGCTGGTTTTGTGGCTCAGGTGGGCATCACGGATCTACCAATACGTGATGTCACCCCCAGCAGCCCAGCTGTAAAATTCCTCTCTTTGTACTCTTTCTCTTTATTTCTCAGACCAGCTGACACCTAGGGAAAATAGAAAGAACCTACATTGAAATATTGGGGGTGGGTTCCCCCAATACTCCTATGTAGCTGGGATTACATGCACCTGCCATTGAGCTGATTTTTGTATTTTTGTAAAGATGAGGTTTCACCATGTCAGCCAGGCTGGTCTTGAACTCCTGACCTCAGGTGATGCAAATGCCTTGCCCTCCCAAAGTGCCAGGATTACAGGCATGAGCCACCATGCCCAGCCACCCTAGTAGTTTTCTAATATTAATAAGTTACTCTTTGCCCAAAGTAACCCACACCCATTTCTGTAGCTTGTAAACAAAGATTCCTAACTGTTGGGCAGATCTGATGAGATGTTGTATCACCATTGAAATGCAAGACCCTGGAGTCAGGAGCATGTTGGACTGCTCACCACTGTGTTATATCCCCAGCACCTAGAACACTGCTTGGCATATGGCAGCAATAGAAAATTTGATTGTCAACCAACCAATCAACAAAATGACTAGAATATGGGCTGTGTGATGGCACACATTTTTGTTCATTTTGTTTGCTGTTAAATCCCCAGTGCCCAGAACAGTGCCTAGAACATGGTTGTCATTCAATAAATATTTGCTGCATAAATGTATGCATTTCTGGAGCGTCTGCAGTGGGCCTGGCTCTGCACTAAAGTCTGGAAATATAGCTGTAAACAAGTCAAACAAGCACTGACTCCCCAGAGATATTTGGGACACACAAATAATTAGCCTTAAGAGCTTAAGAAGTGGAAAAAAAAAGATGTCAGAGTACAACTATTCCATGGCTATGGTGGAGAGACGTTAAGGTGGCTCCTAATTACCTCTGCCTCCTGGTGCCCATGCCTTTGTGTAATTCCCTCCCCTTGAAGTGCATGTGGGACCTGTGACTTGCTTCTAATCAGTAGAATATGGGAAAGGTGGTAGACATTATTCCCATGATTATGTTACATTATAAGACTCCATCTTGGCCAGGCATGGTGGCTCACACTTGTAATCCTGAGGTCAGAAGTTTGAGACCAGCCTGGCCAACATGCTGAAACCCTGTATCTACTAAAAATACAAAAAATTAGCCTGGTGTGGTGACAGACGCTTGTAATCTCAGCTACTTGGGAGGCTGAGGCAGGAGAATCTCTTGAACCCAGGAGGCGGAGGTTGCAGTGGGCCGAGATCACGCCACTGCATTCCAGCCTGGGCAACAAGAATGAAACTTTGTCAAAAAAAAAAAGAGCTTGCTTCTAATAGCCACTCTCAGGAACAGAGAATGCGCCTCTGAGAATCCAAGGGCAAAGAGGGCCACTTTCCTCAGCATTGATCTGCCCTTTCACATTGCCATCTGCTCCCTTCAGGATGTTCCTCAAGAAAAAAAAGGAAGAAACCAAATAAAATTAAAGATGTTGCCAGATGTTCCCAGCAGAAGCAACATCTTGGGTGAAAATTTCTGAGGCCCACTGATACATTAATTGGTGCCAGGAGGTTGGGGATGTCAGGAAGAGGCAGATATAAAATGCATGTTTTTCTGGAGACAGTCTCTAGGAGGAAGACTTCACTCCAGGACCCCAGGTAGAGGTCATAGCATCGCAAAGCAGAATATTGGCGAAGCCCATAACCACATTCTAAAACTGCTTGGATGGCATCTTCCCCACTTCACCTCTTGGTGTCCTGAAGGGAAGAAGCTGTGGTTATCTTTCCTGCATTCATTCTGTGGCTCTGAATGCCCTGTCCTGTCTGTCTGTTTCGTCCACTTAGAAGATATCCTGGAACCTTCCACCAGCAGGTCTGCAGGGCACTTCTAAATCCATGTGTCTGAAACGCAGCTCTCCTCTTCCTCCTCTCCACGCCACCCCTTGCCATGCCTGCACTGTGCAACATGGGCAGCGCATGCAGTGTCCTCAATCCTGGTTTATGGCATCCTGATTCGCTTCATCCCTCAAGCTGGAAACTGCACTCATTTCAAACTTCTCCCCTTGCTCATCTCCTGCATACAATGAACAACCTGTTGTGGCTTCTGACTGCCTCTGTAACCTGCCCCACCTCCTCACCCATCAGTCATTGGCTGTCGCCATCTCTCTCCTGAATGACCTACCATCTTGGGTGTGATCGCCTTGTCCAACTACTCTGTCCTTCCCAGTCATTCCTCACACAACCCCCCAAATTCTCTTTGTGAGGTATCACCCTGGTCTTGCCACTCCCCTACTCACAAACCTTTGAGGGATTATTTGCTTCCTCCTCAGGGCATCGAAGGTCCATGGCCATCAGAGAGCACCCTCCCCTTCCAGCTCTGTGGCTCTGCTCCTCCTCTGCCCCACACCCGCATCAGCATTCCCCTGTGCTCAGTCCTGCTAGAGTACAGATCGAACCACCTGACAATTGCTCACATGCTATCTCCTCCGGGCACTGTGACTCTTGACAATCCAGGACCATGGTTTCATGCGTGTATCTCTCTCTCTCTTCAATGGCTCACTGCTTCCCAAGGCAAAACTGCTCCCAGCCAGTTCAGCTGACATGGTCTTCCTCCCACACGTTTGCCGCTAACCCCATCCTACTCCTCCAATTATTGCCTCTACTTGCTTGCCCCCTTAGACTTTGTTCTTGATACCCAAATCTCACTCATTTTGTAAGCCTACTTCATCCATGCAGCCTTCCTGGTAGCTCCTGCTCATTCTCGTTTGCTCTATGTTTCCAGAGTGGAAGCTCCACATGAGCTGTTATCCTCTTTGTCTAGTCTACTGTTCCATCTCCACTGCTTAGAAAAATGCATGTTTTCTAAGATGAGGAAAGATGAGAAAAGGAAGGAAAAGGGAGGAAGGAAAGAAGGGAGGAAGGAAGGAAGGGAGGCAGGGAGGGAGGGGAGGGGAGAAGAGGGGGAGGGGAGGGGAGGGAAGGCTGGCCTTCCAGGACTGAAACGTTGCTATATCCTAGTCTTTGTTTTTCCTTATTGTTTGTGCATTTGTCTAGCCTACATAAGAGGTCAGAGAAAGGAGAAAAATCATTATTGCTTGAAGTGATCAGAGGTATTACAGTTTCCCGGACATAGGCAGGACATACCATGCATATACCAATTCAATAAATATTTACTGAGCACCTACTCATGGTGCTAGACACTAGGTACAGTAGTAACCAAGACAGATATACGGCCCCTGACATGAACGATGTGATAATTCAGCAATCAAGGGTGCTGGGGTAAGGGAAGAAGCAGAGGCATTTAGTTGGCATTCACTAGTGGAGCTGTATTGGTTGTTAAGATACTAAAATAAGTCCAGGCTCTTTTTAAAATAGCTACTACCTTGAGCTCCCCCCAAAACTCCTCTGCAACCTCCACTGCCCTGGGCCATCTTCTGAGAGTCTCAGATCTCCCTACAGCTTGAAAATTGAAGGGTTCACACCTGGCAGAGCAGGGCCTGGTTTATATAACTGGCATTTGTTCTAATTCCATGGTGCCTTTTGCCATATAGGATGTTACATATTTTGAATGTCACCTATGGGTAGAAGGACAACTGGGATGTCAGGGTGGGTTAATCCAGTGAGGACTTGGCCCTGTTTGCCCTTTTTCCAAGTGTGCTTTTTTAACCTCCTTTCCATATGAGAAATAAGAACCTAAAGGCGAAGTGATTTCACCATGATGACCAAGACATAAACATTACCGGAAAACTCAATTCAAAGTTAAAAACGAGCCAAATTCCAATGTGGAGAATGTAGGTAGGGATCAGCTTATTAAAGAGCTCAAGGCCATGGTTAAGAAATTTGCAAGTGAAAGTCAACACCAGGGCTTGGACCCTTTCCTCAAGGCAGGCAAACTTCTGGAACTTTCATTTTATTTTTGTGTAAATGCCAATATCCTCCTTGTGATATTGTTATAATTTTGCAAAATGTTTTCATTGGGAGAAACTGGGCGAAGTGTATAAGTAATCACTCTGAATTATTTCTGACAAATGCATGTGAATCTACAATTACCTCAATAATCATTTTGATTTTAAAAAAAAATCTTAAATTCAGTAACTTTCTTCTCATACTGAAGTCCTGGTAAGAGACTGGCAGGGTCTTCTATAAATTGAATGGTAGGCCAGAATGGGTGTGTGGGATTGGGAAGACCAGAGGTCCTCCTGCTAAAAAGGCAATAGGGGGCCTAGGGCAGCTGTAAAACATCCCCACCTGAAGGCTCCAGCAACCCAGGCTCAGACCCCAGTTCTGATGTCCCATCTGCTAGGACCACCAGCATTGTGGCCCATCCAGATTCTTCACTGGCCCTTTTAGTGTGCAAAGGATAGCAGTTGTTTTTATCTGCCTAACAACCCTTCCATCCTGCAAGAGCAAACTGCTTCTGCTGCTGAATTCCCCCTTCCCATGCCACATGTTTGTGGAGTGGCTGCCAATCCCACTGCCCTGCCCAGTGGTGCAAGGAAAGGACATAAACACGGGCCTGGCTAATCATAGTCTGCCTCCCCATAGGCAGCAATCTCTGGCCCAGGATTGGCCTAAAGGCCAGAGCTGGATCAATCAGAGTCCATCGTGGATTTTTGCCTCCCATGTGGCTGGAGAAACACTCTTTCTTTTGATGTTGCTGAGTTAGATGATGCAAGCCTGGATCTGGGCAAGGTAATGCCTACTCTCCCTGCATGCAGGGACAGAGTCCATCAGTGGTAGAAGCGATGGGGGCCAATATGAAGAGAATCCATGAAATGAGAGAGAGGAACAGAGGAAGAAAGCAACCTCACCTGAGCCTCTGGAGGCCATGGTCTCCAGTTACATAAGACAGTGCATCCTGTGCACTTGAGCCAGCTTGCACTGGGTTTCTGTCACTAACCCATGGCCTAACCTTTCATGAAGCAGGCCTGTGAACTTACACTGACATCCTCAGTACACAGCATGGACCAGTTGGTCCCAGCAAAAACCTTCCAATACCTTTCCCCATGGCCATGATACTGAAAACAGAGACATGTTTCTAACAGAGACAAACCATCAGTTCCATGGATGATAAATGGATGAGACTGCAGAAGGGCCATGGCAAGGCAAGATGCGGCATCCAACTCTCACATACACATAGATCCTGCACTAAGATCCTTGCAGTCCTTCCGCTGAGGGAGCTGGCTGTTCCAAAAGATTAATATTGTTTACATGAGCTATTAGTGTCTATGCAAAAAAAAGATGAGCCTGGCAGAGAAGAAGATTTGATGTAAACAACTCCATCTCTATCTCAGAGTAGAGGTTCCTGCTCTTGGCACTCCTTTCTGGGATAGTTTGTCAAATATCTACTAGGTGTGAACAGCATCCTAGGCACTGTGGGAATGGAGAGAGATAAGCAAGACTGGAATCTTTCCCTCAGGAACATGGGCTATTTGGGAGGACGGGCACCAACAATAGATGTAGCACAATGAGGTTAAAAGCAAGGTTCTGGAATCAGAAAGTTTAGGTTCAGAATCCCAGCTTGGCCCAACCTATGAGCAGCCAGGAACCAGACATAGACATCAGCCACATTTCTTTAGCAAGCAACAAAGACTCTGTGTTTTTGTGTCTCAGTTTTCTTCTCGGTGAAGTGAGAATAACAACAGTGCCTATCTCAGTGGTGCAGTGAGGATTGAATGGGATAACACGTGTAAAATTCCTGGCAGATAGTGCATACTTGGTAAATGCTATCTGTATCGTTTTTATCATAATCATCACCATCGTCATCATCATCAATCATTAGTACTCTCATTATCACCAATACTATAGCAAGGACTTCAGAATAAGCCATGAAGGAAGCCAGAGTTCCGTGGGAATAAGGAGAAGAGAACATAACTGGGGGGTCCCAAGAAGCATTCTGGACGAGGTTTCATGAGCTGGACCTGTAAGTATAGATAGGTGGTGGGGAGGACATTCTCAGAGCTACAAGGCCAGAAAGCATTGAGACTAGAACCAGGGTCATTTCTGCTTTTCTAATCACCTGGGATTTAGCATCGCCCATCTCACAGAAAGAAGGGAGCTACCCAAACTCCCAAACACCCAAGGTCTGAACCACATTATTGCATATCTTGGACTTGCTGCTAGGTCTACAGTTTGGTCCTAGGGCCTGAGAAGGCTCATGTCTTGTCCTCAAAATCCTGAAGTGGAAGGAAGTGGCAGCCTGCCATTTCCTCTCTGAGCCAGAACTTCAAGCCTCATGGAGATGTGCTCCTTAAGCCCCCTGCTCAATCTTGTTCTTCAGATGGCTTCACTGTCCAGCTTGAACAGGTCCTATCCAACACAGCCCTTAGCATGGTGCCTGGCATGTGGCAGACTCTCAGCACATGCATGATGAATAAATGAACTCCTTGAGCATACTGTAGCCTCAGTTAACCCTGAGCTATAGCCTCTATGACTGGTGATAAGACACATGAAATCTTGGCTGGTCCGTGGGTCATCTGACTCATTCCTATCTGTGGGCAACCAGGTGCCCAGAAATGGACAGCAGACCCTCTTGGGATGTGTTTTCTCCTCTAGGTGGTTTCCCTTCTGAGAGCCTCAAGAGTCTCCACTTGGCCACATGACTCTAGAAGTACTTGGAAGGAAGTCCTTATCAGAGGAAGTCTTAGGTAATGGCTATCCACCCACACCCTCACCCAAACACACACACAATCTAAGGTAACTCAGTGGATATCTGTTGTTTCTGCTTGCCCAAATTCATTCTTCTCTTGTTCTAGCAATGGCTACTCAGCTGTCCTCTGAAGAAGGACCTGTTCCTTACTCTTCCTCTGTGTGGTTAGGGTGTGGCTGACACCTATCCCCATTTGTTTCACAGGTGGGCACTTAACCTGGGCTTACCCAATCTTCACATTCCATCTCCCTGGCCACGGTGATTGGTTCAGGAGTAAAGAAGTGATCCCAGCTGGTCCAATAAGGGAAAGATTTGAAACTTAGATGGAACTATTGGGACTAGAAGCTATCTTTACAGACATGGGCCCATGGCTGCCTGCAGACAATTTGGTACCTCATGAGGACAACCTGTCCCAGGGTGAGGCCAATACAGAGGAGATCCAAACTGGGATATGATCAAGGAGCATTTGAGTGGCTGGAGCTAGCCATGTCTGAAGCTGACATAACTTGGTAAGACAATACTCTTTTTTGCTTAACCCAATTTAAGCTGGGTTTTCTGTCACTTGCGACTGAATGAGTCCTAATGGCACAAATAGGGCAGCATGAAGGCCAGCTCACGTGTCCAAGAAAACCCTGTCTTGAACCCTAGATCAAAGAGGTTTTGTTCCTGGGAATTTGTCTTTTCTGCTCATTCGACAAATATTTGTTGATCCCCTGTGAAAGAATTGGGAAAATATTTTCAATCTCAAAAATCGCAAGAATGACTAATGCACTGGTTATCTGGGTAGTCAGGGATGGATCTCTGAGGAGCTGAGTGGTGAGATCTGAGGAAGTAAAGACATGCACAGTGGTTTAGTTGGGCAAGAACATGGCATGTGGCTTGGGTTTGGGCTTCTGTCACTATAACTCACCAGCTGCATGATCTTGTTGGGTAGGCATCTAGAACCCTCAGTTCTTCTATTTTTAAAATTGGGATATTAATTGGCCAGGTACAGTGGCTTATACCTGTAATCCCACCACTCTGGGAGGCCAAAAGGGGCAGATTACTTGAGATCAAGAGTTCGAGACCAGCCTAGCCAACATAGTGAAACCCTGTCTCTACTAAAAATGCAAAAATTAGCCAGGCATGATAACACATGCCTGTAGTCCCAGCTACTCGGGAGGCTGAGGCAAGAGAGTTGTTTGAAGCCAGGAGACAGAGGTTGCAGTGAGTTGACACCACACCACTGCACTCCAGCCTGCACGACAGAGTGAGGCTCTAACTCAAAAAAAAAAAAAAAATCAGGCGACTATTAATATCTGTTCCACTGAAGCCAGCTGACTGTTGTAAAAGCAAGCAGGCAAACAACAAACAAACAAACAGAAACAAAAAGTGATTTGAATTGTTAAAAGCAATATATTTTTGAATGAGAGAAAATCATTATATAAATTGACATGAGGCACCTTAACTTCTGACCAAAATAAAGTAACAGATTCATCTTCCCACCTTAAACAACTAAGAAACCAGACAAAATATATGGAACAATTTGTATGCCCTTGTTCACAATATCATTATTTACAATAGCTAAAACATGGAAGCAACCCAAGTGTCCATCAACAGACGACTGGATAAGCAAAATGTGGTACATATATTCAATGGAATATTGCCCATCTTTAAAAGAAAGGAAATTCTGACATGCTATAACATGGCTGAAGCTTCAGGACATTATGCTAAGTGAAATAAGCCAGTCACAAAAAGACACGTACTGTATAATTCCACTTATATGAGGTAGTTAGAGTAGTCAAATTCATAGAGACAGAAAGTAGAACCATGGTGCCAGGAGCTGGGGGGTGAGGGAAAAGGGAGAGTAGTATTTAACAGGTACAGAATTTCAGTTTTCCAAGGTGAAAATCATTATGGACTCAGGATATGGTGATGGTTCCATGGCATAATAAATGTATTTAATATCACTGAACTGTATACTTAAAAGTGGTTAAAATAGTGAATTTTACGCTATTTATGGAAATTTTCTGTATATGTATATTTTACCACAATAAAAAATTTTTTTAATGTGGAACAACAATTTTCAGACATTGGGCTACAGGCAGTGCAAGATTCCTGATAAAGAAACAAATGAAGTGAGCCCTTCAATTCTGTCAGCTTATTGCCTGGAAAGGGTTTTCAGGCTGCAGTGCAGGGAAGACCGACCATTCCAGGCAGAGCTCAGTGGTCTCTCTGAGTTGAAGAGATAGAACTGGAAGTTTGGGGAAGGCAAGGGAGCTAGAGTTTGCAGGGCAGAGTACCACAGAAGAGAGATCTGCACAGAAAGAGGACTCCGGTGATTCCCCCTCTAGTGTTCTGCAGAGTACTGAACTGCATATGCATGTGAGGGGGCTGTTCATGGCTGGGGAAAGATCCACTGGACATGAGCAGGCAGAACAATTGCTAGAGCTCAAATAGAGTTTGGAATGATTCGCATTCCCAACAGCCAGCATGGAGAAGCCTCATACTACATAGTACATCAGAGAGAGTACTCAGAAAGGAATTGCCTCTCTAATAAAACCAAACTAGCTCTAAAGACTAGTCTGATACGAGCTAACAAAGCTTTTTGAAGCAAGTCTTAATGGGATCAAACAATTTTCAAGTAACTTACATAAATTTTAAACAAAGCTCACAAACACTTAAAGGAATACAAAAAAATCCAGCTCAAAACAATGTAAAACTCACAATGTCTTATACTCAGTCAAAAATTACCAGACAAAGAAAGCATCAGGAAAATACAACACCCCCCACCCAAAAAAAAAAACAGTAAAAACAGACCCAGAAATAACACAGATGAATATAAGTGGTGGAAGAGGACATTAATAGAGCTATTATAAATGTACTGCATATGTTCAAGAAGGTAACAGAAAGCATAAGAATAAAAAGAAGAAATTGGGGAAATATCAAGACCCAAATTGAACTTCTAGAGATGAAAAATAGTGTTTAAAATGAAAAAACAAAAAGCACTTGAAAGAATTAAAATTGACGTGAAGAAGGTGAGGAGCATCCAAGTTGAGGGTACTTTGCAGACATGGAATGAAACCAAACTGGGTGTGAAAGGTGGGATTGCAAGTAGAGCATCAGCAGCATTTCAGTCCCACAGCACATCAGCCAGCCATCTTACTTCAGGTCATAATCTGCAAAGCCATATACAATGGGCCAGTGTAAATCAGTGCCAATGCAGAAGAAGGAATGTCACAAGCGTCATGAACCGCTGCTTCCTGAAAGACCCATGGACTGAACCACAATTCCAACTCTGCCTGAGATTACTTTCACCTGCTTCTAAGAATGAGCAAAAAGCCCAATAGCTAACTGCACCTTCTTCCCCTTCTCCCTCCATCAAGATCTCCATGTCCCTCTTCCCCTCACTCTGCCATCGCTCGGGAGTTAATTTCACTTTGGCTAAAGATAATCAAAGGTACCAGGACTCTGACACACACAGCCATGGACAGGGTCCTACACAGAGGCTACTGCCAAGATTTAAATGCTGAAACGATATACACAGGATCTGTATCAATGCAGATCCCTCTCTAATGAAAACCTGTGGTTTAAAAAAAAGTAAATAGAAAAATCTGTCCTGCTACTGGCCCCTCAGCAACAGCACCAGGAAGTCGTTCAGGATCTATCCAGAGAATCTACTCCACATTTGCCAAGAAGATGCCCTTGTTTTAATTCCATTCAGCCTGGAAACTCCAGGGAATATTCAGAACCCTAGAGACAGAAACAATATAAAGACAGTCATTTCTCTCTGAAACAACAATTTGTATTTTCATATCTTTGATACACAGTCTAATACTCAAATCAATAGGCCAATGGAGATTCACCTAGTGCAAGTTTAATAAGGAAAATTGTTAAAAAAAAAAAAAAAGATTTGGAAAGCTAGAGATATTACCTGCAGCTGTGTTAGACTGTGAAGGTGGGGTTAGGTTGGCTCTTTCTTTCTTCCCCAGTGTAATGAAATTGAGAAGCTAAACCTCTGAGTTCATTATAATCATATAGAAATGGGAGCTTCTGGCTGCTTCTCGCTCCCTTTTACCCCTCCTACCTTTACCCCAATCAATACAACAAGTTTTATCTTCTCTGATGAAAGCTCAAATTTCTGGCTATTTTTGCAAGTTAGGCTTCTTCAAGTCTGGTCCAGCTTTGCAGATCTGCATAGGTAATGGACTATTGGGGTGGGGTGGCATGGAGGAGTGGAAACAGAGAAGACAATGTGATGGCTATGGCTGTAGTCCAGGTAAAGCAAATTAGAGGCGTGGGTTTTGGAAACCCAAAGCAAATGTCCCAGGGGGTGGGTGGCAACATGGATGAAAACAAAATCTGTGACACAGAGAAGCTACACAAGGTTGAGAAGAACAGAGAAGTTGGGCAGCAGGTAGAGGATTGTTCTTGCAGAGTTCTTTTCTTATCCCATCACCATGGCTTCCTCTTGAAGGTGACATGATTCCCTGATGCCAAGGTTAAGCTCCGTTCATAAAGACAACGGCCCTGGCTTCTTTAGGAATAAGAAATGTGACCATGCAGCCTCCATATTAATGTTTGATTGGAACAACTATATTTTAGGCTCTATCCATTCAATAAATATTCATTTATTTATGTAAACACCAGGCATTGTTCTAGGCCCTGGGGATACGACAGTGAACACTATCGACTAGCTCATGGAGCTTGCATTCTGGTAGGAGGAAATGGAAAATAAATAGACAAACAAACAAGTAAACAAGAAAACATCAGATAGTGAGGATGCTATAGGGAAAGTTGTAAAAGGGCTACTAAAGCTTGGAATGGCATTTCTGAAAGAAAAAAAAGTGGTGAGGAGGAGGTAGTATTTTAGCTGAGATTAAATGAAAGGAAGGAGCCACTGTGTGAAGATCTGGGGGAAAGGCCTTCCAGACAGAGGAAACTGCAAATACAAAGACCCTTAGGTGGAAAGAAGTTTTGGGTGGAAGAATAAAAATGAATGTCTGTGTGGTGAGAAAGTAGTGAGTGAAGGGAGAGTGATAAGAGACAGTTAAAAAGTTAATCAATATGAGTATCATGTAAGAACATGTGGGTTTTTATAGAAAGGAATTGTGTTAGGAAACAATTGTCCTGAGTTATGTTTTGTAAAGCTCTTTCTGGTTGCTGCATGGGTAACGGACTGCTGGAATGGGATAGCATGGAGGCGCAGAAGCAGAGAAGACAGTTAGAAAGCTCTGGCTGTAAAGCTACAGCTGTAGCCCAGGCAAGGGGTGATGGACATTTGAATTAGGATGGGAGCAGAGAGAGGGTGAGAAGTGGTTGAATGGGGTATATTTTGGAGGTAGAGGTAATGGGATCGGCTGGTGCATGTGGTAGGGGAGAAATTTCAGGAGAGGATTCAGGGATGGCGCTTAGGTTTTGGCTTTGAGCAGTTGGTTGATTGGATGTCTTGCCCACTCCTGAGATGAGGAAGACAGGAGAGAAATCGAAGTCCTGACTTGAATGTCTAACACTGAGATCTTTATTTGACACTCAAGTGGAGATGTCAGGAAAGCACTTGGATATAGGCATTAAGAGCTGAGTTGTAGGGACCTAAATTATCTGGACCAGCCTTCTAACCATCTAGCTCTGAATTCCACTCCCTCCTTCAGCTCGGTGTTCATGTACTCAGCAAACACCCGGGGAGTGTCTACTGTGCTCTACGGCCTAGACTCAGTGCTGATGGAGTTACAGTGACATGAGCAGGGCTTGAGGCAGGACCTGTCCACTCAGCCCTGGATCTTTGGTATATAATGGGGCTATCTAGATTTTATTTTTCCTGCTGAATGGCCACCCCAGTGAATATCAATGCTCTACTTGTTTATTCCAGGGTTTTTCTCAGTTTGGTGTCTGTACAGAGCACCCTTGACATAACTAACTCCATCTTAGAAAAAGACTCCATTTTATATTTCATAGGGCCCTTTGCCAATGAGGATAAGATGTTTCACTTAAGAAACAAATAAAAAAAATAAAGACTGCATCCAACCAGATAAGGATACACACAAGTGCACTCTCCCACAATCTGTTCTCGCCAGAGGACTCTGACTATAAAAGAGCAGGCCAGGCGCAGTGGCTCACACCTGTAATCCCAGCACTCTGGGAGGCCAAGGTGGGCGGATCATCTGAGATCAGGAGTTCAAGACCAGCCTGACCAAAATGGAGAAACCCCGTCTCTACTAAAAAAACAAAATTAGCCGGGCGTGGAGACACATGCCTGTAATCCCAGCTACTTGGGAGGCTGAGGCAGGAAATTACTTGAACCCAGGAGGCAGAGGTTGCAGTGAGCCGAGATCGTACCATTGCACTCCAGCCTGGGCAACAAGAGCAAAACTCTCTCTCAAAAAAAAAAAAAAAAAAAAAAAAAAAAGAGCAGGCCTTCTGCAGCTCAAAATGGCCGTCTTCACTGGCACTGTCTTGCAGTTACTCGTGATAAGAACTTGGCCTCAGCCAGAAGGCTCTGCCACATCCAGGACTCTTCTTCCCAGACAGAGAGACCCATGGAAGAAGTACCAGACAAGGACTCCTTTTGTTTTCTTCATTCTCCCTGGACTGGCTCATTAACCTTTACTCTCCTTTTTCCTCTTCGTGTTAAATGCTATTTTGTTTACTGTGGAATGTTCAATCTAGAACATGTGTATATTAAGCATACTATTATATATGGTTTGCAATATTGACTGACTTGAAGAATGGCTTGATCCTGTGTGCCTGTGGGCTCTGACTCCTGAGTGAACGAGAAGTCCTGAAGAGGAGGTTATGGCTTTTGTGATTGAAGCAGCATCAATAAAAACCTGACATTGCAGAAAGACAAAAACATGCATGGACCTGGTTGTCTCTAACCTTGCACCACTCATGACCATGTCCCAGAGGCCCCCTTGGGAAAGAATCTCAGAGTCATTACTCAAGTCTCCTCCAAGTGTTTGCCTAGACCAGCTTGATTACCTCCAGTGATGGAGCACACACTATCTGTGCTCTTTGAAGCGATCTGAGAGGTCTCTGGTATTGAGATTCTCCGGGGGAAACAGAAAGCCTGGGGTCAAATTGCCAACATTCGCAGCTAAGTGATAAATCTGGGAATTGTAAGCAGCCAGGAACCTTTAAGAAGGCCTTCATGGAGGGTCTGCAGAAAGGCTCCATGCTACCCCCAGGGGCTTACATGTAGCAGCCCTGTGCACCTCTGGCCAGCCTACACCTAGAAACCGCTGGGTTACAGCCCCAGCTCCAGTACTTCTTAAAGAGGGTGACAAGGGCAGAATGTACAACTTCATATTGGAGATAATTTTTCTCACGTTCCCAGGTGTCTGTAGAGATGGGTCTTGATTAAGGTTTATTATCCTCCTGAGACTGGCAGAGCCACATAAAACACCCACAAGCTTTATTCATGGACTTTCTTCCCTTTATGGCCAGATAAAAAAACAGTCCAATCCTCCCAGCTCCCTAGATGGAGAGAAGGAAAGCCAATCCTAGGGACACCCTCACTGGTTCCAGGAGGCCTGCCTGGGCCTGTCCACATCCCACCCATGAGGCGTCAGCTGCCCACCTTCCCCCTCCCTCAGCCCCCTCTGCTGTCACGTCTCACCTCTCCTGAGTCACCAGAGCTTTAATTTGGGCTAATCTCCACTCCTGACTCAGGTAGGGGTGGTGGTGAAAAATCAAAATGAGGACACAAGCTGTCAGGAATAAGACAAGAGAGACTTGTCAGTCTAATCAACTTTATTAGCAGTGAGTCACAGGAAAGCCTCCAGCAGCTTCCCCCCTTTTCCTTGATGCCTCCCTTTAGTCTCTATGAAGTTGCCAGCAAAGCAGATGCAACCAAGCCAGGGCTCAATTAGCACAGAGGAGGTAGGAGCGGGGGAAGCTGTGTGGCACCCCCAGGGGACAGCACAGACACTGCTGTGATCAGGGCTGGCAGGAGGGAGGTGGCGGCCTGGTTGCTTCAGGTGAGGGGCTGAGGGTCTTCTCCCCCTGGGGAGGGGGAGGCTGTGAGGTTTAGGGACATAGTTTATAACCTCTAGAATTCTGGGGCTGGGAGGGATGGAAAGGCCCCATCTAAGCTAACCCCTTGCTTTGAGCCAGGGAAGGATCTTTAACAAGCCCTCCCCAGACCGGAAGGAGAGCACACATCACAGGACGACGGCCTGGATCCCTGGTAGATTTGCAGCTCCTGGTTCTAGATGTTGCTGAGACCTGGCCCTGAAACTACTTGCCTGGGGGTCTCAGATCTGTGTCCTCATAATGCATCTTCCCTTTTCTGCTGTACAGCAGCTTAAGTGGTTTTGTTTCTTGCAACCAAAGCGGTCTTGATTAAAAGAGTCTGAAACTATGGCATTTTGCAACATGGACCTACTGAATAAGCCTCCAATCTGGATTTTCTCTAAGCCCTAGAACTATATATCTAACTGCCTGGTGGACTTCTCCACTTGGGGTACTATAGGCCCCTAAACTCAATAGCCATTTTACTGTAAATGTCCAAACATTAGAGAGAGTGCTAAAGACCCCCTGAACCACATCCCATCCCCAGTCCCCTCCTTGGAGGGGAGCCCCATTATTGATTGGTTTGCATGAGGCCAGATCTTTTTAAAGGCATGTGCATGTGAACACACGCATATAGATATGTAGATGCATGTTTGTCTGTTTTGTTTACTTAAATGACTTTATAGTCAATATATCATTTGACAACTCACTCTTTTCCTATTCAAGTAAATATCAGCCTTTTAAACTGCTGCATATTATTTTACAAGCTGGATATACCGTAATTAATTTAATTATTCCCTATCACAGGACATTTAGGCTGTATTCTACTTTTATTTTTTTCAGTCACAGAGAGCACTGCAGGGGACTTCCTTGTAAAGACCCTTTGGGACACATGCCAGGGCTTTTTGGGGACAGGCATAGATAGCTGGACTTGCAGCTCCCAAGAAATGGATTCACTTCTGCCCTCCTCACCCACTATCCAGCCCGAGGAACCCAGGGGTCTTTCTTTTCCCTTTCAGCCAATCACCAGTGCTGGCTGGTGATCTCACCTTGCCTTCCGAATTCACAGCTTCTCATCCGTTTCACTGGGCCCGCTCGCCTTCAGACCCACCTACCCCCTGCCTCAACCATCACCATGGCGGTTTCTCACTGGCCAACCCCCAAGTTCAGCCCTGGCCCTGGCTAATCTGCTTCTACTCTTTGATAGAGGAACTTACTGAAAATGTAAACTTGATGGGGTGGTCCACCGCCTAACCACAGGCTCCTCAGCATCCCAAGAAAAGGCCCAAATTCCTCACTGTGGCATGCAAGGCACTTTGTTGTCTTGGACTGTTTTGTGCTGCTGTAACAGAAACCTGAAATTGGGTAATTTATAATTAACATAAATGTATTGGTTCATAATTCTGAAGGCTGGGAAGTTCAAGATCAAGGGGCTGGCAACTGGTAAGGGCCTTCTTGTTGTGTTATCCCATGGCAGAAGGGCAAAGAAAGAGCAAGAGATCAAACTTGCAGCCTCAAACCATTTTATAACCAGCATTAATCCATTCATGAGCGTGGAGCCCGCATGATCTAAACACCTCCCACTGGGCCCTGCCTCTCAACACTGTTGCTTTGGGGATTAAGTTTCCAACACATGCATTTTGGGGTGACCCAAGCCTGGCAGTGGTCCAAGCCTAGCTTCCCAGGCCAGATCATTTCTCTGTCACTTCTGCTGTAACCCTCTAAAAACAGAGAACTGGCTGTAGTCCTCCACTCACCCCCACTCTGCTATTTCTTGACTCGACTTTTGCTCATGCAGTGATTTCTTACACCACTAGACTCAGTTCAGGTGTGACCTCACCCAGAGAGCCATCTCCAAAGCAGAATCAGGTGCCTCTCTCAGGTCCTCTTGAAGCACACTCTGGCCCCTTTCGCATGGCACTTCTCACCCGTATGTTAATTATTCATATATGCATGTATCTGTTCTCCCACCAGACTGTGAGCTCCATATGGATGAGCACTTGATTTCTCCCACCACAGTGTCTGCAGAACACAGAGACAGCTCTGTCTCTCTCTTGATCCATGTGTTTTGGGAGATCTGGCCCCACTTCCTATCTCCATGAAATTTCAGTGTTACCCTGGGTTTTTTTTTGTTTTTTTTTTTGAGACAGAGTCTCTCTCTGTTGCCCAGGCTGGAGTGCAATGATGCGAGCTCAGCTCACTGCAACCTCCACCTCCTGGGTTCAAGCGATTCTCCTGCTTCAGCCTCCCCAATAGCTGGGATTACAGGTGTGTGCCACCATGCCCAGCTAATTTTTGTATTTTTAGTAGAGATGGGGTTTTACCATGTTGGCCAAGCTGGTCTTGAACTCCTGACCTCAAGTAATCCGCCTCGGCCTCCCAAAGTGCTGGGATTACAGGTGTGAGCCATTGCGCCCTGCCTCATCCTGGCTTTTAAGTCAGTCAGTAGGAATGGTCATTAGGTCTGGGACGTTTTGTTCAAACTCTTGGGAAAGAAAGGCTGTCTTCTCAGCTTGACTTGGCATTGTGAGACTATGAAGCTAACGAGACTGCTGCCACCTCACCATCTTCAGGAGTTGGCCCATGTAAGAATGGGAGCCAAGAAAAGAAAAGAATAAATACTGAGTTCTGACGACACCATCTGAGCTCCACAAAACGGGCATCTCTCCTCCATTGGACTTCCCTTTTGTGTAAGCCAATAAATTTCTTTTCATTTTAAGCTGGCTTGAACTGTGTTTTCTGTCACTTGCAGCTGAAACAGGTCAGTAGATGTGCAAAGAAAGGGCATGGATGTCTCAGGCCCCTGTGTGGTCCCCTCGTACATTGAATAGGGCTGACATGTGTGACCAATGGGATATCGCAGAAGTCACTGCATGTCACTTGCAAGACTAGGCCATAAAGAACTTTGCAGCTTCCACCTTGCTCCCTCTGGGGATGCCAGCCATCATGTCATAAACACATTCATTCAGTCCCCCTGGAGGGGCCCAGGGAAGAACTGAGATGTCCACCAAATTGCCAGCCATGTGAGACAGATGCCTTGGAAGCAGATCTCCAGCATCAATCAGGCTTTCAAAAGGCTGCAGCCTCATCAGACACCCTGAGCAAGCACCCCAAATCCCTAACACACAGAAGCTGTTAGAACAATCAATCATTATTGTGGTTTGAAGTCACTACATTTTCGGGTAATTTGTTACACAGCAATGTGTACCTCCCAAATCAGCTGCTCCAACATGGAAACCCTGACCTTCAACATTCCTCAACCTTCAGATGGCACCAAAATTGACCCAGCTTTTCAGACCAATAAAATAAAAACCTAGGCGTCATCCTTGAATTCTTCATTTTTCTTGCACTCCACAGCCAGTTCAAATATTAATCATGTTGGTTTTGCCTCCAAAATACATCCTGAATCCAACCATTTTTCTCTACCTTCACCTCTATAAACCTAGCGCGGCGACCCTAATCTCTCTTGACTGACACAATGGTCTCTGAACTGGTCTCAGCTGTGCTCTTAAATCCATATAAAAGACTCTTCTTGCAGTGAGAATAATCTTGTGAAAATTCACCACAGATCACATCATACCCCTGTTTGAAACCCTCCAATGGCTTCTCAGCTCCATTTGAATAAAATCCCAACTCCTTACCTGGGATTAAGGCCCTGCACGCTGGCTCCAGCTCCCTTACCAAACTCATCTCTTCTTATCCTCTATTATCCTCTGTGCTGCAGCACAACTGGCCTCTGTCTGCCCTGCAAACATGCAAGGACTGCTGTGGACAGGGTCCCACCTGATCACCCCTTTGGTAGGGCTTCTCACGGCTGTCCCTCATGATCCAGGCCTCAACTCAAATGTCACCACCCCAGACCTGCTTTAGCAGCCTCAACCTCCATTCTAGCCTTGGTTTACTGTCTTCTCCAAGCCATTTATCCTTACCTGAAACAGTATTATTTTTTTCAAAGGTCTTCCCTTCCCCACCCCCTCACTAAAATATAACCTTGGTGAGGGCAGAGGCCTTGTCTTGTTATTCACTGCTATGATTGTATGGCCTAGACCAGTGTCTGCTATATAGCAGGTGTTCAATACATTTTGTTGTCTGAACAGCTGACCAGTGTTCCACAGAATAGTCTTTGGGAAATACTGAGCTAAGTCATCTCAAAGGTCAGTTGCAGCTCCTAAAATGGTGCTGTTTCTTATTCAGCCTGATTCTGCTCTTCCCTTTGCAAAAGATGCATCCAATGGAAGGGAGAAAACTCATCTTCTCTTCGCAACTGGAGTTTTCTCATCATCTAGGTAGGGTGGTTGTGGCTTAGATAAGGCTAGTGGCTTCCTGAAAGCTCCACAGCCAGCCTGTGCCAGGGCTGGGAATCGGAATTCCACTCTGCCAACCCTGAGAAGCTTTGAGGTGGAGGAGAGGAGAACCAAAAGAGTTGGCAGAGCTTGTTTGCTAATGGAAGGGAAGTCACCATGATGCTGATGAAGCCCCAGGGCCCTCACTAACACTGATCCTTTCCAGGGCCCTCACAAGCACTGACCCTTCCCAGGGCCCTCACTCGCACTGACCCTTCCCAGGGCCCTCACTCGCACTGACCCTTCCCAGGGCCCTCACTCGCACTGACCCTTCCCAGGGCCCTCACTCGCACTGACCCTTCCCAGGGCCCTCACTCGCACTGACCCTTCCCAGGGCCCTCACAAGCACTGACCCTTCCCAGGGCCCTCACTCGCACTGACCCTTCCCAGGGCCCTCACATGCACTGACCCTTTTCAGGACCCTCATTCACACTGACCCTTTCCAGGGTCCTCACATGTACTGACCCTTTTCAGGGCCCCAGGAGAGGCACTAGCAATGGGCTCACATGTTCAGATGTTTTTGTACAACCTGCAAAAGCAAGGTATTTGAACCACATCAGCTGACTCCGCTATTTCTTTCCCCGGCCATGTGCTCCTGCCAGGCGATGTTGGGAAAGTGTGGGCATTTGGGGATCTGACTGGGAAGAGGTTGTGTCAGAGTTACATCTAGCATGAACATAAGGGGATATATTTACACAGTTTTCAATTGATCTCATGGAGACTTTAGCTTTTGCCAGCTGTTCTGGTGTAGGCATGACTTCCAGGAATATCTCTACTCGCTCCCTTTGTGTCATGACATGAAGAAACAAGGCCAGAGGTCACATCATGAGATGAACAGGCCCAAATGCACTCGACCCCAGAAAAGAGTGAGAAAGTGTAGGTCCTAGAAGCTAGTCTGTGGCTTGTGCCCCTAATCCTCAGACATGTGCAATGGGAAATGAAGAAGCTGGCTTTTGCTGATGCCTCATCAAAATGGAAGTTTTTTTCTGCAAAAGGATCTTTCTAATTTCCCTATAGACACATAATCATTGTCATGGGAAGAGGCAATCAAAGAGTATAAAGCCAATACATAGAGAGAATTTGGAAAATATTTTAGAGGTGTGTCAGCAGTTAATGAATACAAACGTCATGCTATTTTTTGGATTTTCTGATGTTTGTGGTGCCCATCTGTGGTGCTGTATAGCTTTCAGGAAGCCACTAGCACTATCTAAGTCAGCTTTTAAACTGTTTTTTTCATTATTTCTTTTTTTTTTTGCTCTAAATCAATATTCACTTTCATATCTAATTTCGTGTTCTTTTTTCTTAAAGAGGATCCCACAATTGGACAAGCTTCCCCTTGGAGCCTACATCCACACCTGATTATCAGCAGGGACTCGGGCTGTGATGAGAAGCAGGGGTGGCGTCCTGGGCCCAGAGGTCTGTTCTGGCCAAAAAGAGATGAGTCTTTCCCTGCACAGGCTAGAACAGCTGCTGTCCCCTCCTCCAGCACTGAAACCCTGGTTCCCTCCAGCCTTCATTTTGGGCTGAAGGCCAAATGATTTCCTGTGTTTTCTTTGTTTATCAGCTCTCTATTATCATGATGGCAAGAGCCACCCACTCAATAAAGCAAAGTAAACAAACTCCCACAAACCGACAAACAGCTTTGAGTGTGCAGCCCCGATTTGATTTCCTAATTAACAAGCCATTCTCAGCCAATCAGACGATGTGCATGTCATCCCATTTGGATTTGTGGGCAAACCAATGATTCCTGGGCTTCAAGCCATTGCTCTATGGAGGGGAGGGGGCTACTGGGGAGGGACCACCTCATGGCAGTTGCTACACTCATTCCTGGGCTTCCTTGTCCCTCCTCCCCGTCCCTCCTTCATCTGTCTACACAGAGTTAGCGGGCTTGCAGGGCTGTTTCCAGACCGCTGGGTCCAAGGCAATGGGGTGAAGCCCCTTTCCTTTGTGGCATCACAGCTCTTGCTTTTCCTCTTGTTCCATCTGCTGGTGCCAAGGCCCTCCTGGCGAGTAAGCCCCATGATGAGTTCTGTTAGTGCACAAAGACAACCGCTCATGGCAGTGAGATCCGGTGCCCTGGCTGCTCTTTCCAGAGCCTTCTTAGAGGGGGCTGAATAACAAAATTCAGGGACCCCCATGAGCGAAGGAAAGGTATCTCACCTTCCCAGAAGGCACATGGATGCTCCCAACCACTCACTTGCTCTCCTCCCCATCACAACTATCTGCTGTCACCAGTTCTGCATTCTGGCAAGTGGCTCTCCATCCCTGGGCCTTGGTCTCCCCATCCATGAAAAGGAGCAGTGGGAGAAGCGTGAGGCCCTGTAGGATGGCCCTCACACCAAGCCTGGCTGGCAGGTGTGCTGAGTGCTCTACACAATACTTGTCTTATTTTTATATTTGATTTAGTTGTCTACATTTTAAAAATGGAGAGAGTCATTATTTTTAAAATGTATATTTCAGGATTAAAAAAAATACTCAGAAGATCTGGCATCATTGAGTATATGTTCCCTTGTGACAAACAAGAAGAGAAGCAGCTGCCTTGAAGAGAAGAGACTGGGGTGCTCCAGTTCCCCCCAGTTGC
This sequence comes from Homo sapiens, assembly GCF_000001405.40. NCBI lineage: Eukaryota > Metazoa > Chordata > Mammalia > Primates > Hominidae > Homo > Homo sapiens. The sequence goes on along the minus strand of NC_000016.10, from coordinate 48,964,608 downwards.
CACCACTCCCTATTGCTCTACCCAGTCCACCTCACTTGTGTAGGTTATTTGTGGGATCCCTGAAGGCATGCACATTTGTAAGGATGGCCCTTTTTGTTTAATAGATTGTGGTTTTAATTCCACAGTTCATTCCTTCTGCAGATGATGAGCTTATTCCACAGGTATTTATTGAGCCTCTCTTGTGTTCCTTGTGTTTTACTAAGCACTGAGGAATGCTTAAATGGGGTGAAAGGCATGGCCCCTACCCTTAGAGAACTGTGAGTTTAGCTGCAGGCATATGAGGACCTGGATGAGAATTCATGACCTTGGAGGAGGCCTTCCTACCTAGTGAGAGGAGATAAGGCCCAGTTTAAACTCCTCCTCCCGCTTGTTCCTGTATAATAGCAAGACTACATTTACATGGCACCTCACAGTTTCAGGACACTTTCCTATCTATTAAGTCTGAGTCCTGACCACAACTCAGAGAGGCAGAGATTATTTCCAGATACTCCCAGATGCCAAGAGACTTCCTGCATTCTCTACCAGTTGTGTTTTTAACACTCAGCACAAACACAACCAGACATCATTTTAAAACTTGGCATCTGCCATTCTGAATGATTGGATGCTGTGCCCACCACAGCCTTTGCCAGGAATATCCCTGGTCCATAGCCTAAAGAGATACTGGAGAGGTGTCTTTCTCACTCAAAGACAGAACAAAGACCCCCCTTCTTCTATGCACGGCACATGCCTTCTAATTCCCTATGTCAGCTTGTACCATCCACAAGCACTGTGAAGGGCAACAGCCAATCCCAGCCTGTTCATCTTCCTGTGGTCCAGCAAGCATCCCTCTTGGCCAGCCCTCCCCGAGGGCTTACCTGTGGAGGGACAATTCCATCCCCCTCACACTTTGGACTGACCACAGAATAAGCGTCCAGGGTCATTTTAAATGAGAGTCTTCTAGTTCTGCAGAAATGAGAAAACAAATCCTAAGGAACAAGAGGACATGTGGGGCCAGAGTGCATAGATCTAAAGTCCTTCTCCCTCTGAGGACAGGACCCTGAGTTCTCTTTCTAAGGCTCCACGGCAAGGGTCATAAGCCTGTCTCACCCTCGATGACTGTGCCTCAAAGGCATGAGTGGTGTTGATGACTGATGAGCCCCTGACAGGCAGCCAAGGGCACTGCAAGCCCAGCCCCCATCTTCATGACATCTAAGCTGCTCCATTGGTAACAAGCTTCTCCCTGGTTAAAAGTAATAAATCTCCTCTGATTTAAGTGACAGCTTGTTGGGATTGTTTCCTTGGGCTTTGACATAAAGAAGAAATTTAAATCCAACATAATCTGGACTGAAATAATGATGTTAGCTCTGAAGGCTGAGATGGTTCAAGCAGGACAAGGCATAGGAGATAGACCCTTTTAGGGACTCAGCGAGGCCCTCATCATGCCTCGATGGATGCATGGAGGGTAGGGTTAAGTTCCACTAAGGCCTGCATTGTGCTGTCCTATTCTTCACCCTTCCTTCCTTCCTTCTTTTCTTCCTTCCTACCTTCCTTCCTTCCTTCCTCCCTCTTTTCCTCCCTCCCTCCCTCCTTCCTTCCTCCCTGGGTCTTGTTCTGTCACCCAGGCTGGAGTACAGTGGTATGATCATAGCTCACTGCAGCCTCGAACGCCTGGGCTCAAGCAATCCTCTCACTTCAGCCTCTCAAGTAGTTGGAACTGGAACTGCAGATCCGCAACACCACACCTGGTTAATTTTTTTGTTTTTTGTTTTGTAGAGACAAGTTCTCCCTATGTTGCCTAAGCTAGTCTCAAGCTCCTGGCTTCAAGCAATCCTCCTGCCTCAGCCTCCAAAAGTGTTGGAATCACAGGCCTGAGCCACTGGCACCAGGCCATGCTTCACTTATACCTGCATGCTCCTCACCTCCACTTAGGTGCCTGGGACCACCTTCACTGCCACCCCAAACTGAGCTGCCTTAATCAGCACCCAAGATAGCAGATCTTTTCTCTCCCATCCCCTCACCCAAACTGATCCATCCCATCTGAGGGACACACATGGACTCACTCCCAGGTGCTAAAGCTGAAGTTGACCACAGAGCCTTTACTGAAATGAGGCACATATTTCCAAATCCTTCCTCACCCTTCCCGCATAATATGAGCCTAGAAATGGCCAGGCTGGGACCCCAGAGAGATGGGAAGAGACAAGGTAAGGCAGGGAGGTCTCACCAAGCCAGGGACCACAGTGGGCAATGAAGGATACTAAGGTCAAAGGAGGCACCAAGCCTGAGGTCTTACCCTGTTCGTGATGCCTGGTAGGTGCTCAATGCATTCTCATTGCATGAGCAAATGAATGAATGAATGAATTAATTAATTAATAATGGAAGCCTGAGGCTTAAAGCCTCAGGAGGAATTTGGAGGAGACCACCAAATCCAGCGAATGGCATAGTGAGAGTGGGGAGGACTGAACAAAGACAAGCACAGAAAATCAGGATCAGTGCTCACCTCCATTCCTGTCTGGCCTGGAATGTTTAAATTGGCTTTAAGTCTTTGGCTCTAAGTCCTTTGGCAATAGGAGTCCCAGAGAAGGATAAGATGGACCTGGGACAAGACAAAATAAAAGTTTGGCCATTGATGGTGCTTGCCAGGTCCGACCCGCAGACCCTGGCCAAATGACGGATGAACAAATGCACTCAGACACAGGTATCCAGTGAAAGAGTGGGCTAGGGAACTGGGCTGATCACAGACCTTGAGGAAGGTGCTGTAAAGAGTCAGCAGCCACAGCCCTGACCAGCTGGAGCTGCGGGCATTAATTCAGTGTAGATTTAATGACAAAGGCCTTGAGTCAACATACTTGTTGGTAATTGCGGGCAGATGATTAAAGGCCAGGTTTCTGGAGACATGAGTAAACAAGCTATTCAGATAAACTCCCCTGTTTTCTTTTGTACCTACTTCTCACCCTTTGCCCCAGGGTAAGAACCGCCACCTTTGGCTCATTCTCCCCCAAAGCTTTGCAAAACCCCCTGGCATTCCAAGAAGGTTTGCGTTTTTCCTACAATTTCTCCCACCACTCTGACCTACAGTTGCTTCTGGAAGATCTTGGCCAAAAGGGGGAGAATGTAAACTAAAAACACAATACTAAGCCCCTCCATTGATGGAATGGACACCTTCTTGGCCAAGGGGACCCCAGAGAAAACTTGAAAACTGAGTTTCAGCCCTGTCCGGGGGTTGGAGAGTCAGACACACCTTGTTATAACCCCTCCCTCGCTAAGATCAGCCGTTCTTCCCTAAGGGCTGAACAGAAACCAGCCCTTTCAAAAGATGCCCCCCCACCCCCACTGACATAAACCAACTGCCTGACACTGCCCCTCCTTTTTTGCCTGATAGGAGACCATGGAATGGTTCTGACCATTCTACAGAGAACACATAGTAAGAATTTTCATGTCCTCTTTGTCACCTTTTGATGTCGGAGGGTCGAAAACTCCACCCTTGGATCGTGCTAACACTGCCATTTATAGTACATGGCACCCATGAAAGGGCATGAAGCTCAACTGTGCATGCACACATTTCCCCTTCTATAAATACTCATGACTGCTCCTGTGGTGTATTGAATATGTATATCCGGCCACACCACTCAGCATTAATTCCTGTTTCTCTTGTCCCTCCCTTGAAGTATCTGTTTCTGGCTTCTGGTTGGAGGTTGTGCTTCGCAGCCTATCAGAATGGCCACCCTGCAGGCTGCAACCCTTTATGAGAAATGGGGCTCCCCTTCCCAAAATAAAAAAAAAAGGAAAGAAAATCAGGATCAGTGTGGAGAGATGATGCCTGCAGCTGCCCAGCATCCATGCTCTCTTCCTCTGATAAGACCTTGATTTTCCTTTGTAGAAGCCACCCTTCTCCTCATTGTATGTAGTTTGGGTGGAAATGCCAGTCAAAGTAATTCCAGCAAAGGGCCAGGCAAATCACAACCAGCCCCATTAATCTCTCTCTCATGACAATGTGGACCTTGAGCAGAGGGACACAAGGGCCAAAAGCACTGGCTGATGGTTCGTGCCACCAGGAGTGCCTTAAACAGAGGCCCTGTTCCCTCACCCACCAGAACCGGCCTGGTCCATCTCCAGGCTCACTGTCAAGTACTTCCTATGAGCAATCCCATATTCTTATTAGAAGTTTTTGTTTTTTATTTTCAGTTTAGATGAGCAGGAGTGATTTCTTTCTTTCTTTTTTTTTTTTTTTTTAAGGCAGAGTATCTCTCTGTTGCCCAGGCTGGAGTGCAATGGCACGATCTTGGCTCACTGCAACCTCCACCTCCTGGGTTCAAGCAATTTCTGGCTAATTTTTGTGTTTTTAGTAGAGATGGAGTTTCACCATGTCAGCCAGGCTGGTCTCTAACTCCTGACCTCAAGTGGTCTCCCCTCCTTGGCCTCCCAAAGTGCTGGGATTACAGATATGAGCCACTGAAAGCAGCCGAGCCAGAGTGATTTCTGTCACTGGCAACCAGATAATCCTAAATAGTACAAGACCAAAGGTCAACAAGGTTGGAGAAGATATTAGGCAGTCTCCCAGCTATTGCCCTAGAAAGTGTGGCTTGCTGTATGCTCTTTGGTGGCCCAATGTGAATCTGTCTGGTTTTTGAGACCTGGAGACTGGACACCATCAGGTCTCTCTGCAGTACTGTTCATAAATGCTGAGTCAGCAGAGTGGGAGCAGTCACTAAGAGCTCCATCCTGGACAGTTGTGCCTCCAGTCTCAGACCCACTGGGACCTGGTTCTTCTAAAAGGGGGCTTTGGACACACAGGGTGCAGCACTCATAAAACATAAATTTCCTCAGTGCAATGAACACAATTAGACATTTTCCTTCTGCTTCCACTGAAAACTGACACCCCAGTGTCCAACAGGGCATGCAGATTGCTGTAAGCAGCTACTTGACAGATTTCTCCAGGAAATTCTCTCTCTGGCTCTCACTTTATCTATCAAGTAAAATCCTCCCACATCTCTATCAGACAGGCTTTTTAAAGAGCATCACTGCTTCCTTGTCCCACTCCAAGCAGCTCTGAAGTCTCATTTGAGAGAATAAGAAAGAGCAGGACAGACAGAGAAAGAGAGAAAGGAGGCAGCAGGGATGGAATAAGTGAGAGGAGCAGGTGACAGGGCAAGGGCTGAGATTCTGAGGTCACACCAGGTCTCCTTTGATGATGGACAGGGTGGGAAGGGTGCCAGGGAAGTGATTCAGCAGACAGTTCACCTAATGAGCTGAAGTCATTAGCAGAGTCCTGGAGTCACGAGGTGCATTCATTTGGTTTGTTGGTTTCCAGGCCCAGAGGCATGCTCCAGTCACTTATAGAGGTTACATAGGATTAGTGTTAGAATACAGGGCACGATAGGCAAAGCTGGCCAGCCCCACACCAGGACACGAGACAGGCAGGGGCAGGTAGGTGGCAACTCCAGCACCTGGGCCTCTAATTACCCTCTCCCTGGGACCCTCCTTGACTCCCTAGTCCCAGTGGCTCTCATCTACTGCACCGATTCATCTGTGCTCGCTCTTGGCTCCCACCATTCCTCTGCCACTGCCTCTCACCTTCCGTGTGTCCATTTTCCTCCTGCCTATAGTCTTCTGATGTGGCTCTTTGTCTCACTCCACCTCCTTCTACTGACTTCTCATTCTCCATAGCTCAAGTTCAAAGTACTTAAAAGAGAGGTTATGATGGACTGGCCCATTGCCACATTATCTAGGAAGCCCTGGACAGCAGAGTTTACACATCGACTTTGCTGTGGTTTGCTGGCCTGCCTGGGATTGGGCTGCTCCGCTCGGATCCAACCAGCTGCCAGGGGCTGTGCAACTAGATGACAGTTTGTTCTCTAGCTGTTTGTTCCTTCCAGTGTCACTGTCGCAGAGAATTCTGAAGGTTCCATCCAGGGAGCATCTGTCAGTGACATTGGGGACCAGGAGGGCCACTGTGTGGGAGCAGCAGCCAGTGACCATTCCACAAAAGAGGTTTGAAAACCCAAAGACAGCTGGTTGTCTGAGATTTCAGAACCTTTAGAGACCAAGGGGACCAGTCAGGCAAAATCTCTCACATTAATCCACAGGGCTTCTGAGTCCTGCAGGCTAGACAAGAGGGAGTACCTGGGCCGGAGCTTCTGTTCTAAGCAGGTGGATGAGGAGAAGAGGCTGAAAACTCAGGCCTCAGGTCTCAGGACTCCTACAGCTTTGGACTCTATTTGCTCATCTTTACAATGGGATAACGATAGCACAGACCACCAGGGGTTGCAGTAAGAGTAGCTAAAATCATGCACGAATGTTCCTACTCAGTGTCTCACCCACAACAAAGACTCTGTGTGGCTTGCTTTTTAAAAACGATTTCAGCTATATGAAAATGATTTTATTTAAGATTTGAGATGTTTATTATGATGATTATTACTAAGAGCCAGTGCATTCTCCCAGAAGAATTAATCTGAGCAGAATGAGAAGTGGCTGAGAAAGCAACTCTGCCAAGAAAATAAGCCTCACTTTGCCATTCCATCCCTCCTTTTGTTTGCACCAACTAATCCCCCCAGGTTAGAGGCCTATGAAAAACATTATAACAAGACTCACATGGAGGATTATTAATCCTTCATTTTCAACTGTTGCAAAGTGGCACTCTCCCTTCTGAGTCGCCTAAAGCCAGATTGGCTGAGCTCTGGGGCTGGACCTTTTCACCACAAGGACAACATTCTCCAGAAGAGGAGCAGCCTCGAGCTACAGAAAAGGCTTGGGGGGGTGGGGGTAGGGGCCTGCCTGCTGGGCAGAAGAGTGCCCTCTCCTTACTTGTGCCCAGCCACAGCCACTGCTGTGTGCTGGGAGGTGGGATGGGTGGGTGGGCAGGGGAAGACCAGAAGCAAAACTAGAGCTCCTGGGGGTGGGGGAGCTTCTCAACAGTCCTGTTGGCATGACAGACATGGAAGGTGGTCAGTCTTCCCCTTTTCCAACACAATCAGAGAACCTCGTTCAGGAGAACCAGCTTAAACCTCTCCAAAGAAAAACGCCCTCCTCAAGATGGTCTCATAATTCTAATGTTTCTAGAATAACGAAAAGACAAATTTTAAGGTGGTGGATACCTCAATTACACTGATTTGATCTTTACAAATTATATGAATGTATTAAATTATCACATTTACCTCAAAAATATATACAGCTGGTATGTGTCAATATTTAAAAAGCCTGTTTTTATTATTGTATTATTATTTATTTTTAGAAAACAACAACCATTTATTTTTTTAATTTATTTTCTTTCCATAGGTTTTTGGGGAAACAGGTGGTACTTGGTTACATGAATAAGTTCTTTAGTGGTGATCTGTGAGATTTTGCTTCACCGATCACCTGAGGAGTATATACTGAACCCAATTTGTAGTCAAAAAAAGCCAATTTTATACAATGGTCTCTTTATGAAGCCTCCCTAAACCCTTTCTTTCCTATTTCCTTAAGTCAATCTCTCCTTCCCTTTCCCTGACCTTTCACATCCTCTGGTTTTGAACTGAGCTCCTGGTCTGCAGGCCTGACAGAGTCAGAGAAACTAAGGCAGGACCTCCTCTTTGTCGATAAGGGAAGTCTCAGACCCAGAGCAGGGAAAGAGCTTGCCAGGGTCACACAGCAAGTAGTGGCAGAGAAGGGGAAAAACGAGGTCCCCAAGCCCACGTTTTATCTCACTCAGGGGAGTTCCCCAGGTGAATCTCATATAACATTACTTCTGCCCCATGCTAATCCAAACAAAATCCAAGTATAGGGGCCTGTAATCACAGGTAGCACTAGGCTGAGCAGGGATAAACACATTTTCTTAATGCAGGACTTCTCAGAGCCTTTGATATGTTATGGTACATAGGAAAACTCCTGGGGCAGGGGGCAGGGCACCAGAATCGACAGTATTTTCCACATATTTGATTTTTCTTTCTGGACATCTTGCAAGCTAATGTCCAGCAGAATGCACACTGCAAACACCATTCCACACCATGCGTCTCAGACCCAGACCCAGGAATAGTCACCCCTTCCAAAGTGTCTGCCTGGAGAAAGCAGCTCCTTTCACATAAGAGATTGGGCTGTGTGTCTTGAAAACAGGAGCCTCTAGAAGCGAAGCTACAGCATAAAACAAATTCAAACCAACAGAATGCGCTTTCTCTCACCTTAATTTGGGTCCAGTGCCCCATGTTTAGTGAAATATTTCAGGATGGAAGGAGGTGAGGAGCAGAAGTGTCTGCCCTGATCCTGAGACTCCCCCTGCCACACTCAGCCCAGAGCAAATTAAACCAGGGGCCCCTGCAATATGCATGAGAGAGAGCACTAAAGGGCTCCAGCCTGAGCCTGGGCCACTGCAGTCATAAAACACAGCCAGTGGATGTGAAGCTGCAGAACAAAAATACCTTGTAGCCATTATTTTCATGAGTCTCTTCCCATCCACACACCCCCTCTTCCATTTTTTTAATCTGGAGCTACTGAGAATTGGTATTTCTCACCTTTGTAATATGAGAAACAAGTTAATTAAAATCAATCCCAACTCCAGTCTCAGAACATCACTGCTTTGGCTGCAAATCTGTCAACAGTGTATTTTGATAGCAGTGCACGAAGGTGGTTATTTGGAGACACTGATAATTGCATTAATTTAGGAAGCATTAGCTAAGCCCGACGATTAATTACACAGGCAGCTGACAGAGCTGTAGCCACCAGATAGCTGGAGGAAAAAGGTGGAAACTCCAGCTCCCTTTTATACAGATCCAAACACTGAGAACACTCAAATAACCAGAACTGTGCTCATTGCTCATGAAGGTTTACAATGGCGAACACGTGGCACACTCGAACCTTGAAGGTCTTTCTAAATCCCAAAAGAGAGATTAGAGAGCTATTGGTATAATGTTCATTTAAGAGAATTTTGTTGGACTTTAATCCTTTGAAATCTGGTCATTTATAAGGGGTATTTGTGCCATATCTTTTGGAATCAGAATTTCTATTTAATTAGTTTTGATCCCATTTCCCTATTCATTAACCAGTTTGAAATTAATAGAAATTGTTTCTGTTTCTTTCTTTCTCTTCCTCATTTTTCACAACACACACACAGATTCATGTATATGTGCATATCTTTTCTATGAATACTATGACAACATGCAAGTATATACATGGGTAAATAGTTTTAAAAATTGGAAAAGCAAAAAAACCAGCCCGAATAAAAAAAAGTTTAAATGCAAGAAAGACAGAAGACGACATGGGGAGGAGGTAGGAGTGTTTTCGTTTCTCCTGTCATAGGCCCACAGCTCCCCTTTCTCACCTACTGAAATCTTACCCATATCTGAAGACCCAACTCAAAAAGCCTTGCTTTTTCTTGAGAATTTCACAAATTTCACAAATGCCTGATTGGAATGCCAGAATCTTGGGACAGTGTCTGAAAGTATTTCTGGCAAATTTTTGAAATATGATCTGGTCCATACATGAAATGGGAACTAAGATTAATGTGGGTCATGGCCGGGGCATGGTTTCAGAAGGGATCCCCTGAGGTGGGTGTTAACCCAACTCTGCAGAAATCAAAGCTCAGAGAAGTGAAATAACCTGTGCAGCATTCACACCTGCCTGACTCCAAAGCCCAGGCTCTTGGCCATTGTGCCACTCACTCCTCTGCACTGAGATTCTTGGTGTCCAGTGGATAAGGGATGATTTTGGTTCTGTCCAGCCTCCAAGGTTCCCTTCTTCCATGGACCCCTGGAGACGCTCTGGAGACTGTCTGGTTTGAACTACTTTGCTTTGGGTCCAGACTGACCACTGTGTATAGAAAGAAAAAAGTCTTTATTTTTTACTCGAGTAATATTTTTATTACTCAAGTAATAAAATGTGAGTACATTATCATTACAAAAAGTTAAATTCATTCAACCATTGTGGAAGACAGTGTGGCGATTCCTCAAAGATCTAGAATGAGAAATACCATTTGACCCAGCAATTCCATTACTGGGTATATACCCAAAGGATTATAAATCATTCTACTATAAAGACACATGCACACATATGTTTATTCCAGCACTGTTCACAATAGCGAAGACTTGGAGCTAACCCAAATGCTCATCAAAGATAGACTGGATAAAGAAAATGTGGCACATATACACCATAGAATACTATGCAACCATAAAAAAGGATGAGTTCATGTCCTTTGCAGGGACATGGATGAAGCTGGAAACCATCATTCTCAGCAAACTAACACAGGAACAGAAAACCAAACATCACATGTTCTCACTCATAAGTGGAAGTTGAACAATGAGAACACATGGAACACAGGGAGGGAAACATCACACACTGGGGCCTGTTGTGGGGTGGGGGGGCCTAAGGGAGGAATAGCATTAGGAGAACCTAATGTAGATGACGGGTTGATGGGTGCAGCAAACCACCATGGCATGTGTATACCTGTGTAACAAATCTGCACGTTCTGCACATGTATCCCAGAACTTAAAGTATAACTTTAAAAAATTCAAATCACCAGAATATTCCAGAAAACTTCAAATGGCACTTTAACAATCCTCTACTCTCTCTCTTCTCACCAGGACTTGCTGCTGTCAACTGTTTGGCTTGTCTGTTCTTCTGATCACCTGTGCACACTTACAAAGATAGGAGTTTTGTTCTGTTTTAAGATCACATCACCTTTTATGAGATGTTTCTTTATTTAATGATATGCCCTAGAAGTGTTTTCATGGTAGTACACGTGGGTGTACTTTCTTTTTTAACACATAGGATTCCAATTTTGCTTTTGCCAAATCACCTTATAAAATATCTCTTTGTGAACACATGCAAATAGATAACCAGGCTAAATTTCCAGGGGCAAAATTCCCAGGTGTTATGGATTAAATTGTGTCTACCCAAAATTATATGTCCTAACCTCTAGCACTTCAGGATATAAATTTATTTGGAAATAGGGTCATTGCAAATGTAATTAGCTAAGATGAGGTCATTAGGGTGGGCCTTGTTCCAATATAACTATTGTCCTTGGACACAGGCATACCCACAGAGAGAATGCCATATGAAATTAAGGGCAGAGATTGAGATAATGATTTTGTAAGCCAAGAAATGCCAAAGATGACCAGCAAACCACCAGAAGTTACAGCATAGGTATGGAACAGAGTATCCCTCACATTCTCAGAAAAAGTAACCCCACTGACACCTTGATCTTGGACTTCTAGCTTCCAGAACTGTGAGACCACTAATTTACGTTGTTTAAACCACTTGGTTTGTGGTACTTTATTAGGGCGGCCCTGGAAAACCAATGCACCATATATGCAGATTTATGCTTGCTGTATAACATCAAATTGCTTCATCCACCTCCCCAGAAAAGGTTTCATCATTTCACACTTCCAGGCACAGTGTGTAAGGCTAGTGGGGGTGGGTGAGGGTCAGGGGGGCTCATACCCAGCAGGTGTCATAGCTTTTCTCACCAACCAGCAGTAAAAGAAAGGGTCTAGATCACCACCTTCGTAATCCCATTTAGGATTGGAACTGAGTCTGTCTTGATTTCATTCCTACCAACCTGATCTTCTGAGCAATATTATCACAACCTGTTTGGAGTGAAGATGGAAAAAATACCTCTCTATGTGACAATATATGCCTTGTAGTGAACCCAAGAAGCGGTGCAGACAGGCAAGGCTCTGAGTTGCAGAGGACAGAGGATTTCTTCCCAGCCAGCACAGCCCATGGTAAAGTGGACTTTAGCAGCTGGAGAGGAGCAAATCAATCTTTACCCACTGGGCACTAAGAGTCTGTCTATGAAGAGAAGTGGGTGGCACAATGACCTAGAGCCTGGGCTTTGGAGTCAGGCAGGTGTGAGTGCTGCACAAGTTATTTCACTTCTCTTAGCTTCAGTTTCTTTTTTTTTTTTTTTTAATTTTTTTATTTTTTATTGATAATTCTTGGGTGTTTCTCACAGAGGGGGACTTGGCAGGGTCATAGGACAATAGTGGAGGGAAGGTCAGCAGATAAACAAGTGAACAAAGGTCTCCGGTTTTCCTAGGCAGAGGACCCTGCGGCCTTCCGCAGTGTTTGTGTCCCTGGGTACTTGAGATTAGGGAGTGGTGATGACTCTTAACGAGCATGCTGCCTTCAAGCATCTGTTAACAAAGCACATCTTGCACCGCCCTTAATCCATTTAACCCTGAGTGGACACAGCACATGTTTCAGAGAGCACAGGGCTGGGGGTAAGGTCACAGATCAACAGGATCCCAAGGCAGAAGAAGTTTTCTTAGTACAGAACAAAATGAAAAGTCTCCCATGTCTACTTCTTTCTACACAGACATGGCAACCATCCGATTTCTCAATCCCTTCCCCACCCCTCCCGCCTCTCCATTCCACAAAGCCGCCACTGTCATCCTGGCCCGCTCTCAATGAGCTGCTGGGCACACCTCCCAGAAGGGGTGGTGGCCGGGCAGAGGGGCTCCTCACTTCCCAGTAGGGGCGGCCAGGCAGAGACGCCCCTCACCTCCCGGACGGGGCGGCTGGCCGGGCGGGGGGCTGACCCCCCCACCTCCCTCCCGGACGGGGCGGCTGGCCGGGCGGGGGGCTGACCCCCCAACCTCCCTCCCGGACGGGGCGGCTGGCCGGGCGGGGGGCTGACCCCCCCACCTCCCTCCCGGACGGGGCGGCTGGCCTGGCGGGGGTTGACCCCCCTACCTCCCTCCCGGATGGGGCGGCTGGCCTGGCGGGGCCTGACCCCCCCCCACCTCCCTCCCGGACGGGGTGGCTGCCAGGCGGAGAGGCTCCTCACTTCTCAGACAGGGCGGCTGCCGGGCGGAGGGGCTCCTCACTTCTCAGACGGGGCGGCCGGGCAGAGATGCTCCTCACGTCCCAGACGGGGTCGGGGCCGGGCAGAGGTGCTCCTCACATCCCAGACGGGGCGGCAGGGCAGAGGCGCTCCCCACATCTCGGACGATGGGCGGCCGGGCAGAGACGCTCCTCACTTCCTAGATGTGATGGCGGCCGGGAAGAGGTGTTCCTCACTTCCTAGGTGGGATGGCAGCCGGGCGGAGACGCTCCTCACTTTCCAGACTGGGCAGCCAGGCAGAGGGGCTCCTCACATCCCAGATGATGGGCGGCCAGGCAGAGACGCTCCTCACTTCCCAGACGGGGTGGCGGCCGGGCAGAGGCTGCAATCTCGGCACTTTGGGAGGCCAAGGCAGGCGGCTGGGAGGTGGAGGTTGTAGCGAGCCGAGATCACGCCACTGCACTCCAGCCTGGGCACCATTGAGCACTGAGTGAACGAGACTCCGTCTGCAATCCCGGCACCTCGGGAGGCCGAGGCTGGCGGATCACTTGCGGTTAGGGGCTGGAGACCGGCCTGGCCAACACAGTGAAACCCCGTCTCCACCAAAACCAGTCAGGCGTGGCGGCGCGAGCCTGCAATCGCAGGCACTGGGCAGGCTGAGTCAGGAGAATCAGGCAGGGAGGCTGCAGCGAGCCGAGATGGCAGCAGCACAGTCCAGCCTCGGCTCAGCATGAGAGGGAGACCGTGGAAACAGGGGAGAGGGAGAGGGAGAGGGGGAGGGGGAGGGGGAGGGGGAGCAGCTTCAGTTTCTTATCTGGAGAATTGGATTAACATCCATTTAGCCCCTTCTGAAACTTGTCCTGACAAGAAGCTTATGTTAGTTTTAGTTCACACACGAATGTGAACACTTCCCTCCACCTGTCTTTAGGTTTACATTTAGCCATTTATCTGACATGACTTTAAAATAGAAAGAAAAGCAAAAGAAAGATGTCGATGGCAATGATGATCATCATCTCTCTCTCTTCTGGTTAAGTGCAGAGGGAATTAGGGAGTGGTGTGGGCATCTTTCTCATGGGTTTTGAGAGAATAACAAAAATGGTGATTAGCTATGGAATCATGTAGAATGTGCTGAAGGTAACAGTTGCCAAGCACATTAAGTCCTGTGATTAATTATTACACAAATGAACACGTCCATTCAATAGACCAGGCTCGGTCAGCCTTTATTTATCCAATAGGGTAACTTGACCCTGTAGGACACCTAGGGCCACAGAAAGATCAGTGGAAGCTGACGCGTATGGTAAATATTGGCCAATATCAAGGGCAAGATGGGATGGGGGTCCAATCAGCAAGTTGTGCTGTGCTTTCTGCTCTGTCAACTCTATTCAAGCAGGCTCTTCTTCTATGGCGGGAAGAAGCTCAGTAAGTCTCGGTTTATATTCTCTGAGTCATCCCAGCAGAAATCATAACTTTTCTCAAAATAATCCAATAACTCTCAAGGATAGCATCTCATTGAGTCAACCTGGATTGTGTGCCCAAGTATGAACTAATTACTATGACCAAAAGGATGGAAATGTGCTGATTGGCATGACCTGATTATATGACAGACCCAGGCTTGGGTAGGTGGGGCCAGCCCCAGGTAAATCCTAGGGACTGAGAGCTAGGGAGGGGGTCAGAGTATGAGGGGCTAATAAATGACCTCCTTCTTTTCCCTGCCTGAATTGAGAACAATTAAAAGAGGATAGACACAGGGTTAGGCATATGGGGTGCAAAATATCACAGGTTTGGAGAATGTAGTTTCATTGTTTGGCTGCAAAGAGCGTCTAAGTATTAAAATCTCAGGAACAGACAGCCCATCACAGGCAGAACTGGATAACTGCAGGTCTCCCCTTTAGGGCCCTGGCCTTGTAAAATTATAGCTTAGAAGACAAAGGAATGTGTATACCCCAAGAGAGAAGGAGGCAGAAGAAGCTGAGCAGATCATGCCCAGTTTCTTCCCTCAAAAGCACCAAACAGATGAGTCACTCCCTCTCCCTGGGGAGGAATGGAGGGCAGGGGAGAGGCTGGGGGACTGGTCTGACAGAGGCCTAGCCACTTGAAAACAAGAAGAGTAAAACTGAGAGCCCCACCACTTACCCTGTATGGGCATTCCCTGAGAGGAAATTCGGGTGATATTGCAAAAGAAGTTAAATCGTCTTGAAACCAGTAAAATGACAGCAGTCCACTACAGACAGAAAAGATAAAAGATGAAATGCCAGCCAGGCGTGGTGGCCCACACCTGTAATCTCAGCACTTTGGGAGGCCAAGGCGGGCAGATTACCTGAGGTCAGGAGTTCGAGATCAGCCTGGCCAACATGGTGAAACCCTGTCTCTACTAAAACTACAAAAATTAGCTGGGCATGGTGGTGGGCACCTGTAATCCCAGCTACTTGGGATGCTGAGGCAGGAGAATCACTTGAACCTGGGAGGTAGAGGTTGCAGTGAGCCGAGATTGTACCATTGCACTCCAGCCCTGGGTGACAGAGCAAGACTCTGTCTCAAAAAAAAAAAAAAAAAAAAATGAAATGCCTTTACATATCTTCTCTCCCAAGGATGCTAAATCACTAATTGTAATACCAAGGTGTATACTTGACATACTTACATATAAAAATGCCTATTCCAGGCTGACTTCGAGACTGAGGATTTCAGACGGTTTATAAAATCCTCTTTTGTAAACAATTATAAAGGAAAACAATATCAGGCACCAGTGTGGTCTGAGGTCAAATACTAAAACTCACAGGTGGCATCACACAAGAATCCTGGACATGGAGTCAAAAGAACTTGGCTCCAGCCCAACTTAGCCCTTCCAGCTTAGCTCTCCTGAACTTCTGTTTCCTTCTAGAATAAGGGTTCTAACCCCGTGGCCCTAGCTGACCTCACAGTATTGTGGGGATCAAATAGGACAAGATTTGGGAAACACTTTTAATAACAATGGTTAACATTTTCACCATTTACCATGCCCTAAGCACTGTTTCGAGAGTTTTACCTATGTTAACTCTTCAAACTCTTCTAGTCTTTTTTTTTTTTTTTTTTTGGTTTCTTTGTTTTTGAGACGGAGTCTCACTCTGTTGCCCAGGCTGGAGTGCAATGGTGCAATCTTGGCTCACTGCAACATCCCCTCCCGGGTTCAAGTGATTCTCCTGCCTTAGCCTCCTGAGTAGCTGGGATTACAGGTGCCTACCACCACGCCTGGCTAATTTTTTCTATTTTTAGTAGAGACAGGGTTTCACCATATTGGCCAGGCTGGTCTCGAACTCCTGGCCTCGTGTTCCACCTGCCTTAGTCTCCCAAAGTGCTGAGATTACAGGCGTGAGCCACCGCACCTGGCCAACTCCTCTAGTCTTTAAAACAAGCTTACAAAGTATGTACTGTTAGTATAATCTCTACCTTCTAGATGAGGAAACTGAGCACAGAGAGGTTGAGAAGCTTGCCCAAGGTCTAACAGACTATAAAGGACACTCGCGGCAGCTGCCATCATCAACAAGGTTGTAACTATTGACAGGCAGGGCTCAGGGTGGTGGCTTGGAACAAGGGCTGTCTGGCCGAGCACAGAGGTGGACTTGCTGGCTCTGTGGCTCTGCACAGAGGAGAGTTTTCTGAGCAAGAGAACCTTGAGGTTTGGGCATGGGAGCATGGGCCGGGGCAGGATATAGAAACATGGCAAGGGCTTAATCTGTGTCTCTTCTAAGCATGGGAGCAGAAGAAGGAGGCAGTTCCTGAATCTGACATGAGCCCCTGGCTTAGCACAGGCAAGATGCCGAGCAAATGTAATACAAGCATTAACACCCTGCCATGGACACTTCTAAGCCCTCTGTTCACAAGTTAACCCTGACCCAGGTACCTCCTCTTGAAACAAGGAGACAAAAGGGGCTAAGATCAGGTGGCCTTATTCAGGGTTCTTAGGAGGCGAGCAAGCAGGTGTCAGGACTGGCCTTAGGTCAGTGGATGTCAGCCTTACCACACAGGCCACACTCACCTTCACTTAGCCTGGCTTCTTTCCTACCCAAACTGATCCCTGAATTTTCTTAGCAGGTTTACTATTAGGGCTGGAACAATCTTTCTGTTGTAGCTTGTGCTTTCTAGAAAGAAGGAAGAACATTCTTCACCGAGGATGCCCAGCTTCCCAAAGACAGAGGGATATAGATGTTCCCTCTGGCTATGAGAGAGAGATTAGAAGAAATCATTTTTTAGCACCTGTCCAAATTGTGGTACACTGTATCAGATGATTTAACTTTGTATTTCAGCCAGTGTTTGATCTTCTGCTAAGATTTGTAGTAAAGCTGTAAAATGACGAGTCACAGTGTTTCTTTTGCCCAAATAAGGATGGCAAATGGCTACTACACACAACCCTACCTTCCCTCTCGTGACAGTGGCAGACATTGCTAATCAATCATGATGCTCTTTCTCACCGACCCTAGATGTGGCCTGAGAAGTCTCAATGTAGCTCTCCAGGCTATCTGAGCTGATGCATGAGATGAAAACCATTTGCTATTTCTGCCAAAGAGGTAGGAGAACCTGGGAAGAACAGAAAACAACAGAGGAGACAGACACAACATCAGATGATGGAGAGGGGAGAAATACAGAGAGAGAGGGAGCCGAGAGCTTTGCCAAGTGGATGGTTCCGGGAGACAAGTGATAGAAAACAGGCATGGAAAATTTAAGAGAGCTGTTGATAAGCTGTAACTCTGGTAACCAAAAAGAAAGTGTTAATGTAACACTTAAAACGTGGACTGTAACTCTTTCAGAGCTGAAAATAAGTTGGGCAAATAGAGTTCTAAAGGGAGCCAGAGATGGTCTGTAGATATTTGTTTGATAAACACAGCAATTGCTTAACCCTGAGCTTTATGACTGGTCAATAACTAAAAATAGATATGGATGATACAGATACACATACAGGAAAACAAACCCTTTCTATGAATACTGAGCATAGATAACATTCAAGCGTCTATCGTGTGTCAGGCAGTATGCCAAGTGTTTTTTCATGCGCTGTGATATAGGAACTATTATTATCCCATTTTACACATGCAGCAACTGAAGCTCATGCATATCCAAGAACTTATCAAAATCAAACAAATAGAATATAGGGGAATCAGAATTGGACTCTAAGCAGTATTAGCCCTGCATCTCTCTCAATAAACAATTACATACCTGTAGCAGAACCCTGCAAAGAATGGGAGAGAGGCTGGCCCAAGTTTTTTCATGTCTGGGGAATTTCTATTCCTATGCATGTATTGTTTGCTTGTTCATTGATTCATTCATTCATTTACTCATAACCAGCAAATCTTTATAGTGTGCTGCTATGTGCCAGGCACTGTGTAGGCACTGGAAATGCCAGGTGAATGGGGTAATGGCTCTGAACTCACATAGCTTTCCTGTCCTTTCCTTGAAATTAAAGAATTGTACAGCAGCTAAAATAAGTTGAATAGGTCCTGCACTTTATAGCTAGGGAAATGAAATTTGGGTTTGGGGATGGCAAGGTCTAGGCAGCCTAGGCTTACTCTGACCAGCTCTGGGCTGAAAAGACACAGTTCAGCCCACCACAAGCCCAGCTCTTGACTTGGTCAGGATCAGTAGAAGTGGCCTCTTCTGGATTGGTTCTGGGAAATAAATTGCTTTCATGGTCAGAAGGGTTCTCCTGCTCCCAGATGATTCTGATGTGCTGCAAGATGCAGTTCCCTGGGATGGGGGGAGACAAATGCACACATCTTAGGTACAGAAATTGGATTGTCCCACCACCTCTGGTCCTCTATCTGCCCCCACCCTCCACCAAACTCTAACATGAGGAAGATATGACACACGGGTGTCCACAGCTCTCTGACCTCTGATGTTCCCTGGTGAGAACCAGTTTAGGATTGGTGTGTGTCAATTCAGCACCTTGCCACACCTTGGGAGGCCTTGCAAAGAAGTCCTTTCAAATTTCACAGGATTACTCCCTCCGCAACAGGCCAGAGCGGCACCAGTGAACCAGCTTGAATGGCCCAGCAGCAATGGTTGTTTAGGCTTATTTCAGAGATTATTTTGAGGAGCTGGTTCAAAAGCTGCAGACAATTTTTAAGTTCATTATAAGTTCAAACTAGCTCAGCGGGCATTAAGGTCTTTTGCTGATGTTATAAAAAAGAAAATTACCTTGGCTCGGTTCATAAATCTATAAAGAGAAAAAAATTGACTTCGTTTGAAAGCAGTTTGGGCTTTTGCAGGTGAATGGATGTTTTTAGTTGATGACTTCATGGGTTCAGGCCCCTGAGGATAGCACTAATGGGCAACATTAGTCCAATTATCCTAACAGGGGTAGGAAGTTACAGCAACTATTTACCTAGACTTTCAGAGTGAGGAACATTCTGTGGAAGGTGGGTATGGTTCCCAGAGAAAAGAAAACCTCCCCACATGACAGAGCCACTCTCAAACTCTTCAGGTTCCCAGAAACCCCAGAGGATAAATGAAATGTCTTACAAACATATCCTAGCAGAAGGTCAATGGAGACAGTTATAAAATGGTGCCTAGAAATGCAAAGGTGAAAACCAAGGGAATGGGAAGCCTCAGGTTAACTTGGACAGGTGACAAAAGAGAGTTTGAGGCTGACCTTCTGCTCCACTGACAAGTAATCTTGCAGGTGGGTGACTGAACCACCTCTCCAGCAGCTGGAAAGAACAACCCCATGGGAGGGGAAGAGTGAATAGACACTCCTTCCAGGGCCCGAACGGGAGTTAAATTCACAGACTTTCCTCCTCCACTAGGTTTTATTAAGTCTGGCTGCTAATTCCCTCCCCTCCTAAGAACTCCCAACTGACCTGGGGAAGGAAGAAGTGTCAGTAGGGGACAGACACCTGGAGAACCTACACTAAAGGATGACGAAGGGTTACTAACCCCCTGCATGAGTCTCATCAGTGGGTCAATGGGGGCCACTTAGCCCACAGGAAGATGATACCCAGTCATCCCATCTGAGGTCGCCCCTCCCCGGTTCCTCCTCATTTGCTCATACTGAGTATGTCCTTTAAGACACTTGTTACAATCTTGCTTATTTATCTTCTTTGTTAATTTGTACTTTTGTCTGTGATCTGTCTCCCAAACTTGAACTTAAGCAAGCAGGGATCTTCTGTGGTTTACTGGCCGTTGTATCCCCAAGACGTAGAACAGGGCCCCAGATCCATAAAAATACTCAAACTTTATTCAACTAAATGAATGCATAAGGAAATGAATGGATGAGTAAAAAATCCAGAACTCTATTCAGAGGTTACAAATAGATGGGGAGGGAGAAGTAGAGGAGGGAGAAATAAGGTCAACGATTCAGATAGGAGAGGGTGGATGTGATGAAATAGAGTGGAGGGTCTGAGCTATCATATCCCGGTCTCTCGGCAGGGCACTCCGTAACACAGGAAGTGTGCAGAGAGGTGAGAGGCAGGTGACAGGAAACAGTGAGGACTGCTAGGGGTACAGCCAGGAGGGGAGAAAGAAGAGAAGAGCCACAGAGAAAGGGATTTGGCAAACCGGGGCAGGGGATAGGTAGGGGGTAGAAAATTGAGTTGTAAAAACCCCTCCAGAGCAAAGACTGCGGGTAGGAGGCATCGTGATCAGCCTCCATCTCTCTGAGGTCGGAATCACCACCTCAAGTCCCAGCTCAATCCCTGGGGCAATAAACCAGCCTTCCTGAGCTTCGGTTTCCTCCTCTGTCAGATGGGGTAACAACAGTCTATGTCTTTGGACTATAATGAAGATTTAGAGAGACGATGTGGGTAAGAGCTTGGCATGGGGCCTGTTTTCTTCCTGTCAGAAGCTGCCATTCTGAGCCAGCTACTTTAGGAGCCTCCCTGAATTCCCCACATCAGTGTGCCTTCCTCACCCCACACAAGCACCCTCCCTTGAGAAATTCATCTCAGGTAAGGGCTGGTAAGAGAAATCGCTCCAGTGTCAGCACCCTTGGGTTTGGCTTGGGAAGGCTGAACCTGTTCTGGTCCACTTGAACGGGCCACAGAATTGTCCTTGCAAAAGGTGGCCTCCTGTCTTCTTTATTGATCTGCACGCTAATGGACATTTCTGAATGGTAATGACTGCAAGCCTAGGCAAGTCTCCCAGGTTCCCTGTGTCCCTTTAACCTTGGAGGTAGGAGGATGACCTTGGAGCCCTCCTGCTGAGGAGTGAGAAATTGGTTTCCTCTGCCTTTCTGTGTCATGGAAGCCACCCTCCTTCCAGCCCCAGAGGATCTTCTGTCACAGGTCAGAGGCTCGTGTTGTGAGAGGCTCAGAGCATTTTTTTCTTTTGAACAAAATGTCCTGGAAAGAAGTTGATGGCCATGCTCTCCAGCAGCCTGGGATTGGCGAGCAGCAGGAACAAGCCTGCAGCACCCTAAGAAGGACTTCATGGCTGTCTGGAGAGAGCCTGATCCCCAGAAAACAACCTGGGAGCTTGCTCTATCTGGGGTGTGTGGGGTTCAGCTGGCCATGCTTTTGCTACTAAGGGTGTGGGCTGAAGTAAGCCAAGCCTTGATTTTCTAAAAGCACAATAAGCATGCATACATTTTCAGCAAGCAAAAATGTCATGCCCAAACAGGATATTTTGAGAGCTTTTTCAAAGTCAAGGATACTTAAAACATCCTGCAGTCCTCTCCTGAGGAGTGTCCAGGGTTCTGGGGGTGCCGCACTCCCCACCCCCTGGTTGGGCTGTCCCAGCCTTGAGTGGAGAGCAGACTCTGTGGACTGTCCCCGGGAGGAGGTGTGCCTCATGGAGCAGTCATGGGCAGGAAAACAGAGGTGAGAAACAGAGGCTCATTCAAACCAGCTCAGATAACAGAGATTTCAAAAAGGTGTGATCGGCCAAGGACAGGAAACCAAGGACACTCAGGCCACATGTTGTCTGGGTCTGGACAGCCAGCATCCAAGACTGCATCTCTGTTTTTTATGGTGCTGCTCATCACTCCTCTCTTCTGGAACATCTGCTCCATCCCCTGGTTGGAGAAAATGCAATCTGCCTTTTTCTGCTGACACGTGACCTCTCTGGTCTTCCAAAATGTCAGCTATGAGACGGCTTGGCTTGCTTTTTACTTTAAGTCTTGCACCACCATAATCAAGACAATATAAACTTGGAGTTAGGAGAATGGGGTTCAGATTCCCACTTTGTCACTTACTATCTGTGTCATCTTGGACACAGTATGCCTCAGTTTCCTCCTCTGTAAAATTGGAATGATAATTGTTTCTGTCTCATAAAGCTAATGTGAGTATCCAATGAGTTGATTCATGAAAAACACTCAGAAGTAGGCCTGGCAAGGAAATGCTTAAAAATACTAGCTATTGTAAACTCCAGGAGGGATGAAAATTCAAATGCCCACAGGAACCAAACAGATAATATAAACCTCTGAACCAGGCATTGAGTGATACAATAAGAGTGGGCAGGGACCATGCCAAACTGGAGAATACATGCCCCAACAAATGTATTCAAGTTTAATTTAAAAAGAAAAGTCAGCAAGCAGGCAAGTACATCTGTATACCTATGGGCCACCAGGTTGAAACCCTGAATACAGTTTATTTTTCTTTAAATTCAAGATAAAGAGAAGTTGATTGGCTCAGTGAAGACAACGGATGGGTACACTGGGTCAGGTCTATCCCAGCCTAATAAGCTGTGACCAAAAATTGGGCAGAAAAGAGCAGGATCCTGACATAGTACAAACAGGGATAGGGAGGGACCTGTGGCCAAGGACAGACTATCTCAGAAACGGAGGCCCTGAGCCAGCCACATTTACCCACCAACACACACACACACACACACACACACACACACACACACACACACACACGTGCCATGTATGCACATAAGGTTTTGGTGATCATCAGAAGTAAAGCAAAGTAGAATGCTCTCTGCCTCTTACTACTATCACCTTTTTAGCATTCATAGACTCCTTGAATCCAAGGGTTGAATAAGACCCTGGAATTCATCTCTCTCTGCTTCTCCCTTATTCAAGAAACCTCTCCACAGTATCCCAGACAAATTCTCTGCTAGATCTAAAATATCTGTTTCAGTCATCAGTGTGTTTCCAGCCAGGGGGATTCCTGAAGTTGTCTGAAAAGCAAAATGGGCCCCTTATTAGCAAAAGAAAGGGTAAATAAGGGCAATGAAATAAAAATAGCAATTGCTCATCCCAGGGATGGCACTGTTTCT
Organism: Homo sapiens; assembly: GCF_000001405.40. NCBI lineage: Eukaryota > Metazoa > Chordata > Mammalia > Primates > Hominidae > Homo > Homo sapiens. The sequence continues at coordinate 48,941,699 of NC_000016.10, read as the reverse complement.
AAAGAACACTGCTAGATAGCTCTATTTAAAAAAAAAAGTTCTCCATAATGTGAAAACAAGTCCTGCCTGGCTTTTCCACCCATTCTATTCACTGCTCTTAATTCTACGTTTAACAGTCAAGAAGAAAAATGCTGCTTTCAGCATGGGTTTGAGAGTCAAACAAATCTGGGCTTGAACCAGCTTTGCCTCTTGCACTGTGACTTTGTACAAACTGCTCAATCTTTCTGATTTTCAGTGTTCTAATCACTAAAATGGGGATAATAACTCTATCTACCTTACATTGTTGTAAGGAATTAGCAATATGTGTAAATAGCAGCTCTTCAAGAATTTAAAGATCCCAGTATAGGTGTTCTTATTTCCAGGCTAAAAAGCCTCAACTCCTTTAACCATTCCTGGGGTGCCATGGTATCTAGACTCCTCCCAATTTTAGTGGATTTCTGTTAGCCTTTGTCTGCCTGCTTGGATTGTTTTTCACCTTCTTTGGACAATGGCACTTTGTTTTGTTTAGGGGGGACCACTTTTCCCACTGGACACACACAATCTGGTGAGATCATCAATCAAAGTGCACTGGGCTCACCTACCAGGCTAAGCCAAATGCTGTTCTCCCTTTGAGCTTCCATCCTGAGCTGAGGGATGCAAAGAGCAATTATGGTTGGAGTTCATTTGTCTTGACTGGGGAGATGGTTCAGCTTTCCTGCCATCTTTGTCCTTTCCTTCCTTAGTTCTTTCGGCCTTTCAGTGATTATATGAGCCACTAATCAGTTTTCCTGCTTGTTTGACAGAGTGCATTCCCATTGCTTATAACCAAGGAACACTATTGGAGCACAGTCTAGATGGAAAATTGTGGTTTGTGGAGGAGTTGTGAGTATGTCTGTCCCAAGCTTAGGATGAATTTTGGGGGTCTCATGAGAGGGGAAGCATTAGGAGTGAAGATTAGAATGAAAGTAGCTGGGAGAAAGACCCATTAAAGGGGAAACTCCCGTGCCTGTGTGGGGTCTGAGGAAGCACTTGAGATGGTGGGATTTTAGGGAAGATCTGTCCAGAGGAACCAGTTGAGATACATCACCAGGGTGCCAGCTGCCCTCTCTGCCTGCTGCCAATGTAACACCATACCTAGTATTGAGGGGACACAGGAAGGTTTTTCTAACTGGCAGGAGTCCCAGGCTTTGAGGGAGAAATGGAGAAAAAGTGCTAAAATTTGTTTCTTCCAAATGTTCTGGAATGCATCCAGGCACATCCATAAAAGAAAGCTGGCACCCACCTAGAAGGGAGGCAATATATTTTTTTAAATTGCAGTCATAATTCCTAATTGAATGTCTCTCTCAAAAATTCATGACACGGAAGACCGAATTGTTAAGTAAATAAAATCATAAATGAGGTTCATAACAGAGCTAATGGCTGCTCTAAACAGCTCTCTATTGCACAGGAGCTCTCAACCAACTCCCTGATGGTCCAGCGTAGCTGTATCCATGTGTAAACTTCTAGGACTTTCCCTTCACCCAACAGAAGCGTGGTGTGCCCTGCTCTTCAAATCTTGCTCTTTGTGAACTGGGTTTTTCTACCAATGAAGACAACTCAGTAGTGCAACTTTCTTTTCCACAAGACAAACAAACTTTGGGGCAGCCCAGCTTGCCGTTTCTCATTGAACTGTCACTCACACTCTTTGGACATCAGCTTCTGCATCCCTGATAGCCTCTGACAGCTCTGAGTCAATGCACCACTTAGACCCCCAAATCTGATTTTGATTTCTACCTACTTTGATCATTTTTTTAGAAAGTTCAGCAGATTTCTCCCATAACCTTTCTATTTAAGCCTGTACTCCAGAAACTTGTGGTGGAGATAAAGACTTTTAAGTAAACATTCTTCTGCTCCTTCCGACTGCCCATCGTTTATTCAACAGACGTCAAGTGAGCTCTGTGCCTAATGCAGTGCTGGGTCAAGGACATTCTATGGTGAGCTAAGTAGGCGCCATCCCACCCTCAATGACCTCATGGTCCAGCAGAAAACAGGAGTTATGCAAATAGGCCTGATTAACAAATTGGAATATGTACTACAAAGGAAACAAAATTAAGTGGAACAAAAAGGAATAACTGAAGATATCTCATTTAAAGATAAGGTGAGACTTAGAAGAGATTTCTCTGAGCACAAGATATTTAATCTGAAACATGAGGATGAGTAGTGCTGGACTGGCCAAGGCGGAAGCCATGGGACAGCGAGACCATTCCCAAGGGAGAGAGCCACACGTACAAAGGCTCTGAGGAAGAAAACTTGGCCTGTTGGAGGCACTGAAAGCGAGGAAGCATGGCTCACAGAGGTGGCCAAGCTGAGGCTAAAAGGTGCAACGGGCAGCTTCCTCTGGTGGCTATGGAATGAGGCTCAGCTAGGCTCCTCTGAGAGGAGAGTGGCCAACACCCTTGAGCTGTGGCTACTAGGAGACACAGAGGTGCAATTGAGTGATTGTGATCTGGAAGTCAGAACCTCAAGTTCTGAGAAAAACAAACAAATAAACAAACAAACAAACAAAAACCTCCTAGGGCTGTAGCAGGGATAAAATAGGTATAGGATGAGGACAGGGTCTTGTATACAGAAAGCACTCAATAAATGTGGGCCCTGGTTCTTTCAAGGTAATGCTACGTACCTTCCTTTTCTTGGGTCACAAGGTCTGTAAACTACAGAAATGGAGCAAATGTCTTGAAAGGCCCTTTTCTATAGAATCTTGTGGCGGGGGGCTGGAAGGTATGGGAGGGGCCTGGCCTATCTGGACTCTGGGGTCTCTTCCTGAGTGAGGTGAGGATGGTACATGCTTTGGCCTTCCCAGCCCCGGGTCATAGTCTGTCTGACCCATCTCTGACTCTGGGCACTGCAGTCTCAGGTGCCTGGCTGACTTGCTGGAGGATGTCTGGGCCTCAGCTTGATCCTGGCATTTACTCAACAGCCATCTTGGTATTTGTTAGAGGCCCTTGCAAGCTCAACAAATCTAACCTGGGGCCTTGAACTCTGGTGTCCAAAAAAGCATCCTTAATTTTAGAACAAATAGCATGAACTTGACTGCTTCCTGACTGAGCCCTTTACTCTCCACATTGAGTGTCACCATATTCTTGAACTATTTGAGGTCTTAACCCCAAACAAGTAAATATGGGGGCTGAGATGGACTTGGGTTTGAATCCATCTGTGGTCTTGAGCAAGTTCCCTCTCTGAACCTGTTTCCTCATCTGGAAAATGGAGTTACAATACCATTAGTAGTGTTTCTTCGAGGGTTAAATTAGGACACGTAGACTGCTTAGGACAGGGTCCAACTCGGAGCACATCCTCCATAGAGGTTAGTTGCTATCAGTAATGAATTGTTATTTTTAAAATTAGTATTATTATTATTAGCAACAGAGTGAATTTCTAATGAAAACAGTGAAGCTTAGAGCACAGTAGGGGTTAAGGTCAGTACCCAGCTCATCACAGGTCTGCAAAGGTCAGACCTCAAAGATGGAAAAGCAGAAAGACCCCTTGAGTCTCAGCTTGGCTGGGCTTGAGGAGGCAGCAAGGTAAACGCTTGTTGGGAGTGACTGAGAAGTTTCACAGATGCTTCCACAGCTCTGGGGGAGTTAAGTCCCCACCTGTGCTCCTGCTGGCCTGGGGCATGGCTCTGGGGCCCACATTCTGGAGGCCCAGGTTCCAGTAGCCTCCCTCTCTCCACATCTCCAGTCCTCTCCAAGCCAGAAGGACCTTACAGACTCAACCTGGAGGTTTTCGTCAAGCAGAAGGAAGAATTTTAAGGCTGTCCAAGAAGTAGAATGCCAAGGAAGTCATACATTTCCATAGGATGAGTTCTGTTGAGTAGCATTAATGCACCAGACTTTGTTCGTAATACTTTCTATGAATTAATTAATTGAATACTCTACACAGCCCTATGAGGTAGGAGTTCTGTTATTACCCCTGTTTTACAGAGGAGCAAGGCTTGGAGACACTTGCCTCAGGTCACTCAGTGGGTCTGCGTGAATCCCAACCCGTGCCCTGAACAATCACACCAGAGAAACACTGTACCATCAGGCTGCTGCCCCAGCACTGGCAGCATCCAGGCCCTGTGCCGCCACTCTCAAGACTCAGGACTTACTTGAAAGTGGTTTGGCCTCAGAACCCACACCTGGTGCCATGCTGCCTCTCAAAGCAGCCCATGTAACTAAAAACACAGTCCACATAACCTAAAAAACCTCCTCGAGGTCCTTCTAATTCACAGAGTCAGGGAGTCTCAGCCAGGACCTAGTTCCCCTACAATGTGCTATTTAAGAGCATGGGCTTTGAAGACACACAGCACTGAGTTCCAGTCCTGCCTCCTCTGCCTCCCAAGACAAATTACTCAGCTTGTCTGGCAGAGCTTGAGAACTGTCACAGTGCCTGCCTCATATTCCTGGACCCAGTGTCTGACACATGGTAGGTTAAGTCCACTCAGCTCTGTCCAGTGCCAGTGAAGACAGGTCAGCAACAACACGTCTCCATCCAGCACTGGCCACAGACTCCTTTACAGACTGATGTCCAGGCCCAGCACAGTGGCTCACGCCTGTAGTCCCAGCACTTCCAGAGGCCAAGGTGGGAGGATCACTTGAGTCCAGGAGTTCAAGACCAGCCTGGGCAACATAGTGAGACCCCTGTCTCTACAAAAATAAAGATAAAGTGATATCCAACAAGTCCTGGGCAACAAGCCACACGATTCCAGCTCATTAGCCATCCATGACCTCTTGACTTTCTTATGGTCATTCAGCTCACACTTAGGTCCTGAAGACATTCTCTGTTTTGGTTTCGATTGATTTTGCATTTATTGTAGCCACATCCAGCTCCCTCCGTGTGGATCTTGGGACAACCAAAAGAAGCAGAAAGGATTCACCTGCGAGCCACATCCCAGGGCAAGCGGCTGGACGTCAGTCAAGACACATGGCCTTCTCCTTCCCTTCTCTCATCAGCAGGTGATTAAACAGATCAGTAACTGAAAGAAGGTCAGTCCCTGGCTCCAGGAAAACCAAAGCCTGAGCAAACCCCCGGATTAGCCACACAGCACAGAGCTGCTCACAATGCTCAGGCTGTGTGGGCCTTTTGCTCTGGGCCCCAAAATGTCTGGTGGTGGAGGCAGGCCCTGTCCCTTTACAGCGAATTTACAGCTAGCATTAGCTTAGCCATAAAGACTCTTGCAGAGTGTCCAGATTGTGAAGTTTTGTCACTCAAGGGAATAGGGAAAGTCTCTCCCCATGGGGATGAAAATGAGAAATTCAATTCTTAGGATGGTTCACGTGGAACAGTATGGGAGGTAGAAGGGAACAGCGATCACATCCTCTCAGAGCCCCTCAGGGTCTTCTCCCAGACACAAGCGAGGGAGAATGCCTCTGCTGAGGCCAGTTTTAAACAGCTTTGTCAAGGCACAATAGATACACAAAGAACTTCATACATTTATGTGTAAACCTTGGTGAGTTGCAACACATATATCCAGTACCTCCCAAAGTTTTCTTGTATCTTTTTGTCTTATTTTGGGGTGTATGTGTGTGTGTGTGTGTGTGTGTAGAATATTTAACACAGGCCAGGCGCAGTGGCTCATGCCTGTAGCACTTTGGGAGGCCCAGGTGGGAGGATCTCTTGAGGCCAGGAGTTTGAGACCAGCCTGGCCAACATGATGAAACCCTGTCTCTACTAGAAATACGAAAATACTAGCCGGGCATGGTGGCACATACCTACAGTCCCAGATACTCAGGAGGCTGAGACAGAAGAATCACTTGAACCCTGGAGGCGGAGGTTGCAGTGAGCAGAGATCGAGCCAATGCACTCCAGCCTGGGCAACAGAGCAAGAGTTCATCTCAAAAAAAAAAAAAAACATTTAACATGAGGTCTACCGTCTTAACAAATTTTAAGGTGCACAACACAGCACTGTTAACTAACCATAGGCACTGTGTCATGCAGCAGCTCTCTAGAGCATATTTATTTAGCATAACTGAACCTCTAGACCCATTGAACAACTCCTCATTCCCCATCCCCAGTCCCTGGCAGCCACTATTTTATTCTCTGCTTCTGAGTTTGACTCTTACAGATACCTCATATAGGTGGAATTATGCAGTATTCATCCCTCTAAACTGGCTTATTTTCACTGCCACTTTTGAAAAGTCTGACAAGATACCAGCAGCTATGCCAGTGAAATAATTTAATAGCCTTGTTTGGCTGTTTTAAAGTCTTTGCAGAGGACCACTGAGTTTATCTTTTCAGAGTCCTCTCCGGGCTGTTGCCTCTCCAGGCAAACACCTTTCTTTGTGCTTCCTGGTCCCTTTGTCCAGCGATTATGGGATGGTTTGCATTGTGTGGTAGCTGATGCCATGTCCCTTTTCCTTCTCTGGAGTAGACTTGAAGGCAGGGACTGTGTTTCCACTCAGGACAGAGGCAGGCTCACAGTAGGTGCTCCATAAATGTTTCTGAGGGATAAATTGTAACTCTCATTTATATATTGCTTTTATTTTGATGCTCAGAATGAGAATTGGCCTGGCTTTTCTAAAGGAAAACTTGGCAATTTGGCAATTCATGTCAAAGGCCTTGGAAATGTGCATGTGTTCGACTGTGACTCTCCTCCTAGAAGTGTATCCTGAAGCAGTAATCTATACTGTCACCAGGATTTGTGTTTAAGGACAGTCAAGGCAGCATTGTTTACAATAGAAAAGAACTGGGCTTATCATGATTGTCCAACAATAGGGGTTTGGGGAGAGCAATTGTGGTTCATCCCAATAACCAAATAGTATGCATGCAGCCATGACACACTGTGTGACAGAGGAAGAGTTAGGGATGTGGGGAAATGCTCATGAAGAAATGTAGAATATTCCAAGAGTAAATAACAGTACATAATAGATATAGTTATTTTAAAAAGCAAATTATATACATGCATATAAAGAAAAAGAGTCAGTTAAGATATACCCAAATTTTAGCAATGCTTGTCTCTGGGCTGTGGTACTGTGGGTAATTTTTGTTTGTTTGTTTCTTTTTTCTTCCTGCTTGTTGTATGTTCTAAATATTCTACAATAAAATATTTTGTGATGAGTGGGCAATAACCTTTATTCTACTTTGTAACCCAGGAAGTTTTCCATTGAGAAATTTTTGATGATCATTCTTCATAAAAATATGTAATTGATTCCTTTAACATAATACCAGAAATTTTGTGTCACAAAAGTACCCCGGTCCTTCTGCTCACATAAGCCTTGTTGACTATAATAAACTTTTATAATCCAAAATCAAAAGCATTACTTTTTAAAACATCTGTTAAAATTGGAGTTGACTGAAACTACTTGTAAATTTGTGCTAAATAGTCCCAAGTGAACTCCTCAGATATCAGAGCCCCAGAGACCATTTTTAGGAAAAAGTGTACCCAGTTCCAAGTACTTCACTGTAGAAACAGGGAGTTGACTTGTCAAAGGGAAGATTATACTTTGGATCTGTGTTTGCTCAAGTTTTTATGCCTGGGCTCTGAGTAACTTGAAGCATTTCTCAGATCCAGAAACACAGAGTCTCAATTCCACTCTAGCTGAATGTCGACTTCTTTCTGTTGCAGGGTTGGGGTAGGCCAACCAGGTTCCACATTGACTCTCTTTTCCCAGGGCCTCCTGAAAATGATGACCCCTCCCTCCCTCTTCAAGCAGACATCTCCACCTGAGTCTCTAAACCACCTTTGGGAAGATCAAGACAACTGAAGAATAGAATTGAGGGGAGGGAGGCAGTGGGGTTGCTCAGGGATCACTATGTATGTTTCATGCCGGTGAGTGGAGATGCTCTCACTACTAAATGCTGCATTCTCCTTTCTGGGTATGCCACAGATTATTTGTCCACAGTTGTACACAGGGCTACTGTGAGTGTCCAGTGCAGAAGACCCATGTGCATTCATAGCTTACCGCCATGGTGAATCTTTTCCTTACATTTAACGTCACCAAGTATTCAGTCCCCTACACAGGGCCAGCCATCCCCCTGTCTGAAAATCCTGCCTCCATGTGCTGAGCTGAGCTGGGTAGCAGCTGGTCTAGGTTGTGGTGGAGGTGGCTGGTTACCTACCTGATATCTATCCTCCCTTCTTTCTTAGTAACAGGCTTCTGTTTTATTCTGGAGTTAATGTGCCCAGTGAAAAGGCCTCAGTCCCTGGCCTTCCTTGAAGCTTATAGTGGCCCGTGGGCTATAAGCAGATAGACATGTTGGGTGGATGCAGAGGCATACACCCTGAGAAAATGACAGCTGACATGTGCCCTATGATCACTACCTCCTCTTCTGCTTTTTGGGTGGAACATAGCTGTGATAGCAGGAGCTCCAGATGCCCTTCAGGACCAGGAGGCAACTTGGTGATGGAAGCCATGCATCAAAGGGTGGTGGACAGGAAGAGTGAAGGAGCCCAGCTCCCTGATGGCTGTGCAGCCACTATGCTGGCCCTAGGCAACACGCCCAGACTTTTTCACACGAGAGAGAAAGCGGCTCCTACATTGTTTAAGAACTGTCATTTCTGGTCTCTGTTACACAAGTCTCAGTCTCTCTGAGAAGGGTCTTAGAAAACTCCACTTCACAACCTAAGTGTTCATGAATGGGTGAATGGATAAAGAAAATGTGGCATACAGCAGGTCTTCAAATAACATCATTTAGTTCAACGTCATTTTGCTGTAAGATTGATGAGAGAAAAAACGGATTCTTGACCAGTGCCCCTGTCTGTGGAGTCTGCACCTTCTCCCCATATCTGTGTGTTTTCTTGGGGCACTCTGGTGTCCTCCACATCCCCAAGCTGTGCATGTGAGGTTCACTGGCCTCTGCACACGGCCCCAGTGAGAGTGTGAGTGTGAGTGTATGAGAGCAAGCATGTGTGAGCGAGTGTGGGTGTGTGAGCAAGTGTGGGTGTGTGTGAGCGAGTGTGGGTGTGTGAATGTGGGTGTGTGTGAGTGTGGGTGTGAGCGAGTGTGGGTGTGTGTGAATGTGGCTGAGTATGAGTGAGTGTGGGTGTGTGTGAATGTGGCTATGAGTGAGTATGGGTGTGTGTGAGTGAGCATGGGTCTGTGTGAGTGTGGGGGTGTGAGTGTAGGTGGGTGTGTAAGTGTGTGTGTGTTAGTGCGGGTGAGTGTGAGAGAGTACGGATATGTGAGTGAGTGTGGGGGTGTGTGAGTGTAGATGTGTATGAGCAAGTGTGGGTTGGTGTGCTAGTGTGCATGTGTGTGTATGAGAGCAAGTATGGCTGGGTGTGTGAGCATGTGGGTGGGTTTGAATGAATGTGGGTGGGCGTGAGTGTGGGTGTGTGCAAGTGTGGGTGTGTGTGACTGTGGGTATGAGTGTGGGTGAGTGTGAGTATGGGTGTGTGAGCATGTGTGTGAGCGAGTATGGGTGTGTGTGAGCGAATGTGGGAGCATGAGTGTGGGTGTGTATGAGTGAGTGTGGGTGTGTGAGAGTATGGGTGTGTGTGTGGGTGTGTGTTAGTGAGTGTGTGTGAGCGGGTATGGGTGTGAGTGTGGGAGCATGAGTGTGGGCATGTGTATGAGCAAGAGTGGGTATGTGTTAGTGTGGGTGACTGTGAGAGTATGGGTGTGTGAGTGTAGGTGTGTGTTAGTATGTGTGGAATGAGTATGGGTGTGAGTGTGCAAGCATGAGTGTGGGTGTGTAAGTGTGGGTGTGTGTTAGTGTGGGTGAATGTGAGAGAGTATGGGTGTGTGACTGTGGGTGTGTGTGTGTGAGAGTGAATGTGTGTGTGTGGGTATGTGAACAAGTGTGGCTGGGTGTGTGAGTGTGGGTGGGAGCAAGTGTGGGTGTGATTGAGTGTGGGTGTGTGTGAGTGTGGGTGTGCATGAGCGTGTATGGGTGTGTGTGGGAGCATGTGATTGTGTGTGAACATGGGTGTGAGAGCAAGTGTGGCTGGGTGTGGGAGTGAATGTGTGAGTGTGGGCATGTGAGCAAGTGTGGCTGGGTGTATGAGTGGGTGCGAGTGTGGGTGTGGGTAGGTGGGAGTGTATGTGAGCAAGTGTGGTTGTGACAGTGTGTGTATGTGTGTTTGTGGGTGTGTGTGTGAGGGTGTGTGAACGAGTTTGGGTGAGTGTTAGCAAGTGTGTGTGTGAGTATGGGTGTGTGTGAGCTATGCGGGTGTGTAAGTATGGGTGTGTGAGTGAATGTGTGTGAGTGTGTGGGTGTGTGAGTGTGAGTGAGCATGGGTGAGTGTGTGTGTGAGCGAGTGGGGGTGTGTGTGTGGGTGTGTGATTGTGGGTGGGTGTGAGCAAGTGTAGGTGTGTGAGCAAATATGGGTGAGAGTGTGGGTGTGTGAGAGTGGGTGTGGTATGTGTGGACGACTGAGGGTGTGTGTGAGTGTGGGTGTGTGGGTGAATGTGTGTGGGGGGCTGAGCAAGTGCAGGTGTGTATGAAGGAGTGTGTAAGCAAGTGTGGGGGGGGTGTGAGCGAGTGTGGGTGTGTGAGCAAGTAGGGATGAGTGTGGGGGTGTAAGTGTGGGTGTGTGTGATGGCATGTGTGAGTGGGTACGGATGTGTGTCATTGAGTGTGGGTGGATCTGAGTGTGTGTGAGTGAGCATGTGTGAGTGTGGGTGTGTGAGTGTGTGTGTGAGCAAGTGTGGGTGTGAATATGGGTGAGTGTGGGTGGTGTGTGTGAGCAAGTGTGGGTGTGAGTATGGGTGAGTGTGGGTGTGTGAGTATAGGTGAGTGTGAGCAAGTGTTAGTGGGTGGGTGGGTGTGAGTGTGTGTGTCAATGAGTGTGGGTGTAAGTGTGGGTGTGAGTGTGTGTGAGTGAGTGTAGGTGTATGAATGAGTATGGGTGTGAGTATGGGTGTGTGTGAGCGAGTATGCATGTGTGTATGGGCATGTGTGTGAGTATGCATGTGTGTAAGTATGGGTGTGTGAGAGCAAGTATGGGTGTGTGTGAGTGTGTGAGCGAGTGTGGGTGTGTGAGTGTGAGCAAGTGTGGGTGTATGAATGAGTATGGGTGTGAGTATGGGTGTGTGTGAGAGCAAATATGGATGTGTGTGAGTGTGTGAGCGAGTGTGGGTGTGTGTGAGTGAGTATGCGTGTGTGTGAGTGAGTATGGGAATGTGAGTGAGCAAGTGTGTGTGTGTGAATGTGCCCTGCGATGGGATGGCCCCCTAGCCAGGGCAAGTTCCTGCCTTACACCCTGAGCTGCCAGGAAAGGCTTGGGTCACCCGTGACCCTGAACTGGAATAAGCAGATTAGAAAATGAATTAATGAGTACAAATTATTGTACAAAATATGTAAAGTCTCTGGTAATCCCAGAAATGCATGACAGTAAACAATGCTGTTCGAAAGCGCTCAGTGAACACTCTATGTTGGTGATTGTTTTTGAACTGTGTGGTGGCAGGAGATGCTCCTGACAATTTTCACTTTACCAACATTTATTCCTGATTTAACCCACCACCATGACAACTGCTGTCACTCACTGTTTCAACAAAAGTTAGGCAAATAATTCCCCTACTTGTTTTTATTAATCTTTCTTGAATGTATATATAGCTCACATTTATTTCAGTGTTCAATATTAGAAGTGTTTTAAGTCTTTAGAAATTTGGTGATGTTTTTGTGATCAGAAATATGCCACAGGAACTTAATTTTTGTTTATATCAATTTGTCTATGATAAAATTGGTCTTGTTATATGTTGTTTTGCTTAAAGTCAGTTTCCGAGAACCTATTGATGGCATTAAGTGAGGATTCATTGTATATACACAATGGAATACTTAAAGAAGGAAATTCTGTCATTTGTGGCAACATGGATGAATCCAGAGGGATTAAGTGAAATAATCCAGGCGCAGAAGGACAAATGCTGCATGACCTCACTTTCATGTGGAATCTGAAAAGTCCAAAAAAGTCAGACTCATAAAAGCAGAGTGAGTGGTGGATAGCAGAGGCTGGGGTTGGGGAAGGGAAGGGAAAGGGAAGATACTGCAGAGGGTACAGAGCTCCAGTTAGACAGAAGGAATACCTTTTAGTGATCCATTAGACCGCATGGGGACCATAGTTAATAATAGTGTTGTATATTTCAATATTAATAAGACAGTAGATTTTAAATATAACTGTAACTGTCAATGCATTAATAAGCTTGATGTAAACATTCTACAATGTATACATGTATCAGAACATCACACTGTACCCTATATACACAATTATTATTTGTCAATGAAAACATTTTAGAAAAAGGAAAAGAGCTCCACTTCGAATGCTAACTCAGCTGTTAATGAAATGAGACTGCACCTTCAACCCTGCGATTGTTCCTTGTGTGCATAGCTCCCTTTCTTAGGAACCCCAAAGGGAAGAAGAATAGGCTGTGGGATAAGGGCACCTCCAGGTCTCTTTCAGTATCTACATATCATAGTGATGGCATGAGAGAGCCTTAACAGGGGAAAGTGGGTGAGAAGAAGGACAGCCTCAAAGGGGGCTCAAAAATACAGACACATCTTCAGGTTCTTTTGTGGTCATGGTGGTTGCTGCTGTAAAAAATTTTTCAAGTGCTAATTTGGTATAAGTCTTGCTGGCACATGCAGTAAAAATAGGCTTGTCCAGCTCATAGCTACCAACCAATTAATCCAGACAGAAAGGAGGCTGAGTATTTAAGAACATCCACGTAGAGGGGACTTGTCAGACCCTATGAAAGCAGCACCACAGCAACCGGGACGAGCCAAGGCATCCCCCTCTCTCGTCCTGAAAGCCCAGTACAGCTGACAGAGGTGCAATTAGAAGCCCATGGCCTTTGTAAAGCTCTGCAATGCCAAACGAGGCTGAGAGACTGGTTTTGGAGAGAAGGGCTCCATGGTGGTGATGAGTGAGTGGCGGGATCGTCACATGGCCTTACTGAGATAGGATGGCCTGGTATGCAGTGCCCCATGGGATTTCAAACCTCCTTTCCCCAAGAGTCCTACCGTCCCTCCCAGCTGACTCTGCGGGGATGGGCAGACAGAATCCTGGAAGCCAGGGTGTGGGAAATGGCCTTCCCATTTGTCTTTGTTTTCAAGGCCGGCTGTAACAGAGGACCATGGTCTGGGTGTCTTACACAACACAATTCTGGAGACTGGAAGTCCCAAATCAAGGAGCTGGCAGGTTGCTTCCTTCTGAAGCTGAGGTAGGACCTGTTGCATAACTCTCCCCTTGGCTTGTGGATGGCTGCCTTCTCCCTGTGTCTCTTCACATTGTCTTCCCTCTATGCATGCCTGTCTCCAAATTTCCCCCTGATACGGTTTGGCTGTGTCCCCACCCAAATCTCAAATTGGACTGTAGCTCCCATAATCTCCACATGTTGTGGGAGGGAACCCGTGGGAGGTAATTGAACCATGGAGGCAGGTTTTCCTGTGCTGTTCTTATGATAACGAGTAAGTCTCATAAGATTTGATGGTTTTATAAAGGGCAGTTCCCCTGCACACACTATCTTGCCTGCCACCATGTAAGTCATGTCTTTGCTCCTCCTTCACCTTCTGCCATGATTGTGAGGCCTCCCCAGTCATATGGAACTGTAAGTCCATTAAACCTCTTTCTTTATGAATTACCCAGTCTTGGGTATTTCTTCCAACCAGTATGAAAATGGATTAATATGCCCCCTTTTATTAGGATTACAGACCATCCTAATGACCTCATAGTAACTTGATTACCTCTGAAAGACCCTGTCTTCAAATAAGGTCACACTCTGAGACACTATTTGCTAGGACTTCAGCATATGGATTTGGGAGACACAGTCCAGCCCATGACATCATTCACCAAGTGTGAGGGACCCAACAGGAGCCAGAAAGGTCACATCCATGAGTGACCCCCACCTGGGTGAGAACTGTGGAAAAGCAGCATGTGCTACATCTAACGAGGTCAGTCTCAGCTCCAGCTAGATGTAGCTGTGGGACACCTTCCACTTGCCCCTCTAACCCCACACCTCTGTTCCACGCCCAGGAGGTCAGTTTTTGTGGACTGCATCTAAGGGCACTCTAACCCCCTGGCTTTCAGATAGTTCAGCCTGTGCTGTACAAAATGCAGCCACATGTGGCTATGTAAATTTAATTTTAAATTACTTAAAATTAAATAACATTTAAATTTTCATTCCTCTCACACTAACCACATTCCAAGTGCTAAATAGCCACAAGTGGCGAGGCACTGCTGTTTTGGATGGTACAGATGTGCACTTCCATCATCACAGAAAGTTCTATTGGACAGCACTGGTTCAGCTAGGCAAGGCCCCAGCAGGAGATACAGAGGGTGGGAAGACAGTGAGTCAAGATGTTTATTCCCTCAGCTTCTTTTCTGCCAGGTTGCTGAGGTTGACTATGACTCTGTCAAGGACCCATCTCTTATCAGGGAGCCCTCTCCAATAACCACTCTCTCTGGCCTCCTGTAACTGTTCCCTCCTTTGCCCCTTCAGCCCCAGGGTTGGTAAGCATTCCTTCTGTTTCTTTTTAGGGTGCTGCACCATTTCTTGGTTTTAACCCTAGACTCATACTTTTGTAAATATCCAAATCTCCCCATACACCTAGATTGATGACTTACCTGTTCGTATAACAAGACCGTGGCATGTTGGAGTGCCAGGATGCCAGGACATTGTCACCAGATCTAATTTTGAAACAAAAGATGGAAATCTAAATTTTTATATGAAATCTGTATCCAAAATCATGGCAATGTCTCAAAAACAACAACTTTCAAACATTGAAAGCAAAGCAAAACAAAACTCATTTACAGCGCATGTGTCCTATAATTAGCTACTTGTGTTCTATCCCAATGCCAGGCAGCCTGGTAGTCATCCATTCTGAACACCTTGCTCAGATCAAACCCTTCTCCCCAGTGACAATGAGGGTCCTCATGATGTCTTCTGGGTAGCTACCACTTTCCTGTTTCTCCTTTCTCCAGGGATGGAAAGGCTGGAGATCACATTCTGATCTTCAAATGTAACTTATTTCCTGTGCCTCAACTTGATGCAGCAGTCAGTCAGTGATGTGTAACAAATTGCCCCAAACATAGTGGCTTTAAGCAAAATCATTTATTATCTCACAGTTGGCCCTTCACAGCATACCTGCCAGGATCCTAGCTGTCCTTCTGCTCTATCTGGACACCTCCCCTCCATTCTTGACTCTTGTATTAGTTGGTTCTCAAAGTGCTACAAAGAAATACCTGAGACCTCGTAATTTATAAATAAAAGAGGTCTAATTGGCTCACAGTTCTGCAGACTGTATAGGATGATGCTAGCATCTGCTCAGCTTCTGGGGAGACCTCAGGAATCTTTTTTTTTTTTTTTTTTTTTTTTTTTTTGAGACAGAGTCTCACTTTGTCACCCAGGCTGGAGTGCAGTGGTGCGATCTCGGCTCACGGCAAGCTCCGCCTCCTGGGTTCACCCCATTCTCCTGCCTCAGCCTCCTGAGTAGCTGCGACTACAGGTGCCTGCCACTATGCCCAGCTAATTTTTTGTATTTTTTTTAGTAGAGACAGGGTTTCACCGTGTTAGCCAGGATGGTCTCGATCTCCTGACCTCATGATCCACCTGCCTCGGCCTCCCAAAGTGCTGGGATTACAGGCATGAGCCACCACGCCTGGCCAGGAATCTTATATAATCTATGATTATAGCCGAAGGCAAAAGAGCAGTAGGTAGGTCACATGGTGAAAGCAGGAGCCAGAGGGGAGGAGCCACACACTTAAACAACCAGATCTCACCTGAACTCACTGTCGCCACAACAGCACCAAGAGGGATGTTGCTAAATTTTCATAAGAAATGGAAATGCACCCCATAATCCAATCGCCTCTCACCAGGCCTCACCTCCAACACTGGGGATTACATTTCAATAGGAGATTTGGGAGGGGACACACATCCAAACTATATCAGCTCTGATTATCCAAACCCTGGCCACCTTTCAGGGCCAGCTCAGGCCACTCCTCCTCTGTAAAGCCTCCTCTAGTTGCTCCAGCACACAGAGTTCTGGACTTGCAAGTAACTTCAGATCAATATTTTCCTTTTTTTTTTCTTTTTTTTTTTGAGACAGAGTCTCGTTCTGTCGCCCAGGCTGGAGTTGGAGTGCAGTGGCCTGATCTCGGCTCACTGCAAGCTCTGCCTCCCAGGTTCACGCCATTCTCCTGCCTCAGCCTCCCGAGTAGCTGGGACCACAGGCACCCGCCACCACGCCCGGCTAATTTTTTGTATTTTTAGTAGAGACGGGGTTTCACCGTGTTAGCCAGGATGGTCTTGATCTCCTGACCTCGTGATCCTCCTGCCTCGGCCTCCCAAAGTGCTGGGATTACAGGCATGAGCCACTGCGCCCGGCCAAGATCAATATTTTCATCTTAACCCAATCTATGACATAAAATAATTATTGATAATCTAGATAAGTATGAAAATATGGATAACAGTTACAAGCAATATTATTTTAAAAAACGCTAAGAAACACAATTATTATTGACAATCTAAATAAGTATGTTAATATGGATGACAGTTATATTTGTAAAAGGCTAACATTTGTGGAGTGCATACTATTTGCCAGAACTTGTGCTTCTTTCTCACAGCAACCCAAAAGAAAGATTTTGGCTGGGTCTGGTGGCTCACACTTATAATCCCAGCACTTTGGGAGACCTAAGCAGGCAGATCACCTGAGGTCAGGGGCTCGAGAACAGCCTGGCCAACATGGCGAAACCCCATCTCTACTAAGAATTCAAACTTAGCTGGGCATGGTGGTGCGTGCCTGCAATCCCAGCTACTTGGGAGGTTGAGGCAGGAGAATCACTTGAACCTGGGAGGCAGAGGTTACAGTGAGCTGAGATTGTGCCGCTGCACTCCAGCCTGAGCATCAAGAGTGAAACTCCATCTCAAAAAAAAGAAAAAAGAAAGAAAGAAAGATTGATTTTATGATCGTGCTTGTTTTATAAATGAGAATCTAAAGCAGAAAGGGGAAATTCTGGTTTCCAGAACTCATAAGTAAATGGTGGAGATGGAAGGTCTGACTCAGGACTTCCTGGGTCTGGAGCCACACACTTCACCATCCCACTGTCACCTGGTAATTGTTCCCTGTGCATGCTGCCCTTCCTAGTAGGCTGTGAGCTCTTTGAAGACACACATCAGGCCTGTGTCACCAAGCAAGCAGCAGGTGCTCAATAAATGCTGATTGGATTACTGGCTGGTTGGCTGCTTCAGAGAAGGGCTTTCTGAACATACTGAAATCAGGCCATGACTTGCAGAGCCAGTCCTTAGAAACTGTGTGATTCCAGCTGAGGGCTCCCTCTCCCATATCCAGATCACTGCTATTTACCTGCAGACATTAAAGGTCAGAGTAGTAATGTTCAGCTATGAACTTATCCTGTCTGCCAGGATCACAGGTATTAAAGAGGCAGGGTGTGTGTGTGAGTGTGTGGGGCAGGCACAGCTCCAGGTGAGGTAGCTGCTACCACACTGGGTTTACTCAAGAGTGTCTGTTTTCTCCCAGTAGGTTTGGTAGAACTGGACTGGATTTGGGGATCTTCTGTCAAGGTCTCTGCAGGAACTTCCAAAATTCAAGCCTGCTCTGTCATCAGGTCTCTGAACTCCTGTACTCCTTAGCCATCCAATCTATTAGTGAATTTTGATCTTGCCTTATGCCACTCATTAATGATTTTAGGCAAGTAGGCAAGTCTTTCTTTTTTTGAGACAGGGTCTGGCTGTGTCACCCAGGTTGGAGTGCAAAGGTTCGATTTCAGCTCACTGCAACCGCCACTTTGCAGGTTCAAGCGATTCTCCTGCCTCAGCTTCCCGAGTAGCTGGGATTAAAGGCATGCACCACTATGCCTGGTTAATTTTTGTATTTTTAGTAGAGATGGAGTTTCACCATGTTTGCTGGGCTGGTCTCAATCTCCTGAACTCAGGTGATCCGCCTGCCTTGGCCTCCCAAAGTGCTGGGATTACAAGTGTGAGCCATTGCGCTGGGCCAATTTCAGGCAAGTCTTAACTCCATAACTAGACCAAGCTCCCTCTAGGAAGTGGGCAGAGGCCTGAACATCCACTCGTTTGCCCACAGCCTCTGGCATGGTGCTGCACACATGGGAGATGCTCAGTGAACAGTTGGCTGCTGAGGAGGAAGTCTGATTCCTGCATTCTCAGAAAAGCTCCCAAGATAGTCCTGGCCATGGCCACCATGGCCCTGCCTCTGGGCCATAGCATGGGTGGGAAGGGGAGAAGAGAGACCAGGAGAAAGGCTGCTCCCGGGAACAGTCTCCATTAGTGGTGCATTTTTAATGATTTCTAAGGTGTTGGATTGGCATAGCCAGTTGTTAAGAATCTGACAAAAAGACATTAGAAGAAGCAGTGAAAACACGACAGTCAGTCTGGTCCATTGGACACATGAGTGTCCTGCCTCATCTCTCCCTCCAGAGTTCCCATGAGAGCACCAGAGACTCCAACTTCTCACACTGGCCTACAAGGGATAGCGTCGCTAGCAGCTCTTCTCTGGTCTTTTCCTCCCTCACTGCACTTCAGCCTCAGAGGCTTCTTCCTGCTCCTCTGTCACACAGCGGCTGCTCCCACCCCATGGCCACCTGTTCTATGAGTGCTGACAAATGCACACACTGTGTGTAGATCTGTACTCCACCTCCATCAAAATATGAAACATTTCCATTGCCTCAAAAGGTTTGTTTCATGATCATTGCAATCAATGCCCCCCAATAACTGCCCTAAATGCAGTTGTACCCAATAACAGAATTTCAAATCCATGAAGCAAAAACTGACAGAAACAAAAGGTGAAAAAGACAAATCCACAATTATAGTTGGAAATTTTAACACTTCTTTCTCAGTAATTGATAGAAGTAGACAGAAAATCTGTAAAGATACAAAACACTTGAAGAACACTCTCAACCAACTTGACTGGCCGACATTTATAGAACGCTACAACCAGGACTCACAGAATACACATTACCTTTTTTTTTTTTTTTTTTTTTTTTCTGACGGAGTCGCACTCTGTTGCCCAGGCTGGAGTGTGGTAGTGCGATCTTGGTTCACTGCAACCTCCACCTCCCGGGTTCAAGGGATTCTCCTGCCTCCACCTCCTGAGTAGCTGAGATTACAAGTATGTACCACCACACCTGGCTAATTTTTTGTATTTTAAGTAGAGATGGGGTTTCACCATGTTAGCCAGGCTGGTTTCAAACTCCTGGCCTCAAGTGAACCACCTGCCTCAGCCTCGCAAAGTGCTGGGAACCTTATTTTAAAC
Organism: Homo sapiens; assembly: GCF_000001405.40. Taxonomy (NCBI): domain Eukaryota; kingdom Metazoa; phylum Chordata; class Mammalia; order Primates; family Hominidae; genus Homo; species Homo sapiens. The sequence continues at coordinate 48,922,535 of NC_000016.10, read as the reverse complement.
ATTTACCAAGATAGACCATATTAAGGGCCATTAGAAAGAAGATTCTCCATAAATTTAAATGGATTAAATCATACAGTGTCTGTACTTTGACCACATGAAATGAAATTAAAAATCATTAACAAGTAAATATTTGGAAAATGGCCAAATATTTGGAAATTAAACAAAATACTTCTAAAGCACCTACAAATAAAAAAGTCACAAGGAAAATCAGAAGGCGTATTTAAACTAAATTATAATAAAAAAGCACAACATATCAAAATTTGTGTGATGCAGCTATAGTAGGGTTTAGAAGGAAATTTATACTTTTAAATGTTTATATTGGAAAAGAAGAAAGATTTTGAAATCAAGAAAACCAACAACCAGTTATTTGGAAAGACAAATACAATTGATAAATCTATAGGTAGACTAATAGGGAGAGAGATTAGGGAGAGCAGGGTGGAGGTAGACATCCAACCAACCAAGCATGACAGAAGAGACACTGCTATAGACCCTACAGAAATTAAAGGCATAACAAGAGAAAATTTCATAGACAACTTTATGCTGATACATTCAAAAGCATAGATGAAATGGACAAATTCCTTCAAAGACAAAAATTACCAAAATTCACAGGAAAAGAAATAGAAAATCAGAGTAATCTTATATCTATTAAAGAAATTGAATTCTAATACTTTCCCACAAAGAAAAATCCAAGCCCAGATAGCTTCACTGGTAAATTTTATCAAACTTTTTATTTATTTGTTTATTTATTTATTTATTTATTTATTTATTTATTTTTATTATTATTTTTGAGATGGAGTCTCGCTCTGTCACCTAGGCTGGAGTGCAGTGGCACAATCTCAGCTCACTGCAAACTCTGCCTCCCGGGTTCACACCATTCTCCTGCCTCAGCCTCCTGAGTAGCTGAGACTACAGGCGCCTGCCACCACGTCTGGCTAATTTTTTGTGTTTTTAGTGGAGACGGGTTTTTACCGTGTTAGCCAGGATGGTCTTGATCTCCTGACCTCGTGATCCACCCGCCTTGGCTTCCCAAAGTGCTGGGATTACAGGTGTGAGCCTCCGTGCCTGGCCAATTTTATCAAACTTTTAAAGAAGAAATTCAACCAATTCTATATAAAGTCTCTCAGGAAATAAAGGAGGAGATACTATTTCCCAACTCAGTTCATAAGGCTGGCATAACTGTAATACCATAACTTAATGAAGGTATTACAAAAGCATAAAGCCACAGACGAATATTTCTCATAAGGTTATGGAGACACTTTAAAAGATGGTATAATGCTATACTTATTTATATAAGATGTCATTCAGATTTCAGAACAATTTATAAGTCCATTTTATATGTATTTATGTATACTCAAATATATATGTATATACATGCATGTGTATAGCTATATATTGGTGTGTGTGTATATGGTGATAGAGAAAATGAAAGAAAAGAGAAGAAGAGAAGAGAGGAGAGGTGAGGAGAAGAAAGTAAAAAGAAATAAAAGGCTATATGTTAAAATGTTCCCAGTGGAAAGTGAGATTTAGAGTAATTTTTGTTTTGTTTTTTGCTTATCTAATTTTTTCCTAATTTATTTCTGAGATAAACATTGTATATTGTATATATCCTTTACACTTTTTAATAAAAGTTAAATTTTTTTAAATGTTAAAGCAAGTATGAATCCAAGATGGAGGCATGCCAGCTTCAGTCCCCATGTGGTGTTGAAGTTGCTGCCATCGGAAGCAGTCACAGAGGACACTTGCCTCTCTGGGGAAGGAGGAACCCACTCCACTCAAGGTGAGTTTCCCTTGAGTAGCTCAACAGCTGTTGACTGGACATGTTGTTATTTAGAAACCCTCTTTGCACATCCCTTTCCCTAAAAGATTTGCAGATATTAGAGACGTGTTCATATGTGCTGTCCCCTCTCTTGTTCACACCTCTAATGCGTCTATGCCTCCTCAGAAGTAGTGGGGAAAAACTCTATCTGAATAGCACTTCCTATAAGAGGCTTTTCCCAGACCAACAACCCAAATTCAAATGAGATTCCTCTGTGTGGCAAATACCGTCTTTATCAGTCTGCAGCACTGCTTCTCCCCACCTTCCACCACCCTATCTCTGAAGACATCTCCCTTCCCCAGTCCATGTGGCTGAGGTGGGGCTTTGAATCTCAGTTTTCTCTACCCACACCCCTTGGTCACAGATGGGGTGAGTGACTGCTTAATGGCCAAATCCTCTCCTGGGATTTTCACAAAGGGATTTTCAGAGAGCTAAGTTCTCTGTTTCTCCTTGGCTCACACGCTAAGAACATATCCATAGCCCTGCTAGAAACCTTGGTGTCGGGGAAAAGCCTGAGAGGAGAAGGCTGACAGAGGAAAGGCAGCGAAATGGAGGGTGTCTCCCTGGAGCCACCACTAGTCTTCCCACTTACCTGAGCCAGTTCATCTTCTCTATTTGGACTATTCTGAGTTGAGTTTCTGCTGCCAGCAAATGAAAGAATCCTAACTAATAAGACTTCGTACACTCATAGCACCTTTTCCTTCATAGCACGTGGATCAGTCAACAGTATGTTCCGTTTGTTTCTGTTTGATGTCTTCATCCACCAATCTGTAAGCCCCATCAGGGCAAAGTCCATGTCTGTTTTAGTCACCGCTGTTTTTGTGTGTGTGCTTTCTTAGAGACAGGGTCTTGGTCTGTCTCCCAGGCTGAAGCACAGCGGTGCAATCATGGCTCACTGCAGCCTCCAGCTCCTGGGCTCAAATGATCCTCCTGCCTCGGCCTCCTAAGTAGCTGGGACTATAGGCACACACCACCATACCCAGGTACAATTTTATATTTTTGAGAGACAGGGTCTCACTATGTTGGCCAGACTGTTCTCAAGTTCCTGGGGTAAGCAATCCTCCCACCTCAGCTTCCCAAAGCATTAGGGCTACAGGTGTGAGCCACCATGCCTAGCCTTATTCACCACTATTTACCCAGCACCTGACACAGTGCTTCCCTGGAAAACAGAAAGACATCATAAATATATGAGAAGTGAATGAGCAAATGCATATACAGGCCCAGTCACTAAGACGTATTGAATTCTTCTCTGACTCCCTATAAACTTAGACTCAACCTACTAATAGAGACCTAGAAAGAGAGGTGTTCTGCTTCTCACATGGCCCTGCCAGGCAAGGTACCTTCTGAACTTCAGAAAAAAAAGTGGACGCTGCAAACTCAGTCGTGTTTCACACCTCCCTACACTCCCACTCCCATCCTCCCATGCAGCTCCTTGAGCTCCATGCTCAGTGGAATCCCATGACTCAACCTTCGAGGATAGTTTGAAATGGACAAGCTCATGAGCTCTCCACTACTACCATCCCTGGCCCTCAGAGCCAAGGTTAATGGGGCTGGTGAGCCTGTATTTGTGTTTATAGGTACAAGGGTGGAGTTCAGCAGGAAAACAGAGGAGGTCACTCAAGAGGAGTGGAATGTGGTATTTCCTGCCCGTCCCTGGTGAACAGGATAGCTCAGGCCTCTTCATCCACACTCAGACTGCAAGGAGGGAATGTGGAACTCATGGGACCTCAATGCCTAAGTGAGACTCTCCTGAGCTCATTAAATGCAGATTCCTAGGCTCCAACCCAGACCAGCTGAATCTCTTGGGTGTAAAGCCCTAGGAAATTCTCTTTTGAAAATCATCCCAGATGATACTGATTTATGGAAGAGTTCAGGACAAGGCTTCATTTGTTCTAAGCCTCCTGTTCACCTCATTGGTGCTGGAGGAATTCCCATCCTAGGGATATGGGCAAGGCTGAACGCACAACACCCAATGCTAGACAAATGACTCACAGTAGTTTGTTAGTCATATAGACACACAGCCCAGAGGAAGAGGGCACCACATGGCACACAGGGCCACACAGGGGCTGCACTCAAGAAATGAATGAATAGCCAGGGACTGTGAGAAGCAGCCTTTGCAGTGTCAAGAGGGTGAGGTGGCTCCCGGTTCTTGCAGAAGAAGGCAGATGTCTTGTTTGAATTCTATGGGCTGGCAAGGCTCTGAAACCCACTACACAGGAATAAGCAGGAGCTGTTTCTGGTCCCTTGATAAGGAGGTCTGTTGAGCTATGGGACCTCATCTGTGAAAACAGAGTTGGGAGGGGAACTGGCAGCTCAGTCTCTGGAGGCCCTTCCTATTCCATCAGCTATCAAGGCACCACCAATATTGAGTCTTCAGGCTGGGCACGGTGGCACACGCCTGTCCTCCCAGCACTGTGTTAGGCCAAGGCAGAAGGATCAACTGAGCTCAGGAGTTTGAGACCAGCCTGGGCAACACAGGGAGACCCAGTTTCTACCAAAAAAAAGTAAAAAATACAAAAACAAATCTTAGCCAGGCATGGGAACATATGCCTGTAGTCTCAGCTACTCAGGAGGCTGAGGTAGGAGGATCACTTGAACCCAGGAGGCAGAGGTTGCAGTGAGCTGAGACCACACCATTGCACTCCAGCCTGGGCAATACAGTGAGACCCTGTCTCAAAAAACCCAATATATATATATTGATTATATAATGTATATGGATTAATCTATATATTAATCTACATTATACATAGATTAATACATATATTATATATTATATATAATATATGTAATATATAATATATGATATATATGTTATATATTATATATAACATATGTAATATATAATATATGATATATATGTTATATATTATATATGTTATATATTATATATAATATATGTTATATATAATATATGATATATATGTTATATATTATATATGTTATATATTATATATGTAATATATGTTATATATTATATATGTAATATATGTAATATATTATATGTAATATATGTAATATATGTTATATATTATATATGTAATATATGTAATATATTATATGTAATATATGTAATATATGTTATATATTATATATAATATATGTAATATATGTTATATATTATATATGTAATATATGTTATATATTATATATGTTATATATGTTATATATTATATGTTATATATGTTATACATATATATGTTATATATGTAATACGTAGATTAATATATGTAATATACATTATAATATAACATTTTATAATATAAAATTACACATATATGATATATTTATATATCATACACAGATCTATATATTATATATGTAATATAAATAATATAACATTTTATAATATAAAACTACCCCCATATATCTATATCTATATGTACAAATAAGTATCTATATGCATATATATCTATACATGTACATATATAGATTGAGTCTTCATTTGAGTTCCTACACCATACCCTTCTGCCACCTCCTGCAGCAACCACAGCCTCTGTCAAGCTGCCTGGATATCTGTGTTTGCTTCAAAGTGGGCACACAATAATGGCAGGCACAGGTGAGGATTAAACTCAAGAGGCTCTAAGGGGGAAACCTATGGTGCACATGGATCACCCTAAACCATTAGCTTTAGTACTGAGAGAAAGTAGGAGAAGGGAGTCCCATTTTCAGGAGTTCCACACATCTGGAACACCTACAAGTAACCCTAAATGTAAGGCCAGTTGGAATGCCCTACACCATTTTCCAGGGGGCTCAGCCTCATGTTGAACCTGTCAGCTGCACAGGGCTAGCAGTAAGCCAGGGACAAAAGCCAAAGAGGACTCTCATGTTGCCCCCAGCCCCAAAATACAGAGAGAAGGAACAAATCCAGGCCCCACACTTCAAAAGGCCAGCCCTTTTAAAGAATGAACAGTATCCACAGAACACCAGCTGAGAGGCCACCTGTCATCAAATAAATAAATACAAATAAAAGTCCCAGCAAGCTTGGCTCTTATGTCCAGTTCCATTTATGGCCCTTTTGATCTTTTTTCACTTTCCTTAGCAGGTCCACTGGTATTCCTTCACACCACCCTGTCCAAATACATATATATCTCACTTTTGGGGGGAAAAACGTTGCTCAGGCAGTTGATCTTTCCATATTCCTGATGCTGTAAATAAAATCTCTCTTGGCATGGAGAATTTTTATTCATTCATTTATTTGACAAATTTTTACTGATCATCTACTGTACACTAGGGTCTGCCCTGGGGGTCTTTGGAAACCCAGGATGGATAACAGAGGGAGACCCACACAGTAGCATGCTATGCTGCAGTTTTAAAAAATAAAACAGTTCTATACATTCTCATATGAAAATATCTTCAACATAGATTAATTTTGTTAAAAGTAATGAGAAAATAGGGTGTCATATTGTATCATTTGTGTTACAGGGAGAAGGAAGAAAGAAGATAGAGGCTCAAGGAGGAGTAGGAGGGGGAGCAGAAAAATGACTCATTTCTGCATTAACCCTTTAGAAGAATACATAAGAATTTGAAACAATGGTTGCCCCTGGGCAGGGGGTGGAAGACAGGAAATGAGGGTCTCCAAATTGAAGAGGCTTTTCACTATACACTTCTTTCTATTGATCTAATTATTTTAAAACACACTTATGTGTTACCTCTTTCTCCAAAAATAAAACACTCTGAAGAAAAAGTCATAAAAATGAGAAAACTCCGAAGTCAGGTGGAGGAAACAGACTAGTAATCATCTAATTAGTAAACAATGTAGTAAGTGATGAAACATTCATGGAGCTCTTTGAGTTCTTAAGGAAGGGTGCCTAATTTGGGTGGAGAAGTCAGGAAAAACTTATCAGGGAAAATAATATCTTGATTAACCCTTTAACAGGCAGCCTACAGAATGGGAGAAAATTTTTGCAATCTATCCATCTGACAAAGGGCTAATATCCAGAATCTACAAAGATCTTAAACAAATTTACAAGAAAAAAACAAACAACCCCATCAAAAAGTGGGCAAAGGATATGAACAGACACTTCTCAAAAGAAGACATTTATGCAGCCAACAGACATATGCAAAAATGCTCATCATCCCTGGTCATTAGAGAAATGCAGATCCAAACCACAATGAGATAACCATCTCACGCCAGTTAGAATGGCGATCATTAAAAACTGAGGAAACAATTGATGCTGGAGAGGATGTGGAGAAATAGCAACCCTTTTACACTGTTGGTGAGAGGGTAAATTAGTTTAACCACTGTGGAAGACAGTGTGGCAATTCCTCAAGGATCTAGAACTAGAAATACCATTTGACCCAGCCATCCCATTACTGGGTATATACCCAAAGGATTATAGATCATTGTGTGATAAAGACACATGCAAATGTATGTTTATTGTGGCACTATGCACAATAGCAAAGGCTTGGAACCAACCCAAAAGTCCATCAATAATAGACTGGATGAAGAAAATGTGGCATATATACATCATGGAATACTATGCAGCTATAAAAAAGGATGAGTTCATGTCCTTTGCAGGGACATGGATGAAGCTGGAAACGATCATTCTCAGCAAACTATCACAAGAACAGAAAACCAAACGCCACATGTTCTCACTTATAAGTGGGAGTTGAACAATGAGAACACATGGACACAGGGAGGGAAACATCACACACCAGGACCTGTTGGAGTGTGGTGGGGCTAAGGGAGGGATAACATTAGAAGAAATACCTAATGTAGGTGATGGGTTGTTAGGTGCAGCAAACCACCATGGCCTATATATACCTATGTAACAAAACTGCACATTCTGCACATGTACCCCAGAACTTAAAGTATAATTTTAAAATGAGTGGAATTGAAGTCTACTCTCTTTAACATCATTTAGTTGTCAAACAAATAAAAAACGACAACGAAAACCCACAAAACACCCAAAGGATCCCTGGAGAGGTTTCATAGGTCTCGTGTGGCTTCTGGGGAAAGTTCAAGGCTGATGCCAAGATGCTCACAGCAGAAATGGCATATCCCCCACTGTCCCCATGGATGCTTAGTTATCGGGGGAAGCAGCAGGCCAGATTTACTGAGCTAATCCAAGCTAGGAGCCATTTGCAGAAAAAGTGAGCATTTGCAGAAATCATTTCTTAATTAGCATATTGGTCTTCCTGCCCATTCTAAATCTCCAGCAATGTGCAAAGCTGGTTAAGGTCTCCCTGGCTTTGATTTCTCAGAGTTGTCTTTTAAGTGCTTCATTTCTATCAAGTGAGATGAAATTTCTAAATTCCAACTTCATAGGGAACAGTCCCATTCTCTCCCCACCCCCATTCTTGAGCAACCTCTCAGAATGTGTGTTCTTTAAAAAGAGACAAGGTCCTCGCTGACATCTCTCTTCAGAGAGCTCCATCAAAATCCTGCACTTACCCAGTGTCCTTTCCTTGGCCACCGGTAACCAAGGAAACGGGATGCTATGGTAACACAGGGAGGAGAGGAAGGGAGGCATCCTGAGCCCTTCTGCATTCTTTCTCCTCTCTCCTGGAATCAAGGCAGCTACAGGACAGGAAGAACTCCTGCTGGGGGAGGGTCTACTCTCAGCTTCCCAGGGGAAGAGGGACCAGGACACCTGCATGGGTGGCTTCATGGCTGACACCCAGAGTTTCCCTTCCACAGCCTGAAGACTGTTGCCTCAGGATCCCCCAAAATGATGCCTTTTTCTAAGACAAGGGCACAGCCTAGGATGCATAATATAATGCTCCAAATGCCCAGGGGTAAATATCTGTACAAAATGTTTATTCAAATGAGTGAACAAGATACAGATTGCAATCATGAAGAAGCAGAGCCCTAGACGTAACTGAAAAGAGAATGTATGACCAAATGGCCAACCGTTCGGCAGTGTTGAACTTGTCTCTTGGTTTTGCTCTGCCTTCCAGTCTCCATGGTCAGCCCTCACTGACCATCTCTAGCTCTGCCTCTCCGACACCGTCCTCCTGCACCATTCTGTTTACCTACCTCTCCCTTTGCATTCTGCCTTCTCGCTTCTCTCTCACTCTGTCCCTTTTTGCCTCCCCTGACTGGCAGTTCTCCTGTCACTGTCAGGATGAGGTGGCTGAAAGATAAAGATTCTTTATATTCTGGGTCCAGAGCTCAGGCCCCACCAAGGCCAAATGCAGCTCCCTCCAGGTAGGGCCTCTTTGTCCACTTCCTGTGCTTCCCATGGACAGGAGTGGTGAAGGGCGTGGGGGACCTCCAGGAGAGACAATCAGGGTCCTGCCCTGAAGGAGGTCAGGGTATTACAAATTGTGATAAGTGTGATGACATCATAAGTAAGCACAGGATCTGTCTGTGTTGCAGTGTGAGGGGAGGGCTGCCACTTCCTCGCCAAACTTTTGTTTGTTGAATCTTCTTTTGCATTCCTGAGATTTCTCATTTGAGTTTTAAAATCCCTTCTCTGGTTTTTACCTGAAATCTGCCTCACCAGGAGTCACCTGTTCTAATTTTCCAGCACTGACTCCCTCTGTTGGAACTGTGGCCTCCCACCTGTTTGATCACACACCTCTATCAGTCAAAAGCTATTGAGTAGCCAGGTGTGATGGTTCACTGTAGTCCCAGCTACTCTGGAGACCAAGGTTGGAAAATTGCTTCAGCCCGGGAATTTGAGGCTGCATTGAGCTATGATTATGCTACTGCGCTCCAACCTGGGCAACAGAGTAAGACTCCACCTCCAAAAAAAAATAAATAAATAAAGTGAAATGAAACAGGATAATTATTGATCATGGACCTCCCCTTAATATGAGTACAGGTTTATTTATAAGTCACATACATGTACTACAATGCTAATGTTTTGTACATGATAAAATATACACAAAAACAGGAATTGATAAGGAAATAATATAATATCTTCTTCCATAGCCCAAATTGACTGCCTTGTGCACCCCATGTCAGTCTACCCAGTCACTTTAAATGGCCAAGTACTTTGATTTGCACCTCAGGTCCCCAGGTGAAGGTCCCCCAAGAACTCGGGGAGGATTGGCAGGAGGAGCAGAGTGTGAGGTTTACTTGTCAGGGGGTGGACTCACTTCCTGCTGTAGCAAAGGACCACAGCCTTAAACAATAGAAATGTATTGTCTCACAGTTCTAGAGCCGGAAGTCTGAGCTCAGCGTGCTAGCAGGGCTGGCTCTTAACAAAGCTGTGAGGTAGAACCTGTTCCCTGCCTCTTTCCTTGCTGAGAGGGGTTTTCTGGGCATTTTTGGCATTCTTTGGCTTACAGCTGCACTCCCAGCACCACCTTCCCCTTCCCATGGTGTTCTCCCTGGGTGCACTCCTGTCTCTATTCCTGAATGCCACCTTTTTACTAGGACACTGTCATGTTAGATGGGGGTGGGGGGTCACCCTAGTGATCTCATCTTAACTTGAGCATCCGATTTCCAAATAAAGGCACATTCACAGGTGCTGGAGGTTAGGACTTTGACATCTTTCAGGGGACACAATCAAATCATAATGGGGCAAATGGAAAATGAAATAGCAAGCAGCCTCTTTAGACTGAGGTGTGGGCATGAAGCTTCTTCAGGGTGGGTAGAGAGGGGCAGCCTGGAGAGGCAGGAGCCCCTTTGCCAGAGCTGCCTGCTTCCAGTGGGTAGGGGCTCCTCTCTGAGAGTAGAGACCACCAGACCACAAGTCTACTTCCAGGGGTGGGGCTCAGGTCAGCTGCTAGCACTGGAAAAGTCTCCACTCGCCAAAGCAGTTTCACATCATCTTTTCTTCTGAGGTTCCCAGAACACTTTGTACTATTATTTCTAGAAGAAACTGCTGCTCTGGAAAACATGAAATGTCTTTGTTTGAAATAGCGACACAGCCAGGCTGTTCCCAGAACGACAAGGACACGCCCTCCCAACTCCTCATTATAAGGAAGCCACATCATGGTGTTTGATTCCTAAATAAGAATTGAACGTTTGTCACTTGTACTATTTAATTATGACCCAAGAAATTTGCTAACATCTCACATTCTGTCTGCAGTGCCAGTTTAATTTGGATATTAAAGAGACACAGTCACTATATGGTTACCTAGTAACAGGTGTTAAACCTCAATAAATAACATTTTTAATAACGAGGTTCTGAAATGCATAAATCACATCTCCCTGTTCATTCTCTAAGAAAAACATTTTAATTATCTATTGACACATATTGCACATGGAACAACTATCTTTTTAAAAGATAAATGGGTTTAGAGGCGAGTAGGGTTAATTAAAAGCCAGTGGAGTATTACAAGTTTATTTACGGGGAAATATTCACTGTAGGAGAAGAACGGTTCTTACAGTTGTCAGAATTCTGCAAATGTATTGTTTAATAACCGCTTGGCACTTACTTATGGTGAGATGGTGAGAGCTTAAATCTAAACTGAGAGTGCATTCCAGTTATCTCTTCTAAACGGCTTCTCCTCAGTGACATAGATTTTCCAGGTCAGGCCACACCAAGGCAGGATCTGATGATGTGTGAAATTGTGACCAGGAGTTCCCCAGGACCATGGACCTGTCCAGAGCAGGCACCTGTTCTCATCCTGGATGCCAAAAGGGAAAGTTCAGGTTCAACTCTAGAGGTGAGGCCAGCTCTGAGGAAGGTCTGTCTACAAGATGAAGTCCAACTCCTACCATGAACTCCTCAAGGATCTTCACCATCAAGCCTCCACCCACTTTACCAGGCCTATCCCTCCCTCCTCTCCCCACTTCACTCACCTCTACCCCTGAAACCCAGTGTGTGCCTCAACAGCTCTACTCTCCTGCCACAAGGAGCGCAATATTCCAGACGGTGGCTGTTCTATGAGCTCAATCCCATAGGAAGGGTGAAAAATAAACCCTCAGCCAACTTGTGATGATTTCACAGCATGAGCAGGAAATAAATCTTTGTTGTTAGTAGGCTTGGAGATTTACATGAGAGGATGCTTCTTATGCCAACATAATGTAGCCTGCACTGACTCATGTACTTTCCATAATCAGCCCCAGAGCCTGACAAGGAAAAGATGCTTTGGAATGCTTGATAGTGAATGAACCCATTAGTCAGTCAATGCATCTGCCCTTTCTTCCCCTCTGGAATATTATCAGGTCCTGAAAAATCACACGCCAGGATTCTGCAGGACTTTAAGCATCTATCCCAGGGTGGTGTGAAGAAGCCCCACTACTGAGCTGAGAAGCTAGAGTCCCAATTTCTCATCAGAACCTCCAACAATGCACTGACCCACGGTTATTACTGTGAATAACGTGGTTTTTGTGAGGGATGTGGGAAGAGTCACAGGGAGCAAAGAACCACTGTGTATATGCAGAGCATCCCTCTGTGTATGTGTGTGCATGTGTGTGTCAGTGTGTGTGTGTGTGTGTGTGTGAGAGTCAGTGTGTGTGTGAGTGAAGGCCTTCCTACCATCCATTCTCCTGCCTCTGGTAATGACACCCATTTTTTTCGGTGGGGGAAGATAGGGTCTTGCTGTGTCACCCAGGCTGGAGTGCAGTGGCATGATCTCTATGATCTCTGCTCACTGCAACCTCTACCTCCTGGGCTCAAGTGATCTTCCAACCTCAGCCTCCCGAACAGCTGAAACTACAGGTACACACTGCCATGCCTGATGACTTTTTAAAATTTTTTGTAGAGATAGGGTCTTACTGTGTTGATCAGGCTTGTCTGCAACTTCTGGCCTCAAGCAATCCTCCCACCTCAGCCTTCCAAAGTGTCGGGATTACAGGCCTGAGCCACTACACCCTCCTGACCCCCAGTTTTCCTTTGTGGGACCTGCCATCATCCCCACTCTCAGGTCTTGTGGTTTGTGTTGCATTGGCCACACCCCCAGTTCAAAAAGTGAATATAAATTGTCAAGGCCACAAATCAAGGTAATGATACAGCTAAAACTAGAACCCAAACCTCCAACTCTGGCAGTAATTCACTCATTTTTGGACTCTGGTGCGCTCCTACTCTGACCTTGTGCTAGTTCTGGGAATGCAGCGAGGACACTAGATGGAGAGGATTCCATCAGAGTGTTCAGAGCTCAGTCCGATGCTCCCTCCACTGCAGCACCTGTCCCTCCTTCCCTCTCTTTCCAGAAAACCTCCCTCTACCCTCCTCACTATCCTCTTCCCCAAAGCCTCCCCAAACTTCCTCAAACCTTGCTGACTCTTTCTTTTCTCTGAACCTTTTCTGCCACAGTCCCCAGCATGTGAACAGACACAGGTCAGGCAAGTCGCCCAAAGACATGACCAGCCAGGGCTGAGAGTACCAAGGCCTGAAAGAGGAGGGACCAGAGGATGCTATGGGGTGGCGCCTCTTCTCGGTGCCCACAGATCCCACTGAAGCTGGAGCTGCTTGCCTCACAGACGGTGCATGGCACTCCACCAGCTGTCTCCTTCTCACCAAGCTCGGGAGTCCCTGGCTGACCCCTCCATCCACCCTGCCTCTGACCAGGTCATAGCATCTGGCTCCCCACCTCCAGGGAAGGAAAACAGAAAGTACTGGGAAGTGACAGGGCCCTAAACCACTTGGATGGAAATAGAGTCATTGGGAGCAACGGGGAGAAGGACTGGGCCAAGAAGCTGATTGCATTGCTCCTGGCAACCACACGTCCCAGCAGGTCAGTCAATACTGCAGTGCCCACTGGGATGCGGTTTCCTGAAGCTCGCAAAAGAAATCTATATTTTTCTCAGGAGCACCAACCCTCCTCAAGGCAGCACACGTTCGTCCCCTCCTATCTGCGGGCAGCAGAAAGGGACAAAGAAACCAAGGCCAGAAGGTGGCTGAGGCTGTCTCTAGACTAACAGCTTTAGAAGGGAATATGGCATTTTACGTACACACTTGCCCTTTCCTTCACCCTCCATGCCAATACCTCTCATCCCCACAATTGCAAAGGACTCCAAATTGAGATGTGATTTTTCAGTTCCTCTCTTTTTTAATCCACCCTAATAATAGGAGCTAATATTGATTGGGCCCTTACTACATGTTAGACTGTCTATAAAATTCTTCACATGTATTAAATTTTTAATCCTCGGAAAACCCAGCCCTGTGGGGTAGATATTAACTTCCATTCCCATTTTTGTGGCTGAGGAATCTGAAGCACAGAGCAGTTAATTAACTTGCTCAATGTCACATAGCTTGTTGGCAGTAGAAGCAGACAGCCCAGGCCAGGCTATCACACCCCTCCAAGGGCAAGGTATTTGGAACTGGACCAGTCAAGCTCAAAATTTCAGCACTAGCCCTTGCTAGCTCTGTGATTTGGACAAGCTACCCAACCTCTCTGAACCTCATTTCTTCATCTGTAATGCGAACATGATAACGACAGTCTTGTAAGTTTACCGGGTAATTCCCCGGGTATTACAGGGTAATTCCAAGGTTTCATTAGATGACTCACCACACTTTCCATCCCCACCACCCATCCTACTCTGCGCTCTAGCAATACCAAATTGTCTTCTTTTTGCTCACATGTGCCTCTGCATATCTCTGCTCCCTTTGGAAGTGTTCTCTTATCTACCTACCAAGAGGAGCTTGTCTGGCCAGCTCCTCTCCTGTCAGATCTCAGCTGGATGCTGTCACCTCTGAGAAGCCTCCCTGACTTCCTAACTCTGCACTGTCTTTCAGTGTTCTCTCAAACCCCAGCACATCCCTACCACAGCGCTCATCACACTCGACTTGAACTGTCCAAGCACAGGTCCATCTCCCCTACTGGGCCATGAGCTCCGCAAGGGCAACAGCACCGAGCGCATCCCATTCTGAATCCACAGTGTCTAGTAAGTGCCTGGAATAAAGATTGGTAAATATTTGTTGCAAAAATAACTAAATTGAAATTTCTTATTATTTATGCTAATATGCCTGCTTAGTCCCTCCTAGTATATGACAAGCCTCCTGAAGGCAACAACTGTATCTTACTCTTTGTCACTGAATTCCCCACCATTTCTGGCACAGAAAAGCAGAGCTGGGGCTAGGGTGAGGTAAGTGAAGTGCTGGGGTAAAAAATTGTAAGGAGGCACAACTCTCAGCTTCACGCAAGTGCAGGCTGGACACAGAAGGCCTCCATTTAAATAGCTAATTTAAATTAATGGTGATCCAGTAGCTGGGCTGTAAATCTCTATCTCCCCTGGAGGAGTTCTCACATTCATGATGATTCCTATTCCTCAGCAAAGACTGACAGAGCCACTCCTCCCAGCTTCCTTTGGGCCTCTCTTTGGAGGCATTCCCAGTGTCAGATGCAAGGCGACCACCAGTGTAGTGGTTGCCACTGTGCTCAGAGATACCATGTCGAGTTAGGGCTGTAGGAGGCAAAGGTATTGGGATATTAGAGGCTGAGCAAGGTCTTGTTCCATGAAGACCGAGGAAATGCTATGGACAATCCACGAGTATTGGATGGAAATCAGGCAGAGGGGGAAACGAGAACATTCCAGGCAGAGAGCTGAATGAACAAAGCCAGAAAACGCCAAATTCATCAGGGACCCCAAGGAAACTCATTTGATCGGCCCTCAGCCTATATGCCAATGAGCACGGCCAAAGAGTTAAGTAACACCAACCCCTCATTTTTGCATAAAGTCTGCTAATCATCGCCCCATCCATTGTTTCATGGGGTCCCTACACTAATGGAATTGTAATTACTCCTGTTTAAATGATGAGGAAATTGAGGTTTAGAAATCAAGCGGCTTGCACACAGCTAGTAAGGTTGGCTTTCAAGCCTTGCTGGGCAACTTTGACATCCACCACCCCTGGCCCTTGAGGTTGATACCCATCGCCAAAATCTCCTATGCCTAGTGCCCACCTCTCATGGAGAGTTCCATGGTCCAGAGCTTCCTGTAACCTGGATTCCATGACATTTTTTTGAGATGGAGTCTCGCTCTGTCACCAAGGCTGGAGTGCAGTGTCACATTCTCAGCTCACTACAACCTCCACTTCCAGGGCTCAAGCAATTCTCCCACCTCAGCCTCCCTAGTAGCTGGGACTACAGGTGTGTGCCAACACACCCAGCTAATTTTTGCATTTTTTGTAGAGATGGGGTTTCATCATGTTGCCCAGGCTGGTCTCAAGCTCCTGGGCTCAAGAAATCCACCTGCCTTGGCCCCCTAAAGTGCTGGGATTACAGGCTTGAGCCACCGTGCTCGGCCCCATGACTTATTTTGAAAGGGGCTATGAAGCACTTGGGATTTTAACCATTATCTCAAGCAACTGGACAGACGTCTGGGGGAACCTGGAGGAAAGTGTCTTGCTCCATTGTTCTGTCATGCCTAGCTCGGCGAAACAGAAATGGAATAACTGAGGCCTCAAAGGCAGTGCTGAGGCTTAAGTGAAAACAGCGATTCAAAGACTTTCGAGCAGACAATGTGGACAGCATGTCACTGCTCTCTGATGTATCTTCCAGACCTTGCTTCATTCAGCAAGGGAGGACTGTGCCTGCTGCCTTTGTCGATGTGGACGAGAAGAACAAAACAGGATGGATTAGCTAATCCCCTGCTGGCGGTGAGATAGGAGCCTGAAATTCAGCTCCAAGGACTCCTTGGCTCCGGGGGTCAAGAAGTTAGCAGTGTCCAGAGCCGGCCCTGCATGGCTCCCACGGCTGACGGCTAGCCGGATGACCTCAATGGGCCGGGGGGAGGTCACAGCAGGGGCGTTTCCATTTTAGCCCCATTGTTTAGCCAAATGAAGCCAAGATGTTCCTGCTCCCCACTGGAGAAGTCTGCATGGCTTCAATAATTTCTGAGTGCTGACAGATAATTCAGAGATATTGGATATTTCACCACCTGGGGACTGCCCTTCGCAACCACAGCAATCAGTTACTGCCCACAAACCAGGAGCCATGCAGAGGCCCCGGGCCCCCTCACGCCTTTACGATCAGGCTCCAGTGTCTTGGAAAATATTGCTTGAATTTATTTATATAATCACGTTAGGAAGGCAGTGAGTTATTGTGAAGTCAGCATTCTTCCATCTTCCTTCCCGCTAATCCTTTGTTTGAGATTCTGCTCGAAGGACTCCGATTACTAATACAATTACATGCTACCTGGTAAAGGGTAATCCAAAGAAAAAATTAAACCACTTCACATACTGTATTTTTCACTCATAGTCGCCCTTCTCCTAAAACTGAGTGCTGGCATAAATCAATCATCTACCAATTTTATGACTACCTGCAATTAAGAACACATAGACTTTTGACATCACCCGCCCAAGTATTTAAGTTATCTTAAAGGTAAATGCTGCCTCTCATTTGAGGACCAGCCCTTCAGAAATCTTGGTGTAAAAGCAAACACTCCAATCAGGGTTGGTTCTAATAAAAAGAACACAAGACTGCCACCAATATGGAGAACATAGGTGAGTTTTATCCTGGTATTGCTAAAACCAAAAGCTTCAGGCCATTTACTTGACACTCATGAGTCCCTCCTTCTTGCAGTCACTACAGGAAGAATGTGAAAATACGTACAACAGTGCTGCAGACTCTAAGAATATTTAGTGGCCCAAGAGGCATGACATTGAACTCACAGAGAAGGACCTATAATCTGAGGATGCTGCTTGGTTCTGCAATGCACAACATTATGAAAATCTCCTGGCTGGGCACGGTGGCTCACACCTGTAATCCCAGCACTTTGGGAGGCCAAGGCGGGCGGATTGCCTGAGCTCAGGAGTTTGAGACCAGCATGGCCAATATGGTGAAACCCCATCTCTGCTAAAACTACAAAAAATTAGCCAGGCGTGGTGGCGGGTGCCTGTAGTCCCAGCTACTCGAGAAGCTGAGACACAAGAATCCCTTGAACTCGGGAGGCGGAGGTTGCAGTGAGTCGAGATTGTGCCACTGTACTCCAGCCTGGGTGACAGAGTGAGACTCTATTAAAAAAAAAAAAAACTTCTAAACACTATTTTTTGTGTTTAATATTTTAGATCAACCTATAGACAAACCCCACAGGTTTACCTACAGTTACAGGACAAAATATAAAAGTTATCCAATTTAACAAAATAAAAGATACGGAGCACTTGGAAGGATTATGGGGACAGAGAGGGAATGAGGAGGCAAATGCTATTGTCGATAGTGGATGAAAGAAGAAATGGAAGTTTTAGAATGAGGCAGAGATGACCAATGAGTGGAGGAACAGAAAACCGTGATTTAATTCTGTTTGGAGAAGAGAAGCCAGAATGTGGAGGCTGCTATGAGAAAACTAAATGTTTTATCATGGGAGGAAGTCAAAAGACAGTGTCTAAGGATTGATCAACGAAGAGCAACTGTGTAATTACGTCATTTAGACATGTGGAAGTAACCAGCAGGAGAACTAAAGACAGAAAGCTTTAAATCAGTGGCTTTTAGGTACTTTATGGTGTGAGAGGTCAAAATAGTGGCTGACTTTGGAAGGTGGGGGCTGGTTTCTGGGGTGCATTATTCCTCCACTTCTTGGTCTGGTTAAAGATAGTTCACTTCGAGAAAATCATCGGCATATACCTATGATATATGTGCATTTTTCTGTTTGTAAGTTATATTTCAATTAAAATTTTCCTTAAATAAAAGTGAACACCTCTGGGGAGCAGGACTAGGAAAAATGAAGGGAGAGAGGGGGCATTATTGTTTTTCATGATCATCCCAATTGATGGGTCAATTATTTTCAGCCACATGCATGTATTGCTTGGGTGAAGATTAATTATTTTCATGCTGTTTTATACTGGACCCTTGCCTGGCTTCTCACGTATAAAAAGTTCCATAGGCCCCTAAAGGCAAAACTCTGCAGGATGTGTTCAAACTCCAGAGAGTTGGATATCAGCTGATTTGAGGAATCCACTTTCTAAACATCAGAACCTCCAACAATTGGGTCATGAGTTCACTGGCACTGGAGGTGCTCAAATCAAAGAGGTCAGGAAGGAGCTTTGTCCAGGTGACCACAGAGGCAGTTTGGTCATTGCTGGGGCAGTTTGGTCCGAAGCATGTGAAAGTAGCTGCCCAAGGAACTGAGGATGAAATGGTCCTCCCTCAACTCATCAAACTACCGATTCACTGAATTCACTGAGGTTTTGTTAAGGAAAATTATTATTTGTCCTTAATCCTGCTGCTGTTTTTAAATTCAAATGGGCTTCTTCTTAAGCACACTGTGTCTTCTCTATAGTTGCAGGTGTCTGTCTTTTCTGCTTTCTGGAGGGAAAGCAGCTAAAGAGGGCTGCCCTAGGCCCAGGTTAAGGTATGATTTGACAGCCCCTGGGGCAGAGGCAGGAGTAAAACTAAACATTGACAGATTCCTCAATTACTGGATATATTGAGCAATTGGTGTACCGTATTGCTTGTTTGACAAATTGATTTTCCATGAATTGACTCTTGCCACTTTCCAAACAATGCTCAAAGCTGAGGCTGGATTCAAGACTTCACTCATCTCAGGGATTCTCTGTGGCAAACTGAAGTCGGGGAGCAAGGCCAGATCCCTGTGGAGGCTCTCAGCCCCCAGCGAGGTCCAGCCAGGGGGCCCATGAGCAGCTTTGTGCCTGGACATCGCCTCCCTGTGGCCCAGGAGCTTCTCCTCTCAGCCTGGTGGTTGTCTTGGAGACCAAGAGCTCCGGGGAGAACACAGGCACTTCCAGCCTCCCCAGGCTTCCCTAGGGACAAAGGAAGATTTCCTCCAAAGGCGGGGCTTTTTACCCAAACAAAAGCACATAAAACAGCATTTGCCGGACAAATTCATCCGAAGAAAGTTGAGGACAGCTGGGTCTACAGTCCTTCACTTCCACCTCACCCCAGGAGGACTGCAGAGTGAGCTGGGAGCAGACCTCCACCTGCTTTCCTCATCTGCTCACAGCTGAGTTCTGAAATTAAACCACCTGGATTCAGATCCTGACTCCTTATGTGCTAGATCTGTCACCTATGTGAATGATTTGACTCCTCTAGGTCTCAGTTTCCCTATCTATGAAATAGGGATTTTTTAAAAATCCCTACTTCTGAGAGTAGTGATGCTCATTTGAAATCATGCAAATAAAGCACTTAGAACAGTACCTGGCCCAGAGAAGCGGTAAACACTGTGCTATTAATATTTCCTTGGGGTTGGGGGGACCCTGCTCAGTGTAAATGTGAGCTGCTGGTTGAAAGAAGAGTTGGAGTCCTCAAGCCTGTCCATCACCAGAGCCCCTGGGGTTGAGATGAGAAGCTGGAGAGGCGGGGGTGCTGGTTGTTTGCTTTACCAGTCCTAATGACTTATTACACCAGCCCCTGGCAAGAGAGTAGAAAGGAAGAAGATAAAAAATCGTAGCATCGATTTTTCCAGCACATGAATCCAGCAATGTTATTTCCAGATCTATCCTTTTTGAAATTAAATTAAATAAACTTTAGCTCAGTTTGTCAATTTGCTGAAAACCTTCTCCATCTGACTTTCTCCTTGGCAGTGACGGGGGCTGGTGGAGGATGTTTTCTCTAGGAAGGCATTATTGCATTAGGAGAAGTGAGGCTTGTGATGACATTCCAGAATTTTAAGAGCTTTTCAACCCAATGAGGTGTCAGTTTGCAAGTGCATTTTCCATAACCATTAGGTAGGCATTTTAACAAATGGGGACTGTGATGGGTGAGTCCTGCTGGAGTGAGTTATAATGGCAGGACTGCACTCTTATTCAGAACTGCGGTCCCTCCGGTGGCAGAGTTGCCTCCCTGCTCCACAGACACACGTTAGGAAAACCAGAAGTATATTCCTCTTTTACTTCAATTATGAGATTTTTCTTTCTTTCAAAAACAATAAAGGTGCCTGTTATTTCAGGTGAGAAAACATCGTCTTGAGACTGCCTCAAGGAGAGGTGTTTTCCGAGCCCAAACTCACCCAGGTGCAGGGCTAATAAAAGCCTCTCGAGGGGCCAGGTAGGGGCAGACAGGAGTAATAAGTGGCCTGTCAGTCATCCTAACCAGCCAGAACCAGTCATGTGGATCTGCGGGGAGATTACACACAGTTAACTGGCTAGGAGTAAGAGGGGTTCATAAAAGCTGGCTCCATATCCTCTGGTTTGTTGTGATGAAGGTTCAGCGATTACATCCACACTGCCTGGACTTCAATTTGCCCCTAAGATCCTCGAACACTGAAAAGTCAGGACTGTGGTGTCCGGGAACAAGTGAAAATGGCCCAGGGACCAGTCTTTTTTTTGGAAGTCATGGCCCAAGGACCTGAACCATTCCAGGTTATCTGAGTTGTTCAGGAGCTTGGTCCTAGATTCGATGGGATGTCCAGAGTGGCTTCAGCTGAGCCAATGCTCAATTTAGTCTTCAAAACTGGATTCCTACTTATTCTTCAAAGCCTGAATTAAGTATCTCCGCCTATGTGAAGCCATCTTCAACCTTTCTGAGACAGAATGAGCCAGAGTTTCCTTCCTGCTCCCAGAACATTTAGGAACACCCTCTAGCACCCAGTACTGTGATGATCTGTCCTCCCCAGCCTGCTCATCCTTCCCAGCCTCTCCAACAGCTCCCGGCACAGAGGCGAGACACGCAGGGAACACTGGCCAAAAGAGATCCCAGGGAACCCCTCCAAGAGATAATGACAATAGTTTGTCACAAATTCTGGCTTGAGCTTATTAGACTGGTTTGTAGTTGGGGGAACTTCGGAAAAAACTAAATTACTGTTTAACTAAATCATGACACACCCATCAATAGGCTATTATGTAGCAATTAACAAAGATAGAGGAGATATATATTTATTGCTTTGAAAAGATGTTTGTGACGTGTGATTAAGTGAGAAAAAAACAAGTTAGGAAACAATTTGTATAATATGAGCCCATTTTATTGGAGGAAAAATGTTTCTCTGTCTTTCTTTCTCTCCTACACACACACACACAAACACACACACACACACAATCTTGGGTTATATCAATAGAAGTGAAGTACCAGATCACAGGAGCTACAATTGAAGTATCAAATTTCTGAAGAACATTGACAAAATCATCTTTATCTGCAAGAGGGTGACTAAAATGGAGAAGGATCCAAAACCATGTCATTTGAATAAGGATAGAAAGAACTGAGAGTGCTAACAGGGATAAAAAGACTCAGACTCTGGCTAAAAGATACAGAGCCAATGATAACACTCACAGCGTGAGCTAAATATCTTAAGGTGGGGAGGGAGCCGGTGGCTGATGTGGCAGAGGAGGGATTGAGGAAGGCTTCACAAGCACGGGGCCATTTGAACCTGGCTCTGAACTTTAAAGCCCAAGGCAGTGTTTCCCCACCTTTAGCTCTTGGCTTCCCAACTTCACTATCCTGGCATTTCTTTGTAAAACCTGTATGACTATTTACTTAATATTTTTCTTTGAAATTATCTTGGGTCTACTGCCATACCACCCTGAATGTGCTCAATCTCATCTGAAATTATCCTAGGTTTGTAAAAAATGCATTTCATATGGTAACTCTGTTTCACTTATTGTACAGGTAAACCAGTATTGTCTGCCACAAATGAAAGAAAGAAAACATAAAAATGCTTGTTTAAACATCCCAGAGTTGTTTAATTCTAGTTAAATGTTAGTGATGGGAAGCTCTGTACCTAAGAGCTGCTTCCTCTTTGTTATAAAGGAGAGATTAACAGGCCAGGCGCAGTGGCTCACACCTGTAATCCCAACACTTTGGGAGGCCGAGGTGGGTGGATCACGAGGTCAGGAGATTGAGACCATCCTGGCTAACATGGTGAAACCCTGTCTCTACTAAAAATACAAAAAATTAGTTGGGCGTGGTGGCACGCGCCTGTAGTCCCAGCTACTTGGGAGACTGAGGCAGGAGAATGGTGTAAACCTGGGAGGCGGAGGTTGCAGTGAGCCGAGATCACGCCACTGTACTCCAGCCTGGGCGACAGAGCCAGACTCCGTCTCAAACGAAAAAAAAAAAAAGGAGAGATTAACAAGTATTATAAAATTGTTAAAGACACCAAGCCCTGCCTCCTGAAAACAAACAAACAAAAAACCTCTTTCCTGGCCAGCAAAGCATGAGAGGGCACCAGCTTGCCTTCCCACCAAGGGATCCAATGTGATGTGGTGCAGCACCCTGGGAGGCAGAAGAGAGCAGGGACAGGCATCCAGGACTGGGGAGAGTGTGGCAAAGGCGGGAGGGTTACAGGCTTGCCAAGGCTGTAGGGAGGGGTATTGGTGGACCTAGAGGAGCCAGGTGGCAACATTGGCACAGGTGTGTCCAGAAACAGAGCACACATCACATGTAGACAGGGTAGGGGAAGGGTAATTCCTCACTGTCATCTTCTTACACCATTTTGATTTCTGTGCTGTGTCAGTATATTACCCATTCAAAACAAAAGATGCACAATCACACACACACACACAATCCCTTGGACAACAATATTTAGGACACCCAAGTGCTCTAGGGCAGAGACCTTGCAGTTGAACTGCGGGTCAGATCTTAGCCTTGCTGCTTCCTAGCAGCGTGGTCTTGAGTAAGTGTCTCAGCCTTCCTAAACCTCAATGTCCTCATCACACGAACAGTGCCTGCCCCAGTGAGGAACACATTAACACAGGGGTCAATGTAAAGCTCTCTGCCCTTCAGAGCAATGAGTCACCATGTTACTGCTTCCTCACCTGTCTCTGTATTCTTTGCTGATTTTAAGTGCATGTCTATGTGTGCCTTTCTATCTGTCTCTGTCTCCCTCATTCCCTTCCTTTCTAAAATAAAATGGAAGCATATTTTATGTCATTTATTATGTGTAGTTAATAGACTGTTCTTTTCCCTGCTCTTAATTTTAATAAGCTAATAAGGAGAACGTTGCCATTTCTAGAAACCAAGAAGCACGCTATATTAAATTGCTCCTTACTTCTTGAGGCCTCCGATTGATTTCAGGAGCTTGGGCCAGTGACTTTGGATGGCAAAATTGCTCTTCAGCCCTGTTCAGACTGAGAGCCTGCTCATGTGTGGGTACTCAAAGACATGGGTGTGCACACATTTACACATACCATGCACACACACACACCCCCTACAGAGAGTACACCAAAAAGAATGAACCTTTCCCATCAAGCGACCTCCAAACAACAATGGTTGGTGAAGGGCCCAGAAAGATTGAAATATTTCTGTTGAGTTTCATTTCTTTAAATATTGCTGTTGTAACCCTTTATAGAAGTCAGTAAATCCTGGTTTAACTGCTGCTATTGATTGGGGAAGGCACAAACAAAGGTGCAAATGAGTTTTGGCTGGCTCCTGAATTGTCTATTACAGATGGCATTAAAGACATGATGTATTTGTTTCCTAGTTTGCAGGCACGTGTCCGCTCCGTTACTCTCCGCCCTTCCATCATCCAGGACTGTTTTCTAAAGATAGACAGAAGGTTTCTGCAGGATACTCGTTCTTCATTCATTAACAGTGATCAGTAAACCCTGTGGTGTTCATTAAAATGTTTCTCTGCTGCACAGCAACAACATTTTTTCCTTTGAAAGCCAACTTTAGCTGCTGTGAGGTCAACAAAATATATAACAATTATGAAGAAGGTAATCTCCACTGTACTTTTTTTATTTTGAGTACATCCTGGGGGTGGGTGAGCAGTTGTGATTTATTTCCACTTGGACCCACGAGCCTCATTTGATTAATATTTGCTGGGGTTGTGCTCAGCTTCACTGGGGGCCGTGCAAATGTGAGGCAGGGTAAATAGCCAAATAGTGATAGCCCTCTATTCAGAGCAGCCAGTGACTTCTGACCCTACCTGGGTTTGGTTTTATGACTTTCATATCCTTGAAGTTATTTAAAAGAAGATGAAATATGACAGGTGCTGGGGTTGGCAAAAGCAGCCAGTTGATTGCATTCCGAGCTGCCGGTGGGAACCCCCTCCCGGACCGTCGTCAGCACATTTGAAAGTGTTCGGTTCATTGCTGTCCTCTGCACTTCTCCCCTGACCTGCAGAGCAAATCTGGCATGCAGACAGGTGGAAATGGACATTTGTTTTCTGCTGGCAAGTTTCTCTTGTAGGTGTGCCTTCATGTCTCAAACTCAGTCCATGGGGTTCAGATACAGCTGCCTCCTCCCCACTCCTCAGCATCCAAGAATATGCACATGGTGGCCAAGTCTGGCTAATCAGAGCACCCATTTCCTGGCTACAGTGATAACGTCAAGAATAGGCATGTGACTTAAACTGGACCAATGAAAGCCTTCACCAGGGCTTTTGAAGGAATCATGCAAAAGAGGTTCTCTCATCTGCTATGGACAATCTAGCATGATGTAAGTGTGGAGCCATCCTGTGGGGAGAGCCTGCATGGTGGGAGAAGCCAGCATACCAACAGCAGAGATGAGAGATGAAAGCAGAGCTCTGAGGATGTTGTTTGACAACTGGATGCAGCCATGGCTGAAGCTACTCTTTGAATTTTTAGTTAAACTGAGGCAATACATTCCCCTGGATTAAGACATATTGACTTGGGTCTCTGTCACAACCAAAAGATGCCTGACTCATGAAACGCCTTTTTACTATAACTTGAGGCGCACAGGAAATATTCCATGCCTATAATACATTCTGCATCAGCTCCCTAAAACCAGTCATACCCTGGAGTTTGCCACTTACCTCCTGTTTCTCCTGAAAGAAGTTTCTTAAAATATCACTTGCCCATGAATCCTTATTCCAGGGTCTGCTTCTTGGGGCTCCAAATTAAAACGTGAAGATTAAATAAAAGGATTCATGGAAAGTTCTTACCACAATGCATGACCCATAATATATGCTCAATAATTGTTAAATATTATTGTTGTTGTTGTGTTGGCAGAAGAGCTTGACACATAATATAATTTCCTGACATCAAATCCGGTGCTCTTTCAACTAGCCAGTGTTTCTCCTAAAATGTCAAACCTGTAACACAGTTGGTCTCCAAAATAAGTTTAATAGTTATGCATTTTAGAACTTTTTAAAGTTATGTAGTATGGCAAGTGAATGCTGTTTTCTATTTATGGTATAAGTTTGTTCTTAAATGTATTTAGGTTCTAAATGAGTCATATTTTTAAAAGCAATTAAAGGATATCCCAAGCTTTAAGAAGATGTGGTAAAAAATTGTGAAAGTAATATACTAACAGAAAGCTCTGCACCACCCCCACGCCAGCCACCAGCTCATACCCTCCATGCATGTGGCTTATGGTCACCGCCAAGGTCTCAGAGGACCCTGAAGAAAATGAGCGGTGAGCCAGAGCTCCCACTGCACCCACCGTCATGCACTTTACATGCTGTTGCCTGGCTCTGCAGTAGCTGAGCGAGAGAGGAGGATGTATGATGGGATGGGAAGAGATAAGTGGTATCTGCAGGAGCTGGAAGGAAAGAAAATCTGGTGCCTCAGCCCTAGGTGAAGAGGATTGAGAACATGATAAGTGAGAAACTGCAGTGTGGAAGGCCCTTCCAAATGGGAGGGAAGATGCACTGGCACAAGGCTGGCCCCAGAGGACCTCATCAAATGAGGCCACTCTTCTTTCTCATCTTTCTCCAGCCCCATTCCTATAGACACAGTCACTCCTGCTCCAAAGTCTGTTAAATTCAAGTTCTGGTTCTCCTATCAACGAACTGTGTGATTTTAGGCCAACCACACCACCTATCTGCACCTCTGATTCTCCATATGTAAAATGGGGTGAGTGATCCCCATGACACTGTAGTCTGGGCAGCAGCATAAATGGAGTCATTTGCAGAGCTCTTGGCACAGGTCATGGCCTACTTTCATTCCCCATTCCTAACTGGGCTAGTAAGCCCAGTATCACCTCCAGCTCACAAACAGGTAGAGTCCAAGGATCGGCTGGCCTCTAAAGCCTGGGTCTGGGGTACCTCCTCTCTGTAGAGGAGAGGCTTGTGTCTTTGGCCCAGCCTCAAGCTTCCATGCAAGGAAACATGCCATGCTCCTTATATAAGATGTTGTTTGTGCCTGATCCACATCCCCTTCACTGGGCAAGTTATAAACCACGTACCCTGCAAGTTTGGGGTGCTAAGGACTCACAGCTGTACCCTGATCTGGAGGATTGCCCTTGACTGATGGGAACCACCTCACCTGGAGGAACTGGTGGAATTAGTCCCAGCCACATCTCTGCCCTGCAGGGGGCCTGTGAGTAGTGCCTGGCACAGGGGTTCAAAAGCCAAAATTCCTTGTGGCCATTCATGTTCCAAGACCTCCTGGAGGGACAAAGCTGAGACTCCATGTCAGCTGGAATGACATCTCTTCTTCTTTACCTGCCCCATCCTGCCTTTCTCATTTCCTTACCTGTTTCTTCCGAGTGCACTCCCTAGGTAAATCACTTGCACGAGAATTCCCATTCCAGACTCTGATTTCAGGGAATCTGACCAAAGATGTCTTTGTGCACTAGATGAGATGTTTTCAGCAGAAGGAAGAATAAGGTGGCTCCTGCAGAAGCCAGACCTGGCTGACATTTCCCCTAAATGAAGGTCGTCTGATGGAGGATGTGGAGAGGGGAAGGGACCTGGATCACCCTGTCAGACACGCAGAGGAGACCAACCTCTGGAAGGCAGAACCCCGGACAGCTCCTGGGATCTCAGTGGCAGTGAGTCCTTCTCTATAAGGCTCTGGCCTTACCAGGACTCAGCTCCGACCATGGAGAGCCCGTAGGACAAAAGGTAAACATTTTGCTACAGCCAACAAGGCCCCATGAGATCCAGTCCTGCCTGCCTCTCCAGATTCATGGCATAACACTGTCTCCCTGGCTCAACACCCTTCAGCCATGTCAGACCTGCTTCTAATACCATATAATGCCATACGTCCCCTTCTCAGGGGGTTTTCTGCCCCTTTGTCCTGGAAATCCCTTCTCCAGTTCTTCCCATGACTAAGTCCTCATCTAGGACTTAGCTTCCATGACCCTTCTCCGAGAAGTCTTCCCTGTTCACCTGGTCATTCTTGAACACATTTCCCTGTTTTATTTCCTTGATAGCAGTTATCATCTGAAATTATGTTTGTATTTATTTATGTGTGTGTGTTTGTGTGTGTTTGTTTAAAATCTATGTTGGCATGAAGAGTTCTGAATCCCCAACTTGTAGAACAATATCAGACACATAATAGGTGCTCAATAAAATTCTACAAATAAAAGAATGATTGTGCTCGAGTTTCTGAGTCTCAGTTCCAAGTGTCATGTTTCCAGGAGGAGGAATCTGAACAGCTCAGCTTGGTAATCCTTCTCCACTCCCACCCAGACCTATCACACATCCTCCTTGACCCTGACTAATGATATACAGACATGCCCATTGGAGGGCATCCCTCAGGGATTGAGCACACATTCTAGAGAAGGAGGAGCCCAATATAGGAGCCCCTAGCTGTGTTTACCATACACATGAACCAGGGCTTGAATCAGCTGCTGTGCAACCCACATGGCCATGCTTATTGCTGCAGGTTTGCCCCATGGGTGCTGGGTCCTGCCTCTTGGGCTGGACTGTAATCATCCCGTTGGGCTTTGTGTGCTGGGCCCTCACTCTGATCTCTGCAGCTGGGTCTTCCCTCAGTATCTTTAATTCCCCCCCTCACCTATGAAAGGGGAACCATTTAGACTCTCATTAGCTAGCTCCAATCAGCTAAACACTGGACATTTATGCTTCTTTTCCCTCACAGTCACCTTCACACACATTTCACCCAGTCCTTAACCACACTGTGATGTAGTCAGAACAAAAATGCATCCTCACTGGGGCGCTAAGCTAAAAGATGGAATTTTTGGCCCACTAAGGAGGGAGGCTGCCTAGGATTGAAGCCAACACAAATGAAAGCAGAGTGAAGTGATGGGGAGACAGTGTCCTAAGGATGTTTTCTGAGCCCTTTGTTCCTTTTTTTTTGGAAATGGAGTCTTGCTCTGTTACCTGTCACCCAGGCTGGAGTGCAGGGGTGCAATCTCGGCTCACTGCAATCTCTGCCTCCCAGGTTCAAGCAATTCTCCTGGCTCAGCCTCCCAAGTAGCTGGGACTACACGCGCAGACCACCAAGCCAGGCTGATTTTTTTGTTTTGTTTTGTTTTGTTTTTTTGTATTTCAGTAGATATGGGGTTTCACCGTGTTGGCCAGGCTGGTCTCAAACTCCTGAGTTCAGGCAATCTACCTGCCTTGGCCTCCCAAAGTGCTAGGATTACAGACGTGAGCCACCACTCCCAGCGAGCCCATTGTTCTTAAGCCAATTCTACCCATAGATTATTCAGACATATGAACACCCTCAAAAATGTGTGTGTGTGCGTGTGTGTGTGTGTGTATTTATGTTACATCAGTTTGAGTTGAGCCTTTGTCACTCAGTAAGCCCAGATAATGAAATCCCTGTCAACCTGACATTCTGGGCTCCTACTCCCAAACACACTCAGAATTTTAGAGAGAGCTTTTGATTCTTCTCCTTAAGCTCCAATTTGGAGCCACTAGCTAGGTATGCTATGTACTAATGTGAGAGACAGGTGGACTCCGGAGACAGAATGTCAGAGCCCAAACCTTGGTTCTTTCACTTAGTAATGTGACCTTGAGAAGCTAATTTAGCCTCTGTGATTTCCTTTCCTGTATCAGGATAGAATAGGCTATGCTCTAATAACAAGCGATCCCAGGCTCACGGTGATTGAAAATAAAACGATGTATTTTTCACTCATGCTCCATTTCCATCATGGATTGTCTGGGGGTTTTGGTACTCATGACCCTCCCCTTGGGACTCAGATTGACACACATGGAGCATTGGAGTCTCTGTGACAGAGGGAATGGAACCAATCACAGGCTGGCTCTTAAAGCTGCTACCAGGAAGAGATACATGCCACTTATGCTCATACGCCATTGGTCAAAACAAGTCACATGGCCATACCTAACTTCAAAGTGAGTGGGAAACTATAAACTCATGGTATGCTTAGAAGAAAAACCAGAAAAAATGCCAAACAGCACCAATAACTATTATAGTTCCTTCATGTAATAGGTGGATAAAAATTTTACCTACTATGGGTTTGCTTTGAGAATTAAATAAGTTAATTACCCAAAGCCCTTAAAACAGCATCTGGCACATACTAAGTACTCAAATCATATTACCGATAATCACTACTTTGTGCTGTGACACCTGCCCTGGGTCTCATACATACCACACACCCTCTATCAGAGAGGAGGTTGGCACTGCTGCTACTCAGTGACCTGCCTTCCAAAGAACTAGAAAAAGTACATCCACGACACACCTAATGCCAGACACAGGCACTGAGAGGCACAAAGGGCATTTCATAATTTAGGATGATGAGTTTGTAATAAGCCACCAAACGTGCTTAAATCCTTCCAAGTCTAGAGTACAGGAGCAGAGGTCAACTGCTACCTGCAAATGAGCAGCTCTTGGAGTTGGACATATCGTCTCTCCTTCTGAACTCCCACTGGGATGGGACTCAGCACACATTTTCTCATAGCACTGAGAGTGACAGAGTTTTCTCAAAACTCATGTCACTCCCTACTCAGCAAGAGATTTTGATTGTCTCCAACAAAACATTTCCTCATCTTAGGGGCAGAAACGCATGACAGAGGAAATCTATTTTTTTAAATCCTCATGGAAGGCTTTAAAATAAGATTAACTCTAGGAATTTATCCTAAGTAGATGTTCTCAAAGATATATGTTCAAAGATGTTCATCACAGCATTGGAATGGGCATCAAGAGCTCCTTAGTTAAATACAGCATCGTGGACAGATTAAATAGAAATAGACTCAAACAGAAAAATTTAAGAGAATTAGAAATTATTGGTAGCATTTAAAAGAATTAGAATTAATACTGCCTCCATTAAAAGAGATCGAATAGTTCTATAGGTACTAACAGGTAGACATCTATCAAACATTGAAAGAAAGGGCCTAACACAGAACTGCACATATATTATAACCCCATTTGTATACATTTTAAAAATACATACATATGTGGGCTGATAGAGGCCACAAGAAATTATTAACAGCAATTTCCTTGGGGAATAAAATTCCGAAGGGCTGTGGAATGAGAAAGAGGTATGTAGTTTCTGTGGTTTACCTTCTCATGGCACCTGAATTGTTTTTATCATATGTCATTGTTACATTTACATTTAGAACTTATTTAAAAATTTTAGCAGGGCATGGTGGCTCATATCACAGTGCTTTGTGAGGCTGAGGTGGGAGGATCCCGCATGAGTTAAAGACCAGCCTGAGCAGCATAGTGAGACCTCCGTCTCTACAAGAAATTAAAAAAATGATCAGGGATTGTGGTACATGCCAGTAGTCCAAGTTAGTTGGGAGGCTAAGGCAGGAGGATCACTTGAGCCCAGGAGTTCAAGATTGCAGTGAGTCATAATAGTGTTACTGCACCGCAGACTGGGCAAGAGAGTGAGACTCCATCTCAAAAAAATTAAAATTAAAAAAAATTAAGAAATAATAATTATTTTGTCTACACAGAAGCAGCAGTTAACATATCTGAAGAGTCCTGGAAACATGTGCTGGAGTAAGGAAACTGGACTTCTCAAGCATCTTCCCAGGATGGGGAAGAGCCCCACCTCCAGACCTTGCCAAGGCTGGCTTTATCCTGGGTGCAAGGGAGGCCCCCAGTAATGAGGGGCACCCAGAGGCCATGCGTGAGCATCTGAGGTGACTCTTTATCTAAGCCACCAAATCGGGGTGGCAACAGGTGAGCAGCTGTTCCCTGCTCAGGATTAAAGAGGTAGTGGCCACCAAAACATCTGGGCTCCATGCATGGATGCAGCAGTTGCCTCTGGATTTGGGAAACATTCATCACATGCCTCAGCACCACAAATGCCCTGGGGGCTACATTTCTGCCCTGCCCACCTTGCAGGGGTGTTTTAAGGACTAAAGGAGGCAAAATGTGTGAATGTAATTGGAAAGGAAATGGAGACAGGTACTGCTACCATCATCCCATTTTCACAGATAAGAAAAATGTGGGCCGGGGGCAGTGGCTCATGCCTATAATCCCAGCACTTTGGGAGGCCGAGGAGGCTGGATCACCTGAGGTCAGGAGTTTGAGACCAGCCTGGCCAATATGGTGAAACCCCATCTCTACTAAAAATACAAAAAAGTAGCCAGGCAAGGTGGTGTGTGCCTGTAGTCCCAGCTACTCAGGAGGATGAGGCAGAAGAATCACTTAAACCCAGGAGGCAGAGATTGCAGTGAGCCGATATCGCACCACTGCCCTCCAGCCTGGGTGACAGAGTGAGACTCCGAGAAAGAGAGAAAGAGAAAGAAAGAGAAAGAAAAAGAGAGAAAGAGAGAAAGATGTGATGAGGCAGGGAAGAAACAGACTCTAGCTCTCACAGCTTGTAAACAGGGGAGCCAGATTCAAACCCAGACTTTCTGGTCCCCAAGCCTGGACTCTGAAGCCATGCAATTCACTAATTCACTGCCACTTTAGAATGCCCTATGAAACTTAAACCACCATGTGGGCAGGAACATTCTGAAGACCATCCCAGTTACAAAGCTTCCATGGAGTCAGCTAAGGACTTCAAAGCCACTGCATTGCAATCTAACTTCTCTCTCTGCTCAAGCCAGCGCCCCTCACCCCTCACAGGTGTTGATCCTGAGAGCTGTTCTTAACAAACTTCTGCATGCAAATTCATCTCACTCTCTCTCTCTCATTTCACAGGGAGTCTAACCTAAGACAATGAGTGAAGCCACTTTTTAAAAATTAAAATATGTTGATTAAAAAATAGCATGAATGCATTACAAAATATTTTGGGAGAACAGAAACAAAACAGGGAAGTAAATATCATAATCCCACTCTAACAATGCAAAGCACATTCAATCATGTATTCTTAAATGCACGGGAAATTGACAAGCCCTCATAACAGTTTGCTCTATTCCTTTCAGTCTTTTTTCCTATGCATATATTTTCATAAAGTTATAATCAAACAATTTTATACACACAATTTTCACCCTGCTGTTTTTTGTTCAGCATATTATAGTTATTATTGATGTTAGTTGAGTCTCTTGAAACATTTTTAATAGTTGCATAATAACCCATTGAGTTATTGTTAGTGGCCTCTTTTCTAGAGGTACATATTTAGTTTGACTCAAGATGTTACATTATATGATTCTTTCATCCTGGATGTAGAAAAAGAGAAAAGTAAGTTATATTATAAATTATACTGTAATAAATATGGTAGGGATATGGCGTTTTCCATACTTAGAATTATTTTTAAGGAAGGTTAGACTTCCAGAAGTAGAATGATTGCGCGTAAACCTCATTCATTTAAAACTGTTTTTACAACACATAGATCTCTTGACATAAAATCAGGAGTATTGAGTTGGATCAGGTTTCTGTTTTTTAGCTTTGTGTTCTTGGACAGCCGACACACCTCTCTGGGCCCCACTTACCCCACTGTGAAGTGTGGAGCAGAAGAGGGATTCAGCATGAGCCCCATGAAGCCCATGCAGTGCTGGGGCTCACTGCTTCTGAGAATGACCTTCGGAGAGACAGGGAGCTGCCAGGGCCCCGGAGAGTTTCACCTGCTGGCATGTGAGATGCAGGATTTGCCACTTAGAGATGCACTGTAATGAATTCTCCTCTCTCCTTTCAAGTCATTGGAAGGTTTATGGTTGGATTAATAGTGTTATGAATTGAGTTAAACAAGGCTTTCCTTCCCCCAGGACTTCAAATAGCAGAAATCAGATGAGCCCATAATCCTCTTCCACATGCAGCAACTTTATTAAAATCTATCTTAGGATAAAGAGAGGGGCAGGGTTGAGGGAGGGAGGGGCCAGGCAGGGAGGCAGTGGACAGGAGGAGCTGCCAGGGCACAGGGCAGGGCACCCCGTGCAAGTGAGATCATCGCGTGTTGATAGCTGCCTAATAACCATCTTTAAAAATTAGAACATTCTGATAAAACAAGTCTTCTTTGTCAACCTCCCAAACCCAGCTCCCACTCATTATCGGTGAGTTGGGATTGCAGAGCAAGTGATTTTAGGGACTTTATCCATGAAGTTCTGATGCTATTAAGCTATTAATTTGATGTGTTATTCTAGACTTTTTTTATCCTTTACCAGAAGATACATGATAGATAGATAGATGATAGATAGATAGATAGATAGATAGATAGATAGATAGATAGATAGACAAGTAGATTGACATATACTTTTCCACAGAAAACATGTAACATTATTTTATATCGACTTTTGGCACAAACAGGATTCTCTGGATATATTATTCACTATCCATGCCACCATCCATTTTGACATATAGAGATCTAGGTCAGTCCTTATAACTGGCTGGTAGTGCTCAGCTTTTGAATATACCACATTTTATTAGCTATTCTCCTATTAATGGACATTGGGATTGTTGCCGTCCTTTGCTAATAAATGCTATAATACAAATAACATCCTGTATCCACGTGCACACATGCAGTGCATCTCTAGGGCAGGTAGGGTCTCTAGGTCCTAAGGGCTGGCATTTTCTTAACCCTCTGGGGTGTTAGGAGTAAACCAAACAGCCAGTGGTTCCAAATTTATGTTCTAACATTTCTGTCCATCCAGCCAGCCTACTGTGTGCAAGCAGAATGAGTGAATGGTTCCAATCTACAGATGGAGTCCAGAGAAATAAGGTGATTTGTCAAAATTCACAGAGTCTGTAAGTGGTGAAGACATAAGGAAGTGGTATAGTCTGGAGAGGTCTGGGGAGTTAGGGCAGGAACCTATTTGGTAGCCCAGTAGGGGTGGGAGAAATGGAATGTTTCCTCTCCAGAGGTGTGTTAGCCCTGGCAGCACCTGTGTTGTCTAAACATACCCAGAACCCCGACAGAAAGAACTCCAACAAGCCCTCGCTAATTGCTATCATCTAAATGAAGTGATTCATATTCCTTTGCCCATGCATAATTAGCTAATAAATTACAAATGAGTAATCGTCTCTGAGGAGGCAGCAGGAAAGAGCAGTGCCATCATACATAGACCCTAATTTTCCTTCGAGGCTATTGCTAAATCGTGACTCCCTTTGGAATCTCAAGCAATTTTTCCCCTTTATTATTACAAGGCTATTCTTGGCTTTGACAAATCAGGACTTCTGAAATTACCAAGCCAAGAACTCGTTTCCCCCAACCACCTCCTTTTTCTGGGAAGAACTCTATCTATTATGACACACATCCTGTTCGTGACATGACCTTCAACAGCCCTCCTGTAAAGGAAAAGAAAAGAAAATGCAAGGGGAACAGTACATCACGTGCTCTCAAAAGCAGCCCTCTCCTGACTGAGAAGTCCGTGACAGGTGCCAAGATTCCTGTCCAAAAGGCAAACAGTTGCTTCAACCTTTGCATTTGGGAGTGGTTTATCTGGACCTGAGGCATGTCCTGTTGAAGAATCCCCCATCCTGAAAAGAAAGAACAAGGCCAGGGCATCTGTATATTCAGTAAGTGCCCCCAGAAGATGCTAGGTGTGGAGCCACTTGGCTAAGGAAAGAACTTCTATTTTTGTTAGGCTAAAGTGACAGTTCTCCATGTCAGTAAGGAAGCAAAGGTCCACATATGTAATCCCATGCTTCTGAGCACTCTGGGTTATTATCTTCCCCCTACAGAGCACCTTGGGCTGTCCTCTGACCTCTCTGGAACATTATCACAAGTCCTAGGACACCAACATCTGCCCACTTTACAAACTAAGAATATTCTGCTGTGTTGATGCACCTGAGAGGGAGAAGGAACTTGTCTCACTTCTCTCTCCAAGATACCAGAGCACTTTACTCAGGGGTTGGGGGTGGGGGTGGCGGTGGGGGAGGGGCACATAGACTAGGGCTCTTGCAAGCCAACCCAAGCGGTTTACCTAACCCAAGTGGTTTAAGCCTTTTCCAAAAGGAAAAAGTTCTGAAGATTGGTTGTACAACAATGTGAATGTACTTAACCCTATTGAATGGTAGACTTTAAAATGGTTAAGAAGGGGTGAAAATGTGGAGAAACTGGAACTCTCGTGTACTGTTGGTGGAAATGTGAAATGATGTAGCCATTATGAAGAATAGTATGGAGGTCCCCAAAAAATTAAAAATAGAACTATCATATGATCCAGCAATCCTACTTCTGGGTATATGACCAAAAATAATTGAAAACAGGATATCAAAGAGATATTTGCACACCCATGTTCATTGCAGCATTATTCACAGTAGCCAAGAAACGGAAGCAACCTAAATGTCCATCAATGGAAGAATGGATAAAGAAAATGTGGTATAAACATACAATGAAATATTGAGCTTTAGAACAGAAGAAAATATTGTTATATGCTACAGTATGGATGAAACTCGAGAACATTATACTAAGCAAAATAAGTCAGTCACAAAAAGACAAATACTGCGTGATTCCATCCATATGATTTATCTAAAATAGCCAATCTCAAAGAAGCAGAAATTCAAATGGTAAGTGCCAGGGGCTCAGGGAGGAACAGTGGGTAGCTGTTGTTCAGTGGGTACAGAGTTTCAGTATAGAGGGTGGGAGCTCCTGGGGATGTGTTGAACAGCCATGTGTACGTCGTTGGCAATATTATACTGGACATTTGGTAATTGTTGGGAGGATGGACTTTATGTTATTCTTTGCCACAATAGAAAAAGAATATACTGTGCAAATATTCCCATGTCAATAAATACTGCAAAATTTAAAAATGGTTAAGACAGTAAATTTTCTGTTATGTGTATTTTAACACTATTAAAATTTTTTAACAATGTAAGAAAAAGGGGAATTTAAAGGCTGGTATAGTTAAAAAGAATTACCTTGGGTGATAGATTTGGAGAAAGGATCGTATAAAACACTAACTATCAAGAAATTATTTGATTGTTAGAAGAGGCCAGAAATCTAATCTAATGTGGCCACAGATGGCCACATTCCAGGTCAGAGATTCCCAAGAGAGATCAGGAGGAAACTTAGGAACCAAACATTCTGTTTCTCCAACATAAACTTAAAGGTGGCCCTTAGCACTGCCTTCCATCTGAACTTGGGCAAAGAGCCTCCTTGACTCGTTGTGCCTCCTTTCCCCATCTGGGCCACGGGGAGACTGGGGCAGTTAGCTGATCCTTACGTTTTTCATCATTAACCTTGTATGAGCCTCTCTCTAAAGTTTTCTTCTCTTTTCTCCTTTTTCTTTTCTACTTCTTTTCTTTTGGTAAAGTCCTAGGGGAAAAAAAACCCACACACTTTCCATATGGCGCCCTTCCTGGAGGCCAGCCAACTCCCCAGCTCCCCAGGGCTGCCACAATGCATATGCATGGGCCAAGAAGGCTGTCCAGCCACCCGCGGTGTGATCACAGCCTGTCGCCAAATGTGCCCATGTCAGCAGCCCGAGCACCCCCTCCCTCACTGTCTGTCCCCAAATCTCCACTGCACTGTCAGGCCTCTGAATTAGCGACGCTCAAAGCAATCGCACAAGCCCACATGAGTACACATCGTGGTGGGTGTGGGGGACCAGGGGGTGGGTGGAGTAACTACTTGGCCTCCTGCATATTCACAGAGATCCTTAAACTTAAAATTGACATTGTCACCTAATATATTTATACATAAAGCCACAGCAATGCACAAGAGGACTAAAAGAAGATCCTGTCTTCCAGCTTTAAATGTGAGTCCCCTTGCCGGAACCCACTGCCTGGCGTGTGCTGTGAATTTTTTAAAACATAAATCCTGTAATTACTTTGTGAATGGCAATTTACATCTTAGGACATTGCCACCTGCAATAGAACACTGAAAACAAAATGAAGTCAAGAGATTATGGGTAGCTATCATTCAAACCATAATTGTTACTACACGCTCTGTTTTATCGAAAGTTCTGAAGTGTCATTATTTTGCCATAAATGTTCTGACATTTTGCATTAGTCAAAATTCTTCAGTCATATAACTGATGGATACAGACTAGTAAATTATTGTGTTGAATGGGCTTTAGTGTAAAAGTATTAATTGTTCAAAGAAAAAATTATAATATGCAATAATTTTGCTGCCCTGTTTTGGCATCTCTTTATTTTTTTACTATCCAGGATGAATCAAGGAATAAAGATAGATGAGTCATGTCTCTCTTAGCTTCTGGAAGTCTTGTGAGCCCTCTACTGTGTGTCTGGTGCTCTTAGAAAACCAGGGATGAATCGTCCGGGCACGGTGGCTCACGCCTGTAATCCCAGCACTTTGGGAGGCTGACGTGGGCGGATCACGAGGTCAGGAGATTGAGACCATCCTGGCTAACACGGTGAAACCCTGTCTCTACTAAAAATATAAAAAATTAGCCGGGCATGGTGGTGGGTGCCTGTAGTCCCAGCCACTCGGGAGGCTGAGGCAGGAGAATGGCATGAACCCAGGAGGCGGAGGTTGCAGTGAGCAGAGATCGCACCACTGTACTCCAGCCTGGGTGACAGAGAGAGATTCCGTCTCAAAAAAAAAAAAAAGAAAGAAAACCAGGGATGAATCATGCATGATACCTGGCCTCAAGGAGCTCATGGGGTAAGAGGGAGACAAAATGTGGACATAAACAGCCAAGACTCAAGGCAAATGAGAGTTGTGCAAATTGGGGAGACACAAACTGGGGAGACACTGAAGGAGATGGCATTTCAGTTGAACCCTAAAGGATGAAACTAGATGTAGCATTCGGAATCTGCAAGGACCCATCAAGCCCACCTATTCTAACCCCCTCTTTGGGTATCAACTGAGGCATAGAAATGAGGCATCTCTTCCAAGGTAGGAAGTGAAGGGCATGGAACAAAGCAGAGAAGAGGGACGATGTCTCCAGGTAGAAGCAGTGATAGAAACAAATGCGGGAAAGCTAGAAAGTTCAAATGATGACAAAGGCCCGTTTAATGGGCATTA
Organism: Homo sapiens; assembly: GCF_000001405.40. Taxonomy (NCBI): domain Eukaryota; kingdom Metazoa; phylum Chordata; class Mammalia; order Primates; family Hominidae; genus Homo; species Homo sapiens. The sequence continues at coordinate 48,884,113 of NC_000016.10, read as the reverse complement.
GTTTTGCTCCCCTGCCTGGTCTCCATGCTGTATCCATGTGTTCATATGGCATTGACTGAACTCCAGGGTTAGGCACATGACCATGCTTGGGCCAATTAATATGCTATATCCTCCCAGCCCCAGTGATTGATTCAGGGATGGGCAGATAACCCAGGTGAGTCCAATGAGACTCAGCCTCCAGAATTTTGCCAGAGCAACCAAGACAGAGGTATACATCAGGAGCTGCTGGTGGCACCACTTGGGGTCAGCTTGCTTGAAAAGAGTGAACCTATAGGAAAGGAAGCTGAGAAGTAGAGAGAGGCCAAGTTCTAAAATCAATGTTTGCACCTCCGAATTCTCCTGTGTCTAATCTACAATTGGACTTCTCAGTTGCAGGGACCAAACAGGTTTTTATTTGGTTTGAGTTTCTATCATTTGCTTCAGAAGAATCCTAACTGCCCCACTGCAATTCAAGAATAGCTCAACTCCCTGGGAGAAGAAGACCTCTTAGCAACATAAGCTAGTTTATCATGTAAGTTAATGGAGCCCTAGAAAATCCCAAAGGAAAGACAAACAGGACAGTGGACCCTCCATGAAGCAAGCTGATTGGCCTCTAAAGGGCCTGGTGGTGGAGTGTAGACATTTTTTACCTTCTTCCTAACCCCAGCCTTGAGTTCACCCAAGGCAAGGGAGGCCAAGGTTAATTGGGATCTGCAGCCAGTTTGGGGGCAACTGTAGATTGCTGTCTCCCTGTCCATCCTTTTCAAGTTCCTGCCCTTTCCCCCAATTCTTGGTGTCTCCTGTGGCCAAAACCCCAGAGCACTGAAAACTTCTGCTGAAGTTTATTCAAATGCAGGTGGAAGTACAATGCACGACTGACTTTTGAAGGCCAACCTCCAAGACAAACATCCAAGCAGCCCACAGTCCGATGAATTCAATGTCATGAGAACTCAACTCTGCAAAAGCCTGAGTCAGTCTGGAATAGCAGGTAGGGAAGAGTAGAGAGTTTAGCAAATTACAAGATCCAAAAGGCTGGAGGCGATGGACAAGGAACTTAGGGCCTGACCCAAGTTCATGTGTAATCATGCTAGCTAGGTGAATGTTGGCAAGGACCTGGTGCTGAGAGGTGATGCCATTGCCAGTGACCTTTACCAGGACCACATCCACTGGAGGTGTGGGGGCACCAGGGCTCAGCCAGTGCAGGAATAGACCGTGTGAGCCTGAACATGCAGGGGAATTATCAAGAAGTCCAGGGAGCCCAAAACAAATGAACATGCACAAGAAGGGGTGCAGAGAAGAAGGGTGAGTTAGAGGAGGCCTTGGGGCTATCTGCTTTAGGAACAGAGGGGCTCTGCAGAAGGAGGAGAGATTCTCTGAAAGGCCTCCTGACCACAGCAGGATGGGGAGGGAGGGCCCTCTCTCCTGTCTGTCCTGGAGACCAGAATTTGCTGATTGACATGACTGCCCTCTTGGTCAGAACAGGTGGAGAAGGCATACTGAGAGGAGAGCCAGAGATTGGCCCTCCCTCACTCCTGCTCCCAGAGGGCTGTCCAGCTTGGGAGTTCTAGCTCTGCCTGAAAACCCACATGTTGCATGCAGGCCTCTTACCCTGCACCTAGCCCCTGTCTCCTTGCAGCCCAGGCTGAGATGCAATGTGTTTTGTCTTGGTCTGCTTTTGTCCTCAGGGAGATGCTCTCTGTTCCCTATCCTAAGAAAAAGTGGAGCACCTTGGGAATGGATTCCATAGGGTCATACTGGGAAGAAGCCCAAGCCTTGGGTTCCAACCCTGGAAGTCAGATAGCTGGGCAGGCTGCACCTTGCCCCATCACCTAGAGATGTCCTCTACCACCCAGAGTACTCTTCCTCTGCCCAGAGCAGTTCTCCACCATTGGAGGCTCTCCTCCAGGGCAATCATCACCCCCTGGATTAGTCATTCACCACCTAGGCACTCCTCCACCTCATGGAGTAGTCCTCTACCATCCAAGGCACTCATCCAGGCAATTCTCCACCAACCTGGATGGTTGTCCATCACCCAGTGTACTCTCCCAACACACACACAGGGTGGCACTCCTCCTCCTGGTCTGTTCTCCATTGTTTGGAGAGACACCTTGGGGTAGGCATGTTATCGACCATGGGTAATTAGGTTGGCCGCCTAACTACTGCCCTCCCTGGGGTCTCCCCTGCTAGGTCCTGCTACACCTGGCATGTGGGAAGTGTTCAGGGAAGGTTGCTAAGCTGTCTGGAGGATAACCGAAAGGTACTGGAATCCAAGGTATCAGAAGGCTGGTGGTGAGTTCTAACAAAGGACAGAGCTTACCTAGGAAGATACAGCAATGCCACATGGTGCTCCAGAGCTGGCCATAACTACACAACTACAGCTCCCCAGCAGAGTCAACCTGCTGGCTGGCCATCCTTGGATAGCATTAATAGGGCAGGAGTGGAGTTGGTGGATGGCCTTCATTCATTCATTAATCTATTCAACACATATTTATCTACCTTGTGCCAGGCATGGGGCGCCACTGTGGTAATGGAGAAGTGACATAAAAGTGGCTGTGGGAGCCCCAAGGATGCCTAAACTTTCCCCTCACTGCAGGAGGCACATGAAAGGAGAGAGAGGGAGGGTGGGAGAGAGAGAGAGAGAGAGAGAAAGAGAGAGAGAGAGAGAGAGAAAGAGAGAGAGAGAGAGAGAGAGAGAGAGACCACCCTTACAAAGGGCTCCCAGGGCCGATCTCTGGAAGCCTTTTATGGCTCTCATCCCTCTACTCCCAACCTCCTCACTGGGGACACAGCCTCAGAGCCCCAGAGAGTACCTCAAGACTTTCAAAAGCACCCACCTATAGGGAGATTCCCAGATCAGACCTGAAATTAATCCCCCATCCCAAAATATTGGCAAGTTCCCACAGCCTCTGGCAGAATTCCCATGCTATCTGGCCACATTTGGCTGGCCCTGATGGTCTGGAGGGGAGAATGGGGGTAGATTGGGAGCCTTCCTTCATTCATTTAGCCAATATTTATTAAGCACCCACTGTATGCCTGACACGGGGGAAGTGGAGGAAAGGTAACAAGGCAGTGATGTGAAAGTGGAACTGTGGATGCCTAAGGGTGCTGAGTCTTCTCCTTACTGCAGGAACAGGGCAGAGAGAGAGGGAGAGGGCACCTCTGGACAGGCTTCTGAGGACACCCAGGGTCCTTCCACCTCCATGAAGGCATGGGGGTGGACTGGTAGATGACATTTCAGCACCGTAAGAAGCATCCACCTGTTGGGTCCATCCCAGGCTGCACACAGAGTAGGTGCCCCAGCCCCCAAATCTCTGCAAGTGCCCACAGTCCCCAAGAGACTGTGTTCTGGCCCTAGCAATAGAGATTCCCTTTCACAAACACACTTCTACAACCCATGGCCTCATTCCTGGATGAAGCATTTACCAGCCGCCTCCCTGGCTCTCTAGGCCTCTGCCTCTGCCCTTCTCTCTGGCCACAAGGTGAAAAGGGACCAAGCCTGAAGGTCATGCCCTATTGGGTCGGTTCTTCTCACAGGTCCAAGGACTCTTAGATCCATAGATGACCCTGGGAGGAGAAGTCTGGTCCATTCAACAGATAGGGAAACTGAGGTCCAGAGTCCCACACCAATCTGCAATCCCACATCCCTATACCCAGGGCCCTCCAACAGGTCTCCTGCAAACCAACCTCACCCTGCCTATAGCCTCCAGTGCTAGAAGCTTCCTAGAAGGAAGCAGAAATGCTTTTTCCAGAAGTTGACATACTTCTCTGTGTTGCTATTTGACAAGTAAATCCAGCATGCTGAGAGATGTCCCTGGGCCACCTTACAGATGGCAAATCAAATCCACTGGTTCCGCATACACCTGCTTCAGCATTATTCAGAACTTCCCGCCTTCTTCTGTGAGCCCAGGTGAAAAATTCAGACTTAATCCCTGGCAGACCAAATTAACCCCGCAAATTAGCCACACTGTTTGTGTAGCTCCTCCATCCTCCTGGGTCTGAGCGGCAGAGTGAGGAAGAAGGAGGCGGCTTAGCCAGACAGGTGGCACAGTGCAGGCGACAGCCTACAGGGCTTGCTCATATTTAAAACTTCCTTTCATATATTTTTAATAAAACAACTGATACAAATTCAAAACCAACTTCATAAATCAAACATTATTCAATGTTGGCGGCTTAAAGGTTTCCCTGGCGCTTGGCTGGGAGCACGCAGCTCTCCCAGATGGGGGCTTTGCACTCGAGCGCTTGAGGTTTTGTGAAACGTTTATTGGATTTCATAGTCCCTTAAGGGGAAACCCTTTAAATGTCTTTGCAATTATAAGTCTAATAACACTTTCAGCCCTTGGACACAGCCTTGACTTGACAGAGATAAGGAACTCGAAGTTGCTCAGTCAATACCAAGCTATTAATCTCTGTCACCTCGCTGTCACTGCCGCTCAGGAAAACAATGTCGTTTCTTGACCTAGGTGAAGGCATGGAGTGATTTTATTCAGAATGTCAGCATTTATCAACCCAGATTTTGTCACTCCCTCACTCCCTTGAAGAAGTCCCAGTTCTTCATCCTGCCTGTGTTGACACCCTTCCAATAGAAAGAGTTGCTTTCAGTCTTGGCCTATTATTATTATTTAGCACTTATTCAAGTGTAAAAAGCCTCTAAGAATAAAGTTTTTCTCTGTACAGAGACCTGGCAGACAAATCACTTTATGCTGCTCTTTGGCAACCCAAGCCAAGGACGGCTGGAAATTACCAAATGCCATGTTTGTTTACATATTCAAATGAAGGTTAATTTTTATCCTGTCTTTGCTCAAATTTGATTAGGGTGGGGCTCTCCTCCCTCCCTCAGTGGTATATTTATATCAGCATCCTTCTCCTCGACCTTGAAAGAAACCCAAGAAATTGTTTAAAAGAAAAGCCAACAAAAATCCTAATGAAAAACTAACAAGGAAGAATCAAATTGTTCCTGGCAGGGCAGCCAGCCATCCTTCATGCTGTATTCAAGAATAATAGGAAACGCCTGGTTTTGCCCAGCAGGAACCTGGACTCTTGGGCACAGGGTGAGGTGAAGCAATGGTGGGGGCACCCACCCTAAAGCACATGGTGCTGTCAAGGTGGAGGAGCTGCCAGTCAGGCTTCCAAAGGCTTGTGTCTGTGCTCAGGAACTGGGCTTGGAGAACTGACACTCCAGAGTGTCAATTATGGCTCCATGGAATGCCTTGGAGGCTTTGGAGGTATGAGGTACAGGATCAGGCAGGGCTCCAGGCCCCTCAACCTCCAATTGTATCTGTTTCATAGAGTACACCTCTGAATCAGAGTTTATTTAGACTATGTTGGAGCCCTCAGAAGTCTCAGATTAACAAAAAGAGCAGTCATGGAAACATGCTTCTGTCTTTACAGCCAACTAGTGCTAAGCACCTTCTCCTGGTGTTCATAAATAGTTCCTGTCTAAGGATCTCAAATAGATAGTAATGCAGTATAAAAACACAAACTAAACCAAATAAAACAACAGCATCAAAAGCCTTGTTTCCCTTGATGAAACTGAGAGTTTTCCTCTTTTATCATGGTTGCCAGGAAGCTCAAGCTGAAATTATCTATTAGAGCTGGCATGTTGGCATTAAATTTTGGTTTCAGTTTTATTCTGTTGCTTGTATTTCGGCAACTTGTTGTCATGTCCTCTGCTATAGGTCCCTTTGAGTCCCTTTTCCACAGATATAGAGTTCAGATGAATAAATAAATATCCATGAGCTGTAGGACAGAGCCAAAGGCTGGGACTTGGTAGACGAAGGTGTGGTTCCAGCTCTGCCTCTGATTTCCCTGAGGTTTGGGCAAGTATAAGTTGGGCCTCAGCTTTCTCATCCAGAAAATGAGGGGACTGAAACAAAGCTAGTCCCAAGTCACTCACCTCTTTTTCCAGATGCCCCCACTGGCTCAGGGCCCATGAATGAGCAGAACATGGAGACAAAGAGGAGGAACTCTGAGCCATCCTGTTCCCCCAAGGTATAGGGTGACCAACTCTACCCAGTTTTCCTGGAACTTTCCAGGTTTTAGCACTGAAAGTCCCACGTCCCAGGAAACCCCTCAGCATCAGGCAAACCAGGATGCTTCGTCACCCTACAGGTTCACCTGCGAGCTTGCCACTTAACTAGCTATGCCACCTTGGACAAGTAACCTAAGTCACTTATGCCTCATCTTCCTCCATCTTTAAAATGAGGTTATCAGCAGAGCACCTCCTGGTGTTGTTGTAAGTCTTAAACACGTTCATATTTCATAAGAGCACAAAGAACAGTACTTGGCACTTTGAATGCACCACATGAGTGTTTGTTAAATAAATTCTACAGCCATTTGCTTCCTACTCAAGTCAGGGAGATTTCTCAAAATAATTATTTATTTAAAAAAGAAAGAAAGGAAAGCTACCCTGATACACATCAAAGAAAGACCAGTTGTTTTGTGGGAGGAGATTATCTATCTGTGCGCCATTCTGGGATAGAGTGGAGGCACAGCCACCACGGAGAGCTAGGGCTGTGTGAGACTCGGGGAAACCCCTCACCCTGGACAAAAGGATAAAACCCACCCTCCCTGCACAGAGAGGCCAAGAAGCCAGCCACTCTCAATGTTTTCTTGGTGCTTACAGTTATCAGGAAAAGAGGCTGGTTTCTACTAGGGATGTCAGTCAGATCATTGCTTAGAGAGTATCAGGGAAATAAATTAAGTTTAGACGTCACTGCCCATTCCTGCTGAGAACCTGGAATGGGGATACTGGGTAGGTGGCGAGTGGAGCCCTAGGGTTGCTGGGGACCCCACAAAGCCCAGCAATGCTGAGCTGCCCAAATAGTATGGGGCAGATGCCCAATAAAAGGCTGCTTCCCTCACAGCCCATCTGTCTTTATCAGGCAACCCTTGTGCACCCAGCCTGAGTAGCTCCTGCCCTCCAAGAATTGAACTCTTAACTTGGCAGGCAAAACTCACAGGCTCTGAGTCCCTTGCCCAGAATTTGCTTCTGCTTTTAATTGTTTTGTCTCCATCTCTCCTCCCAAGCAATAAGCAAAACTTTCCCAAGGCTTGGAGCAACCCCCAGCCCCTTTTTCCTCATGTGTCCTGTGCAGAGCCTGGCACTGGGGCTGGCATCTTAGAGATTATCAAGCAATTTCTTTTGCACACATGCTGACTCCGTAATTGAAAGGAGAGATGGTCGAGAGCTATACTGTCCAATACGGTAGCCATGCATCACCATGCAACTATTTAAACGAATTAAATAGGAAATTGAGCTCATTGGTTGCATTAACCACATTTGTTCAATAGCCACATGTGGTTAGTGGCTACCGTATTTCATGGCGTGGTTCCATTATCACAGGAAGTTTTATTGGACCGAGCTTATCTAGAGCATATGAAGAGAAAGGAGGTTATTAAACTGGGAAGGACCCATCCTCCTATAAGCTCTACCCTCAAGGATTACAGTTTTTCTGAGATTGAGACATAGGCCAGAATGGGCCTGGCAGAATCTTAGAAGATTATATTGATCTAGAATATCTTCCATATCTTAGAAATTACCTAATGTCACAGGTAAAGACTGATTCCTGGAGAAGGGGCTTTCACAAAAATGTTATGGGCTGAACTTACCAAGCCCCTGAAATCTAGCTCCCCACTCCCTGGCCCCAGTGTAACATGTTAAAATGGGAAGGTGGCAGGAGAAAGAGATGAAACAAGGGAACGCCATCAGGATGGCCAGCCTACATGAACCGCCCACTGTAACTCCCTTTCCCACCATGACCTTTGCCTTTTGTCGTGGGAGCTTTTGGCACAGTACAGTCTTCAGCATCCCTCCAAAATGTGGAGGATACAGAACTGACCAGCCCTCTGGCTCTTCAGGTCTCTCTCTAGGCCCAGCATCATGCAGGCAGCAGGCAAATACCAAAATCAGGTCTAGAGGTTAGCCTGGGAGAAAAGCCAAGAGCTAAACACTTCCTAACCTTGGAGAAGACAAGATTCCAGACTTTGATCTCTAAGTGAGGAGTCCCCCCATCAAACATACTGAAGTCATCTGAACCCAAGAACAGCTACAGAATCAACTCCTGCAGAATCCACTTGGGGAAACATCTAGGCAGGGGAAGAAACTCAGACTTCGTCCCTGTCACCTGCAGCTACCAGGCACCTGAGGGAGAGGCAACAAGACCCTGTGTGAGTCAGGCAGAGGGTTGTGAGAAGCCTGTGTGTGTCTCTGTTTTGCAGTAGATCCACCTTGAAAATAAACACAGATTTTATTTATAAAATGATGGCAATCACTAGCCTTTACACAGAGGTTGATTTGGCTTTTACAAGAAACTTCTACATACAGAAGGAGTATTTCTTTCAAGAACTGTGGGAGATAGTTGATGCCCCCATTTTCACAGCTATGAAATATGAGGATCTGTGTAGTAGAATACCTGTCCTAAGTCACCTGTAGAAACTCAGCTGGCCTTCAGATTCCAAATCACAGCTCAGTGAATAAAGGAAACTTAGGCCTGAGAGAAAGACAGTAAGAATGCTTTTAAGAAATATTATTACTAGGTTACGTTTCTTGAACATTTATTATGCACCTAATTCGGAGCTAAGCATTCAGCTGCTCTACCTCATTTAATCCTTACCAGGATCCTATGAGCAGACTCTGAGCCACCCGATTTTACCAATATGGAAACTAAGGCTTAAAGAAGTTCAACAACTTGCCCATAGTCACACAGCAAGAAAGAAGGAAAGATAAAGATTTGGTTCAATTTGTAGTTATAATGTGGGTTTATAGGCCACATTATGGGGTCATAATCTCTTCAAATTTGAATGAGGGAACTGAAAATTCAATAGAAAATGTCAAAGAACAAATTAGCTTCTATAATAACTTCTAAATGGCCCAACTGAGCAGCTCTCCGAATACTCAGATGATTAAAGATGTGGTTGAGTGTTTCCTTTGGCAGTAGGAAATTGCCTTTGTCTTGAGAAACATTTTCTCTCCTTCCTGCTCACTGGGGTGAGACCATGGCTAGAGGCCTGGTGGGAGAGACTCCAATGCAGGAAGAAGATGGGAGAGGATGAGGCGTCCTGGACCAGGTGACATGTCAGCACCTCTGGCGTCTGTCTCCAGTGTTAGCCCACAGAATTAGGCCAGACAGTGTCATATTCTACCAGCTACAGCTATGGGTGGGGGCATCGGGCCTGGTTCCTGGGGTATACCTCCCATAAATCAGTTCCCAAGCCTGCTGCACAATTGCAATGCCTCTCTTTCAAGCAGCTCTGGGAAAAAATGGTTCCATCTGCACACTGCTAGGTAATAAACTGGAAGTGGAGCAAATGGATGGAAAGCAATTTTTGGAAGATGAATTTCCAAAAGTATTGGCCACCATTTCTGCACCTCTTCTGGTACTGGAAATGCCTGAGACCCTCAGGTCTGAGGGCCTGAGGGCTGGAGGAGGCACCAATGGACAGAAAAAGAGAAAAAGGCTACTTCTTGTGTGAAGGGCTGGCCAGGAAAGGGTTCTTACAAAGGACTTCCCATTAATGACTCTTCCTCCTTCTTCTTTTTGTCTTTCACCTTCATCTTCCCCACCACTACCTTCATCATCACCAGCACCATCATTATTACCATCATCATCATCATGGTTAATTGGTTAATTGGCCTATTGAGGCCTTCTTATGTACCAGCCAGCGCTGTGCTGAAATCTGTATATCTTTATGTGAATTACCTCTTTTCAAGTCCTACCAATGCCTGCCCTGATTACATTACATAAGACTGCAAACCCAACCCCCCACTGGCATGCTCTATGGCCCTTACTTTGCTTTGTTTTTCTCCATACCTTTTATTAACTTCTTTTAAAAAAATTCATATTCAGGGGGTACATGTGCGGTTGTGTTGCATGGATATATTACGTGATGCTGAGGTTTGGGCTTCTAATGAGCCCGTTGCTCAGATAATGAATGTAGTATCCAATAGGTAGTTTTTCAGCCCTTGCTCCCCTCCTTCCCTCCCTCTTTTTGGAAGCCCCTATGTCTATTGTTTCCACCTTTAGGTCCATGTGTACCCAATGTTCAGCTCCTATTTATAAGTGAGGACATGTGGTATTAGGTTTTCTGTTTCTGCATTAATTCACTTAGGATAGCAGCCTCCAGCTGCATCCATGTTGCTGCAAAGGTCATGATGTTCTTCTTTTTATGGTTACATAGTATTCCATGGTATATATATGTACCACAGTTTAAAAATCCAGTCCACCATTGATGGGCACCTGGGATGATTCCATGTCTTTGCTATAGTAAATAGTGCTGGAATGAACATACCAGTGCAGGTGTCTTTTGGGTAGAATGATTTATTTATCTTTGGATACATACCCAGGGATAGGATTGCTGGATCTAATAGTAGTTCTTGTTTTAGTTTGAGAAATCTCCAAACTGCTTTCCACAGGGGCTGAATTAATTTCCATTCCAAACAACAGTGTATGTAACCTCTCCAACAGCTGTAATTTTTTGACTTTTTAATAAAAGCCATTTTCACTGGTGTGAGATGATATCTCATTGTGGTTTTGATTTGCATTTGTCTGATGATTAGTTATGATGAGCACTTTTTCACATGTTTATTGGCCACTTTTACGTTATTAACTTCTAACACACTCAATAATTTACTTTTTCTACTCATTGCCTGTCTTCTTCATCTGGAATAGATGCTCTGAAGAGCATGGGATTTGTCTCCTTTCTACCACTGCATCCCCGGTGCTGAGAATAACCTCTGACCAATAAAAGGCATTCAATAAATAATTTGCTGAAGAACTGAATGAATGAATGAATGAATGATCCTCTGGCGTTCTCACAACCCTGTGAAACATACTTGGCCTGTGCCTGTCTCTCCACACTCATCTCTTGCTCTGGCCTCATTACATTTCACAAACACAGCCCATCTGGTCACAATTCCTCTAACACTGAAGCTCCTGGTCTCTATCCTTGGTGCAGGCTGTTCCTCCTTTCTGATGTTTTCTCTGCAGGTCTTCCAGGAAGCCTCTAACTCTTTCTCAAGGGTCTTGTTTCCCCGACCATCCAGAGGAGTCACCCCAGTGTTCTTCCATTCCTTGCTTAGCTCTCACAGAGCACCTCTTATACGCTGTGGTTATAGGTGCTCCTTTGTGAACTTGGAGGAGTAGACATCTGCCTGAGCTCCACAGGGGTAGAAGATTTAACTAGATCCCCATTGTAGTCCAAGAGCTCAGTATGGGGCCTGGAACAAAGTAGTTGCTCAAGAAATATTCTCAACCCATTTTATAGATGAGGAAATTAGAATGAGAAGCTGGGATTTGATACCAGGTCTAAATCCAAAGCTCATAAACTGAGTCACTATCTGTGCTGTTCTCTGAGTTTCTTTGGCTCTTCACAAGGTCAGTCACATCATGCCTATTATCTGCCTTGCTTCCCATGTGATACACCTCAGCACCCCTTTAAGATAATCAACTCTTTGTTTATTCTTTCAGGGAATGAACAAAGCACCTCTAGACCAAGCACTATTGTAGAAGACACGGTCAAGGGAGATAAAATCCCGGCTACGATGGACTTTCATTAGAGTGAGGAGACAAGTTATAAGTAAGAAAACAAAGCATAAGAAATTTCAGTTCTATCCAAAAGACACATACACACGTATGTTCATTGCACCACTATTCACAACAGCAAATACATGGAATCAGCCTAGGTGCCCATCAACAGTGGACTGGATAAAATAAAAAAAAATGTGGTATATATATATATACACCATGTAATACTATGCAGCCATAAGAAGAATGAAATCACATCCTTTGCAGCAACATGAATGGAGCTTAGAATAATGGAGGCCATTATTCTAAGTGACTGAACACAAGAACAGAAAACCAAATACCACATGTCCTCACTTATAAGTGGGAGCTAAAGATTGAATACACATGAATCTAAAGATGGGAACAATAGACACTGGGAGCCACTAAACAGGGCAGGGAGGGAGGGGGTGTGGGCAGAAGAACCACCTGCTGGGTACTATGCTTATTGCCTGGGTGATGGGATCATTGGGACCCTAAGTCTCAGCATCACACAATTTACCTGCATGTGTACCATTTAATCTGTAGTAAAAGTTGAAATTTAAATAAAAAGAAATTTCAGAGCAACGTAATTGCTGTGAAGACGGTAGAAATGAGCCATGTGACACAGAGTGGTGGAGAGGTGAATGGCTGCTCTAGATAGAATGTTTACACGTCATTCTCCTCTCTTTGCCTTCCTTGCAACCAGAAAAGCCCTCTTTAGCACCGCCTTGCTTCCCAGGCAGCTTTTAGGAGACCCTCTCTGCTTAAGCTAATCACTTGCATTAGCCCTATAAATGAGACCCTGTGTCCATTAAAGCAAGAAACAGAATGAAAAAATAGGATACCTGGCAGCCCTAAGTCAGAGCTCATGGTCAGGCCTTGTGTCGGTCTCATGTGCTGTAAATCCCTAGTATAGCTGACATACCTGTGACAGATGCAAGCCTAGGAAATGTCCACAGCAGATGTGGGGCCCTCAGGTGATCTGCTTCTTCTGCTAGCTGCATCATATGTGAATACTTTTGCACTAACTGAGGTTTTACCTATAATCTCAAAGTCTTATATCAGAGCTGAGGCTTTTTCCAGTAGAAGTCAAATGGGATTAAAATGCACCTACATGAGGTTAGATAGTTTGTCTGAAGGTTCATTGAACTGGGCTGCTATTCCAACAGAACATAAGTTAGCACAACTTTAGGGCAAGAAAAATGCACCAAAGCTTCCTCTAGAAATGGTTGGCCAGCTGCCTTCCTCTTTCCTCTTCTCCAGCCTAAACTCACCAGTCCAGATGGAGGGCGTGGAGTACTGGAGACGTGAGTTCTGGGCTGACTCTACCACACACTTGGTTTGTGACCTTGAAATGTCTTCATCGTCTCTTGGCCTCATATTTTCTGGATGTACAAGGAGAAAATAAGCTTTATCTTACCTTCATCATAGAATGTCTGTGAAGCTGTGAATATTGAGCTCATATAACTTCTCCAACCCTCCCTCTATACCAACCCATCGTACATAGCATCCTGTGTCTATAGCAAATACTTCAGTAACTATTGTCAAATAAATTGGCTGGATGAATGGATGGATGGATGGATGAACAAATGGATGAATGAAGTCCAATCACCTCAAAATGTTTCATGGTGGCTTTCTAAGGCAGACAAATTGCAAAGAAGGAGCTAGAAGTGACTAGGAGAATCTGGAGTGACTTAAGAGTGACTAGGAGAAGCTGGAGAGGTGCCCTACTTAGGCCAAGAGGCTGGGTAGGTCATCTGTCTCCTTCATGCTATCATTCCCGTGTGAAAGGGGCACAGGACTGATTGGAGTGGAGCCTCTGACAGCAGAGTAAAGGACTGTCAAAATAAATAAGAACTATGGTTCTTCTCTTTTTCCTGAGGTGGGGGATGAAGAAGATTAGAGATTTCAAATGGCTTTTGAGAGGTGTGGAGATTTCTATACTGTAATGATGTCTCTCTCTCCTCTCTCTCTCCTTCTGTCTCTCCACCATCCTAGGATGGATTTTCGAGTCTGGGCTGCAAATAAACATCAGACACCTTTGTGGAGCATGGGGAGGAAAGAGATCAGCAGAGAAAAAGCTAGAACGAAAGTTGAGACAAAAAAAAATAAGATGTTTATTTCAAGCCTAATGAAGCAAAGCACATTTCAGGAAAATGGCAATTATAACTTGACAGTGATGGATCAGAGGTGCCATTGCAGCTGCTGCACCCCTACACACAGTGTTGCTTCCTGGGCCTTCCTTTTCCCAGGAGCCAGCAGCCTGCTGGAGACCAGGCCCAGGCAGCATGTGGGCAGCCTGGCGGGGAAGAGACTCAGGCCACTCCCAGAAGCCAGGCCCTGACTGATCCTGCTGCTTCCATGTTCATGGCCCTGCCCAGCCCAGCTCTGCATCCCTCTGTGCCATCCAGGACCTCACCAGTGTCATTCATTCACATCCCATCTTCACAGCTTTTGCTACACCACCTACCATCTGTGCCTATTTTTTACTTTTTCCTCAATTCAATCTATTTTGTTTTCTTATACACAAATATTATAAAAAGAAATTTTACCTACCTGTCACATGTGAAAAACTGGATCACTTGTCATAATGAATTAGAAGGAGCACATAACTATTAACATAAACCCCTGCCTCCATGTGCCACTTAAAATCTTGCATACTCACAGGAGTCCCCATGCCACACTTTGAGACTCTGTGGTGGAAATCAACCCTGGATTAATGTGGATTCACCTCATGATGACTTTCAAGGCCTGAGATTCCTTTGGAACTAAGGAGATCTTCCTAATCAAAATCTCATTACACTGTGGTGCTAGCGATGCGTTCATTAATTCCATAGTTAAATATCAACCACCTACCGTATGTCAGACACTGTGTTAGACACTTGACACACGACAGTGAGGAAAACTGACCCAACCAACTCCGCCTTCTTAGAGCTTCCATTTCAATGGACAAAACAGGTAAATCATAAACATAAGATTGGGAGAATAAAATAGGATTGGGAGATTCTGGAACCAAAGACTGTAGCTTCAAATGGATGGTCAGGGTAGGCCTCGTGGGAAGGAAGAAAAAAAGGAGACAGTTATCTGGAAAGAAAGGACTTCAGGCAGAGGGAGCAGTCATTGTAAAGGCCCTGGGGGAAGGCGGGGTGAGGAGGCCAGTGTGGGTGATGCTGAGAAGAGCCAGAGAAGAAGCAAGAGCGGTGGGGAGGACCAGAGTGTAAAGACCCTGAGGGCCAGTGGGAAAATTTGGATTTTACTTTGTGGAAAAATGGGAGTCAATGGGGAGTCACTGGAGGGTTTCAGGCAGAGACAAAGAATTATTTGACTTAGAATTTAAAAGAATCACTATGACTTCTGTGCTCAGAACAGATTATTGGGAGCAGGGGGTGAGTCAGGGATGGAGGTAGGAAAGCCAGTTACTAAGAGACTATTGAAATGATCCAGTAATGGAGCTCCAGTTGTGCAATCGGTTAGCACATGGTACTTACATGAAATAATCCAATAGTGAGATGTTGGTGGGTAGATATGTGGCTGTTTAGATGGTGCAAAGTGGTCATATTCTGAATATATTGTGATGATATACCCTAAGGACTGGATATGTGGAACAGAGAAGTCAAGAATGACTCCAAGATTTTTGACCTGAATAAATAAAAGTATTGTGTTGACATCAACTAAGATGAGGAAGCCTAGGGAAAGCAGGATCATGGGAGAAGGAGTTTCATTTGGGACAAGATGGGTTCAAGATGTCTATTGGGCACAAATACTGTCACACCTCCCCACTACATTGATATCAGGATTAACCATGGAACTTCATTTGTCCAGTGAGACGTGAACAAAAGTTTAAAGCATCAGTTTATGGTTACCATGTTTTCTATTTTCCTTTGCACTGTGATCAGTGACATTCCAGGTGGGAACTGTTCCATCAGCCGGAGTCCTGGAGTGATGATGACATGGTGCAGAGCATGAGGGACATGTAGCAGGAGTGAGAACCAACCATTTTGTGATATGCTGCTGAGATTTGAGGTTACTGCTAGCAAATCATAGCCTACTCTTTCCTGTCTGATACAAAGTCCCAGTGGGAATGTCAAGAAGGCAGTTCGATACCTTTGGCTTGAGTTAGAAAGAGGTGCAGTCTGAAGATATAAATTGGGATGTCATTGGCATATAGGTGGTATTTGAAGTCATAAGACTGCATGAAACCAACAAGGGAAGGCAGAGAAGAAAAGAGGGCCAAGGACCGAGCCCTGGAACCTCCAGCCTTCAGAGGTGGTGAAAGGAGGAGACAACAAAGGGGGCTGAGAAGGACTGAACAATATGATGGGGAGAAACGAAGAGAATGTGGTGTCCTGAAAGCCACAGGAAGAAAATGCACCAAAAAGGAGGATAGTTAACTGTGACCAATAATCCTGACTGCTCAATCAAGACAAGGACTCAGAATTGGCCACTGGATTTAGTGACACGAAAGTCTTTGATAATCCTGCCAATGGCAGTGTTTGTGGACTGGTGAGGACAGAAATCAGATTGGATTAGGTTTGGGAGAAAAAGAAAGGAAGGGAATTGGAGACAGCATGTATAGACAACCCTGCAAGGGGTTGTACTGCAGAGGTGAGCAGAGAAGTGAGTTGGAGCTGAGAGAGTAAATGGAGTCAAGATATTTCAAGTGGGGAGAAACAGCAGTATTGCTTCTATACTTTAGGGAAAGATCTGATTGAGATGGAAATTTTGAGGCATTAGGAGATAAGAGGGGAGCATTGCTGGAGAGTTGTCCTTGAAGAAGCCAAAAGGGATGGGATTCGGCACACAGCTGAAGGGACTGGCTTCCTACAGGGGCCCTGACAATTCTTTTGTGGTAACAGATGGAAAGTCAGAGGATATGGACAATAAGCGTTTCTCATTCTAAATTCAGAGAGTCACCAATGACACCTTGGTCCATTTTCACAGCTTTTCCTCACTTTCAGTTACGCAAATAATAGTGTTCCAACAATGTAGGCTCATGCCTGTGAATTACTTTTTCTTTCAATCTCAAACTTGATTCAAAACTCCTCTTGTTCTCTCCCTCAACCATGCTCAAGCTGCAGAGAGAGAAGGGAGGACAGGGTCCAGTGCTGAGACAGCTCCCCTTCTTTCCTCTTCTGGGTGCTAACTCTTCTAGTTTGGGTACACAAAAGAAGGGTAATAGTAGATATTTTCTCCCTTACATATATGATGATATATGGGAGTTGTGGAGGGGTCCGGTTCAAGCTAATTCTCTCCAAAACTGTAGATTCCATATAAGTGTTCATAGAGTGAGGGTCAGCTTCACCTTAACCTCTGGAAAACCAAGAATCTCCTTCCAAAAAGCTGCAACATCTCCCTTTGGCCTCATTGACAAAAACCCCCTCTCTACCAAAAATACAAAAATTAGTCAGGCGTAGTGGCAGACGCCTGTAATCCCAGCTACTCGGGAGGCTGAGGCACGAGAATTGTATGAACCCAGGAGGTGGAGGTTGCAGTGAGGTGAGATCATGCCACTGCACTCCAGCCTGGGGGACAGAGCAAGACTCTGTCTCAAAAAATAATAATAATAATAATAATAATAATAAATAAATAAATAAATTTAAAAAAACCCTCAACCTTTTCTCTGGGTCAGGCAATCTGTTGCTTGCCCTAACATTTACCAAGGCACCCAGGGCACTTTCCCTTCTCCCAATTTCATGCTCTGCAGGGGTTGTCTTCCACAACTCCCAGAGCCAAGGAGACCTGGATGCCCTGTCTTCCTTCCTGCTATATTTTTCTCTGTAGTCCTTATCACCATCAGACAATATTTTGTTTATTCATTTTGTTTATTGTCTAACTTCCCCAACTACATTGCAAAAGCCATGAGAGCAGAGATATGCGTTGCTTGGTTCACTTGGTTCACTGTTAAATTTCCTGTGCCCACAAATATTTCTTAATGAATGAATGAATGAATGAAGTAGGAATTGCACCCAACTTCTTCCTGAACACATTGTGGTAGATTATTATAGTAATTATCCCAATGAATCATGTCTCCCGCTATGGGCCCCTCCACATTAAACCTGGGCTTGACCAAGTGACTTGCTTTAGCCAATGGAACATTAGAAAGAATGGCCCAAGAAGAATCTTGTACATTGGGGTTTCTCTTTTTCTTGCTGTTTTTGGCACATAGACACCATGTAAGAAAGTCCAAGACAGCTTGTGAGGGGAGGGAAATGTGGTCCAGCTGCCAGCCAGCACCGATCATCAGACACATGATTAGATCATTTAGACCTCCCAGCCCCAGCCAAGTCACAGGATGACTGCAGCCACAGATTCCATGCCAAATTAGTGATGTAAAAACAATGACTATTGCTTTAAGCTACTGAGTTTTGGATGCTTGTTATGCAGCAATAGATAGCTGTTACAGAGCAGGACATCTTTGTCCATTCCACCCTGTTGGCACACGATACTTCACAAAATGGATTCCCAAAGAGCATCTCTCTCTCCTTCTCAGCAGCATCCAAACTCAGGAGTCCAAAGAATTCAACAAAGCCCAAATTCCTCTTTGTATGTCCCCCAATCCCATAAGTCATTGTGGCATCTGATGCAAATTATTTCCCAGAAACCACACTCATGACCCAAGCTGACCTTCCAAAAATAACCAGGGTTGCTTGAGCACTTATTCTGCCTGTGCACAGGAACGAGAGAGAGATTTCTCTTGGACTCTCTCGGAAGTCCTTGGCCAGGGAATTCATAAGTCTTTTCCTAAAGGGAGTGAAAGAGGCAGGTGGGGGGACAGCTTCATAGCATGATCTATGTGTGCTCAGCCCTCTGTTCCCTGTGGCTTCTGAAGCCCCCACCCTGAGGGCACTGCTGGGTCGCTGAGACCTGTCATGCATTTATTTCTCCTTCCATCCCCCAGGTCCCTGCTGTTCCTTCCCACCAATCAGAGATCTGCCAGGCAGTCCTCACCAGGGAAATCATCCTCTAGCATCCTGACCCCATGGAATTAAAAACCTGGCCTGCTACATTAGCAAGGGTGAGTGCACAGGACCTGCAATGCTGCCTCAAACACCTGCAATCCCAGCTCTCCCAGCTCCAGGGAAGGTGTAATTGAGGTGTACAGGAGCAGATGTGCCCTCATTTTGCACATGCCACCGATCCCTGAGCCTTTGAAGCCAAGCACCCAGGGGCCCAACAGGGAGTGCCTTCCCCTTCCAAGACTATATTCACTTCCAAAGTGAGCCCCCAAGTTCAGTCTTCCATCACATATACTGAGTGGGAAATACCAGGATGTGGTGTGTGTCCAGGGTAGAGAAAACTTACTTCCCTTCCAAGTCCTCACCCAGCCCTTTTCCCAAAGAGCTCCCCAGCTCTGAGGGACAGCTCTGTACTCACCGAGGAGAATCTCAAGTTTTCTCCTGCCCT
The DNA here is from genome assembly GCF_000001405.40 of Homo sapiens. NCBI lineage: Eukaryota > Metazoa > Chordata > Mammalia > Primates > Hominidae > Homo > Homo sapiens. The sequence continues at coordinate 48,865,190 of NC_000016.10, read as the reverse complement.
CAAGACCACCCAGGATGAATCCAGCCCTCTAGCACAGAGGTCACAACACAGAGGCACTAAGATGTGTTATCTCTGGCTGACCACATCTTACTGCCCAACTGCAGAAGGTGTGGCCAACAGATGGCTTCAACCTGTAGCTCCTTCAGAGTCAGCCTCAGCTGCAGAGAGCTGCCTCACCTGAAGCCACACCCTTCCCAGGGCAGCCCATGCCCAGTCATACGGTCTGAGGGATACAAATGCCCAGCTCTTCTGATGGGCACAGGTCATGTCCGAGAGATAGCAAGTACCTCTTGTACTGGGTTGGCCAATGCTCTGTCAGGCCTCCAATGCCATTTGACTCCTTCCTCTATTCCACCCTGCTTTCTCCCACTTCCTTTCACAGGAGTTGCTCCCTGATAAATATTTTGCACTCCAAACCATCTCAGCCTCGGCTTCTGGAAAATTTAACCTGTGACAGGGCCTGATCCAAGGAGTGAATTTATAACTGAATTGAAGGACATCACACAAAGAGTGGCTAGTCCAGTTGGGAAACTGAGACTGAAGGGCAGACTTTTCTGAGGTCGCTGAAACAGAAAAGGTCAGAGCCATGATCTCCTGACTCTGAGAACGGAGCTCTGCTGGGAAAACTTCTCTTGCAGACCTACCCCCTACCCAGGCTGTACTAGAGAATAAGGTATGGCAGATCGATTCCCTCAAAAGTGGAGCCTAAGACAAGGATTTGGGTGCAGGTGGCTTATTTGGGACATGATCCCAGTAAGCAGGTATGAAGGAGTAAAGAGAATGGCCCAGGAAGGAGAAGAAGCCAGTACATTGGGGTGTTGTTCCAGCTACTGCCATGGACAACTAGGGTTCAATTCTGCCAGACCTCTGAGAGGCATCCAGACCACCACCCAGAACTCTCCACCAGCAGAGCACTTATCCGCCTGGTTCTGCCCCTAGTGGTTGAGAGCTGCTTCAGGTGACACCCACCCACTTCTGGGTTCTGGTTGAGCATGGGCCAAGCTGGCTCCCACACTGTCAGAGAAGATCCCAGGACAAAAAGTGGAACATCATGGCCTGCACAGAGAAGCTGGCACTAGCCCATTATAATGAGGTGTAAGACACAGTAGTGAAAGAATTTACAAGATATGGAAGTAGTACAGAAGAGGATATGCTTAAATATGGTGGTGAGAAGTCAAAACATAATAGCTGCATGGAAGAAGCTAGCTCTGAGTAAGGTTTTGAAGGATGAAGAGTAGTTTTCTATATCAGTAAGGTAGAAGGCACAACATGGAGACAAGATTGCATAGTGCGTTTGGGGTGCTACAGGTGTTTTGTTATTTCTAGTGCATAAAGATCAAGGAGGAGGCCGGGCATGGTGGCTCATGCCTGTAATCCCAGCACTTTGGGAGGCTGAGACGGGTGGATCACCTAAGGTCAGCAGTTTGAGACCAGCCTGGCCAACATGGCGAAACCCCATCTCTACAAAACATACAAAAATTAGCTGGGCGTTGTGAAAGGTGCCTGTAATCCCACCTACTCGGGAGGCTGAGGCAGGGAGAATCGCTTGAACCTGGGAGGAGAGGTTGCAGTGAGCCGAGATCGCACCATTGCATTCCAGCCTGGGTGACAGAGCAAGACTCTGTCTCAAAAAAAGAAAAAAAAAAAAGGATCAAGGAGAAGAGGCACCAAAGACAGAATTGATGAGAAGGCAGCGAAGAAGCTCTAATACCATTCCAAAAATTTACGTTTTTGCCCAAAGGGTATTTTTTAAATTTTATTTTTAAGTTATTATATGGTAAAATTGACTTTTTTCCTTTATTGCACAGTTTTATGAATTTTAACACGTGTATAGGTTCATGTAAATCACCAATCTAATCAGGATACAGAACAGTTCCATACCCCCAAAAAAACTTCCTTTACAGTCACATCCTCCCCTAACACCCAACCCCTGGCAATCACTAATCCGTTTTCCATCACTATATTTTTGTCTTTCTGGTAATGCCATATAAATAGAATTATATAATATGTAACCTTATGAGATTGGCTTCTTTCATTCACCATAATATCTTCAAAATTCATCCATGTAGCTGCATGTACCAAAAGTTGGCCTTTTTATTGCTGTGTAGTATTCAATCGCATGGATCTTTAGCTATTCCTCTGTTGAAAGTCATTTTTGCTGTTTCCAGTTTGGGGCAATTATAAATAAAGCTGCTAAAAACATTTGTGTACAGGTCTTTGTATGAACATAATTTTTCATTTCTCTAGGGAAAACACCCAGGAGTGTGATCACTTGTTATAAATGTGTCATATGTTATACATGTGTTTACCTTTTCAAGAAACTGCCAGACTGTTTTCCAGAATGGCTGTACCGTTTTGCATTCTCATCAGCAATGTATGAGCATTCTAGTTGCTCTGTATACTCATCAGTACTTGAATGTATTTTTTATGTCAGCCATTCTAATATGTATGCAGTGGTTTGAAGCAGGGAGTGACATGATCAAATTGGAGAGAAAAATTTAAGGCAGGGAAGCTAGTTAGGAGAGTGATGCAGTCATGACGGCAAGAGACACTGGTGGCCTGGACAGGGTGATGGCTACGGAGATGAAGTGTAGGGGAGAAATACTCCAGAGAAGAATCAGTGGGACTGGGTTTGAGGAAAGAAGTCTAAGATGGCTGTCAGGTTTCTGGCTCATCAAGACCGCAAGGTCCCACGTGGAGCACAAGTTGGAATTCCACTGTTCAGAGCTGGGGTGAGTCAGCGGGGAGTGGAGCAGCCTCCCTCCCCTGACGGCTATGCGTTCCCACGTGAATGATTGCAACAAACAGCTTGACTCCATTTACAAAGAAAAATTTACATCCCCTCTGTGGGGGGAGACGTGTCTATCTATTGGCCAGCCTGTGTTTATAAACCTGCCAACAGCCCACAATCTGGGAGTGACCTTTGCTGGTTGTAAACACAAATGCAGATGTCCTGATCGTGAATCAGGCAGAGGCCCAAATGTGGAGCAGCCGAGGAAGGAGGCAGAAAACCCTACCAAATGTCTGAATGTATACTGCCTCCTGCCTGGGGGTAAAGGAACTCCTCATTTCTACATTATTGCTGAATTTCAGGAGTTGTTTTCAGTTGGTTCCAGTTGTTCTTAGAACCCTTGTTGAGATTATCAGTTTTGAAGCCCTGGATAAAATAAAATGTGAATACCAGGAAATAAGAACACCAATTAGAAGCTGTCACTTGATCATAATGTTGGAAGCTTACATTTAATATGAGCTTGGGTGGGCTGCATGCCAAGTCTCTGGCTACAGGGAAAAGGGAACTTTAGAAAGGATACTCCAACGCTTCCCCCTAAGAGAGGGACTCCAGGGTCTCCCAACCAGCCCAGTGCCAGGTCCCAAGCTAATGGAGCCTTTGCAGAACCGGCCTCCAACATGGGGAAGGAATTCCGCAAAGCTCACCAGAAAGTTCCCTTCCTCTCACCTCTATATCACCCACCTTTCTCTAAGAGCTCCAAATATTGTACTTTACTGCAGAATTTTCAGTATCCTTTTTATCCTTGCTTTTATCTGAACCTCAGAATAACTCGAATGTTATTATCCCACTTTTCCATTAAAGGAGCTGAGGTTTAAAGAGGATAAATGACTTTTCTAAGGCCATGCATCAGGTCAGTGGTAGAATTTAGATCCAAGCTTAGGTCTCAGATTCCACATCTAGAACAGCCTTCTAGCACGCTTCATCACTACTTTTTCTTGGGAATGTCAATTTGGATGACATCACAGCTTGTATAGAAGACTTCTGTTGGCTTGGCTGCTCTTGCCTCCACTTTCTGAGAACTGACCCCCTTCCTTCCCTCCTGAAAAATTATTAAACCTGCAGTCAGAAGACCTGAGTTCAAAACCCAACTCCACCCCTTGCTAGCTTAAATTAGTTACTATACTTCTGTGAATGCCATCTCTTGTTTTGTGTGCATGCAAATTTATGTGGTACAAGTGTAATTTTGTTATATGCATAGCTTGCATAGTGGTGAAGTCAAGGCTTTTAGAGTACCCATCACCCAAATAATGTACATTATGTTCATTAAGTAGCCTCTCGTTCCTCATTCCCCTCCCAACCTTCCAACTTCCCACCATTTCAAGTCTCTGTTGTCTATCATTCCACTCTATGTCCATGTATATACATTATTTAGCTCCCACTCACAAGTGGGAACATGCCATATTTGTCTTTCTGAGTTGTTTCACTTAAGATAACAGATTCCAGTTTCGTCTTTGTTGCTCCAAAAGACATTTTTTCATTTTTTATGGATGAATAGTATTCCATTTTGCTCATGTGTCACATTTTCTTTAACCAATCATCCACTGGTAGACACTTAGGTTGGTTCCATGACTGTGCTATTGTGATTAGTGCTGTGATAAACATACGGAGTGCGGGAATCTTTTTTGTATAACGATTTATTTTCCTTGGAGCAGATACCCAGTAGTGGGATTGCTGGGTCAAATGGTAGTTCTATTTTGAGTTCTTTGAAAATTACTGTTTTCCATAGAGGTTGTACTAATTTACATTCCCACCAACAGTATATAAGAGTTCCCTTTTCTTTACATCCTCACCAACATCTGTTATTTTTTGTCTTTTTAGTAATAGCTGTCGTCACTGGTGTAAGATGATATCTCATTGTGGTTTTAATTGCATTTCTCTGATGATTGGGGATGTTGAGCAATTTTTCCTATGCCTGTTGGCCATGTGTGTATGCCTTCTTTTGAAAAATGTCTATTCATGCCCTTTGCCCACTTTTTAATGGTATTATTTATTTTTGTTTTTGTTGAATTGTTTGAGTTCCTTATAAATTCTGAATATTAGTCACCTGTTGGATGCATAGCTTGCAGATATTTTCTCCCATTCTGTAGGTTGTCTATTCTCTATGCTAATTATTTATTTTGCAAAACTGAGGATAACAACAATGTCTTACAGGAGTGTCGTCCAGCAAAATTCTCGTAATAAAAAATAAGTGGGAAATAACAGTGGCAGACTTTTTGGACATTTATTCACAAGCATTTATTATAAACTCCTACTATGAATCAGTCCTGTGCTAGATGTAGAAACCAGGCCAAATTATTGTGTTTTCTGCCTTTGAGTTTGAAAAGGCAGAGACCAAAGTTTTCCTTACAAGTGCTGCTGGACTCTAGGAATGAAAGACCATTCCAGCAAAGGTAATTGGTTAAGGGTGTTAGCCACTAGAAGAGGAATTTCCACTTGGCAATTAAGTTTGCAAATATGATACAGTCTTATAGAGTGTATTTCTTCAAATTGATGTGTTCTTTTTCATGTAATAATCAATTAGTGGGTGTTTCAATTGCTTAATTAGCTCTGCATGTAAATTAATCTCTGCATATTGAAAATGCAAAACTTGTCTTGTAATGTTGGATTGCTTCTGAGGTAAATCAAATGACTGTAGCCTTGGCAAAGGTTCTTGGTTTCAAGAGTCACCAAAAGCCAGCAGATTCCTTTAGCCACGTGAGTATGGGGACTTAGGGAGGATTTAGTATATGACAGTCAGTCTAATTATATTTACCCATAGAAAAGACTCCATGTCATTTCTTATTTCTGCTCTCAGGCAAAACTGCCTGTTGAATGATTAAATTCTTTGAGCCATTCAGGTCTTATGCCCTGACATTAATGAGGAATGAAAGATATGTTTCTCATTTCCCAGGCAGACATGGGAGCTGGCAGGTGAAACCCATTCCCTGCTTCATCAAGGAGGCTGGGAGGGTAAAGGAAAGGTAAATTTATAACCAGTTCTGACTCTACCACCCAAGGGAAACTCCAACTTCTTCAAGAAGCCTCCTCTGACTATGGTCAGCCACAGTATCCTCTCCCTATCTCCAAGTCCCCCTAAGATGGTCATAACCTAGCTCTTACCTGTTACATCCTATGATATGGGTTCATGGCACTGACACCCATTTGGAATCACACAGGCCTGGGTTCAAATCCAGACTCTGCTCTCTACTAGCTGTGTAACTCGCCTCACTTGTAAAATGAAAGGAATAATATTCCACCTCCTCACTCAGCCCAAGTAAGGTCCAAATGAGAACAGCATTGTAAAGAAAAAATGGTATAAAAGTGTTGGTTATTTTGTGTTCCATGTTATTTTCTTGTACCCTTCAAAAGCAGGGGCTGAGTTGCTGCTTTTCCCCTCCTGAGTCCCCCCTCCCCATGCTTAGCCCAGGACTAGTTTATAGCACAGCCGAGTGCTCAGCAGAGCACAGGAAGACAGGACACTCAGCCTTGGCCAGCCTGCCTTGGAATTTTGTTGTGTGGCCCCTGAACTCCCTCTCAGTTTGGTTTCCTGTAGTTTATTTTGAGAAATTTGGGACAAATACAATCCTATCTCTGGAGCCTCAGATGCTTGAAGCTGCGTAGACAGGGCTGCTCACATTAATCAGATCCTACTTACTTGTATCATCACCCTTTACACATGGCCAATGAAAACCTTCCCAATATGACTCAGCCAGGAGAAAATCCACCTTTAGGTCAGAACTATCATATTGACCTCCTTTTAGGGCCCAGTCTCCAGAGGCATGGTCACAAAGGCCTCTAATGACTCTGGAGAGCCTCTAGGACCTCATTATGAAGCTGCAGTGACCAGTGATCCCAGATGGACATCCTCCAAGGCTAACTGCTGGAACTCTGTCCAAGCTGCCATGGATTAAAATTTGGGGGAGGAGTCTGACACCCCAGTGGGAAGGAGCACTCCCTAAGGAAGGGACCCCCTTCTGGCCCAGAACACTCAACACAACACTGAGCACATAGAAAGTGCTCAGTAAAAACTTACAAGAATGGGGTAGGGGTGGGGAGAATAAACACATAAAGCAAAAAGCAAACCCATGAATGTGTAAAAATAAAGGAATTAATGAGCAAATGAATGAATAAATATAAATAAAAGTGAATGAGAGAATGAAGAAAGGAATGGCTTTGAAAGATCAAAGCAAAGAATGAAGAACTCAGCCTTCCTGCTCCCACCTCTTTCTCTATACAAATCTTTCTTCTAAAATCGGACAGCTTTGGGAGCCATGCAAGAATGAGAGCATTTTTGGTTACATCTAGGAATCCTTCGCATCCTTAGGACCCAGGATGTGTTTTCAAGTCATTGAGAAATGCATTTTCCACTTCTTTGTCTGCTATCTGGGAACACAGAGTGTTTCTACAGACAAGCATTACCTGTGTCTAGAATCTTCATTCAGAAGCATGCAACCCTCATCTGCCTGCATCACGGGGCGAGCAGAACTTCCTCAAGGGACCGCAAGTTCCATAAACAAACACTCAGAGCTTCCATGAACACTTTGATGACTCAGAGTGGCATTTATTTGGGGCAGGTAACTGAGGGCTGAAGCTTTTCACATGAAGGGCAGGGAGAATAAACACCTTCCCTTCCTAATGCCAATTCCTCTTCCCTCATTTTTAGAATGGAGGTCTCCCTGTTTCTGTGTTCCCCATGCCTGGTGTTTATACCTAATTTCTTAAGAGACTGTGCTTAACACATGGTGAAGACTTGGTCCAACTTAGGTGAAGTGTTGGTGGAAGGATCCAGCCAGGACAGCACAAAGCAGCCCACCACATAGCGCTGCACAGCTAAACTCAGAGTTTTCTGGAGAAACCATAAACAATTAAAATTGTTTGCTTTAATCTCCCTATCTGTCCTGCTCAAGGACAGAATGCATAGCCTGGCCTCTGTTCTAGCTGCTAACTAATCAGTTTACCCCTCCCCAGTGACATAGACACAGACACACACACACATAAACCTGCCAAAAGCAAACAAGATTCACTATTCCCAGATTCTCTGCTGGTTTTCCCCCCTCTCTCCTCTCTCCCCTTTCTCTTATAAATCCTTTTTTTTTTTTTTTGGCTACAGTCCCCTATTTTCCCTCAGTAGGATGGGAAGGAAACATAGGATGTTTTGCCTGAGCCTGAGGGATGGTTCCTGGAATGCTAGATTTTCACAGGCCCAGGCAAACCAGGACAAGTTGGTCATCTTATCACTCACATGTGAGAAAATCTGTATGCAAAAAAACAGCTGTCTCTAAATCACTGCTTGAAACTATTTAACATATGATATACTTAAAACACTTGTGGAAACATAGTGAATGTTCAACAAATGTTAGTTACTGTTAGTATTTTTGTTGTTGTAATATTCTGGTTGTTCAAGTCCAATGTCACTCCCACCCCAGAGGTATTCCTTCCATCTTCCCCATGCACACAACTCAGCAAAGTGCCTCCCCAGATTGTTTGTGATAGGTCAAATTGCATCATTTTAATTCAACAAAATTCACTGGATCCCAACCCTGTCCCAAACACTGGGCTGGACAGATATTTAACAGTAAGCTGCAAATGGACTTGCTCTGTTGGCATAAGATTTACAGCAGCTGTCCCCAACCTTTTTGGCACCAGAGACCAGTTTCATGGAAGACAATTTTTCCAAGGACCAGGTGTAGCGGGGTGGTTATGGGATGAAACTGTTCCACCTCAGATCATCAGTCATTGGATTCTCATCAGGAGCACACAACCTAGATCCCTGGCATGTACAGTATGGGAAAACTTACACAATAGGGTTGTCATTCTTGAGAGTCTAATGCTGCCACTGATCTGACAGGATGTGGATCTCAGGCAGTAATCGGCCCGGGGGTTGAGGACCCTTGGTTTACAGTTTAGTATGGAAGACATTGAGTAGATAGACTCCCAAGTTAATATATAGTAATATATTGGAGTGAGGGCTAAGAAGGAGATACATAGGGTGCTAATGTGAAAGCCTAACAGGGTAGACCTCATTTGGTTGGAAAGTCAGACAAGGCCTTGCTGAGGAAGTTGCATCTAAACTAAGACTAAAAGAGTAGTGAGAGGTAGGTAAGTGATGAAAGGTAAGTGATTCACTTTGCAAGATAAAAGCAGCCCTGCAAATTTTGACTGTTCCTCAAGTGTTTCAAAGTAATGAGCCAGAAAGTCTAGTTATTTAAGCAAAGCCAATGGTGAAAGCTGTAAAGTTGAAGAATTTCATGTAGCATAAATGATGATCCCATATTCAGCTGTTGTGCAAAGGTTATCCTACACTCACATGCCACAATTTGAACACCAGCAATTCATAAAAATCTAGTTTTAGGGCCAGGCACAGTAGCTTACACCTGTGATTCCAACACTTTGGGGGGCCGAGGCCAGAGAATAGCTTGAGACTAGGAGTTTGAGGCCAGCCTAGGCAACATAGTGAGACTCCTGTCTCTAAAAAACATTTAAAAATTATCTGGGCATAGTGGTGCACACCTGCAGTCCCAGCTACTCAGGGGGCTGAGGTGGGAGGATCACTTGAGCCCAAGAGTTTGAGGCTGCAGTGAGCTATGATTGTGCCACTTCACTCTACCTTGGGTGACACAGCAAGACCCTGTCTCTGAAAAGAAAATCTAGTTTTGTACAAGTGCTGGATTCTGAAGGGGGTGGTCTTGACTTTAGAAAGTATTCTCCGCCTTTCTTGGAGGCATCCTGTGGACCATAGAGCCATGTGGGGTAGAGGAAAGGGTTTGAAAATCAGGGGCAGAGGCTCTGGGGTCAAGATCTCATTTTGCTCCCTCCTAACAATGTGCCCTCGTGCTGATCATTTATTGCCCTCTGGGCTTCACCTTCTCTCTCTTTAAATGGGTACCTTTCCCCCATGCCAGCTGCTTTGCAGGGCTTTTATGAGGAACAGATGAGTAAAGCCCTGGGAAAATGTTAGCTGTCAGCATCTATCTCTCTCTCCAAATTGTGAGCTACTTCAGGACAGAAACTATATGTACCTCAAACAACTCAGACAATGCAAGAGATTGGGGGATGTCTAAGAAGTGGTTGAATGGAAGCAAGTGGTATTAAGAGGCAGAATGATCACACAAGTTCTAGATTCAGAGAAGCCTAGGCTTGAATCCACACCCTGCCTCTTTCTGTCTGTGACTGAAATCTTTCAGCTAGTGACTGAAATCTCTGCCTCTGTTTTCCCAGGAATTAGATGGAATATTAATGCCCACTTTTCAAAGCTGAGTTAAAGAATAAAGACAGTGAAATAAAGGAGATAGCATAGTGTTCGGATACTACTCTTAACTCTAAAGCCATAACTCTTTTTTTTTTTTGTTTTTTTCTGGTTGTTTGTTGTGTTGTTGTTGTCGTTTGTTTGTTTGTTTTTTGAGACAGAGTCTTGTTCTGTTGCCCAGGCTGGGGTGCAATGGTGCGATCTCAGCTCACTGTAACCTCCGCCTCCTGGATTCAAGCAATTCTCCTGCCTCAACCTCCTGAGTAGGTGGGATTACCGGCACATGCCACCATGCCAGACTAATTTTTGTATTTTTCATAAAGACAGGGTTTTACCATGTTGGTCAGGCTGGTCTCGAACTCCTGACCTCGTGATTTGCCCGCCTCGGCCTCCCAAAGTGCTGGGATTACAGGCATGAGCCACCGTGCCCAGTCTTTTGTTTGTTTGTTTGTTTTTTGAGATGGAGTCTCACTCTCTCACCCAGGCTGGAGTGCAGGGTGTGATCTCAGCTCACTGCAACCTCCGCCTCCTGGGTTCAAGCAATTCTCCTGCCTCAGCCTCCACCACACCTGGCTAATTTTTGTATTTTTAGTAGAGATGGGGTTTCATCATGTTGAATAGGCTGGTCTTGAACTCCTGACCTCAAGTGATTCACCTGCTTCAGCCTCCCAAAGTGCTGGGATTACAGGTGTGAGCTACCGCACCTGGCCTCAAACCACAAGACTTAAAATAACCCAAGCTCTTTCCTGCCTAAGAGTCTTTGCACATGCTATTCCCTTTGTCTGGAATGCTGTTCCTCCAGCTTTTTATATGGCTGGTCCTACTTATCCACCAATCCTCACCTTCAATGTTATGCCCTCAGTGAGGCCTTTCCTGGCTGACCCATTCAAATGGGGTTTCCTCTGCAAATAAATCTCTATCAGAAAACTCCATTTGATACCTACATTAGTAATCTATTCCTCTGTAGAAAAAAAATACCTTAAAATATAATAGCTTGAAAATAAATACTTATTATCTTGCAGTTTCTGTGGGTCAGGGATTCAGCCTCAGCTTAACTGAGTTTTCTGCCTCAGGCTGGCTCACAGACTGGAAGCAAGGCATTGACTGAGGCTGTGGTCATCTCAAAGCTCAAATGAGGAAGGACCCACTTCCAAGCTCATCCTCGATGCTGCTGATAGACCTGGGGTCCTTGCTGGCCATTGGCTGCAGACATCAGCTTCTTGTCACATGGAACTTTCATAGGGATATGCACATGTGGCCGCTGGCTTCCATCAGAGGGAGGTCTGAGAGAGAGAGAGAGATTGGTGACAAGCAAAACAGAAGTCACACTTTTTATGACTACCAGAAGGCAAAATCACTGGGGACCATCTTAGAGGGTGCCCACCAGGGTAACCTTTGTAACACTTTTCCCAGTCCATGATCTCCCATCTCTGTCTTCCACTTCTTGATGGTTTGACAACTTCTACAAGGCGTTAAGCTCCAAGAGGGCAGAGACCATGTAACAGACCAATAGTAGGAGTTTAATAAATGTTGAATAAACAAAGAAAGGAGGTTCACACATGTCAGGCACTGTGCCATAGGCTAGCGGAGAGCAAGCCCCAGGCCCTGCCAGTGCATGGGTTAGAGGCCCAGCAAGTTATGTCTTCACTGTTCTGTTTGGTTTGTTTTAACCTCATGAGGGACCACGACTCTTGCCTTGCAAAATGACTGAGAAATTTCCCAATTTCTGCATAAAGATTTGTTTTGCCTTCTGGATCCCTGTCATAATTTCTGATATTATGCCAGCTTATCCCTCTGTGTGGGGAGGGCCGGGTGGGGCAGGAGGGGAGACACCGACAGACAGTGGAAAGAGAAAAGTTCTGCAGGGCACAGTAATCCTCTGAACAGCTTTGACGAGGCGGCCAGCGAGGGGCCTGAGAGCTAAGTGTCTGCTGCCCACTGCCCTGCTTGACGGATTGTTTGCCAAAGAGCCTGGCCAGCGGGAGCTTTGACCTTGGAGGGAGAGTGATCTGTCTTCATGGAAACACACTGTCATAAGCACATGTCTCAATTTCGCTTGGGAAGGCCCCGAGGCTGCGCGAGAAGACAGCCTTGGACGTGGTTAAGGAGGAAAAATGTGTGGCCCATACGGGGGCATAGAAGCAGCTAAAATTAACCCAGAGTGGCCCTGGAGGGCATGCAAGAAATCAGTGCATTTCCCTCCAGTTCTGGTGAGTCCTCAGTGAGGCCAGCAGCACAGCCACTCCTTCCTTGGGGAACCAAAGTGTCCCTCGCCTCCCACGTGGCCAGTCTCTCCATTTGTCACCAAGGACAAAGTTGGGGGATGGATCTCTGGAAACAGTACCTTTGACATCTAAGTCCCTCACAGAAACAAAAAACCATACCCTGGTGTCTGTATCATCCCGAAGGTCAAGGAAGTGATGCCCTAGGGGACAGGGTGGGTGATAAATCTGGTGTCTGCACAGTCACCTCTCTGAGGACCCAGCTGAGCCTTTCACCTCTGTCTATGCTGACAGCTCCGGGGGAGATTTATCTGCCAGGATCCGGGCCTGCTGCAGAACCAGCAAACTCATGAATCTGGAGGAGCAGCATTGACTGAAGCCCGAGGTGTGCTTACTAAAGAAGAGAAAGGGACAGGAAGAAGAGCTCAGAGCTCCTGCCAGGCCCCGGTTTTGAGTGACACAGGATCGGGGTATTATGGGATGGCTGGGCCTGGCTATTTTGGGATGAATTGGACAAATAGATAATGTTCGTGGGGAGAAAATAAAAGTCAGGGGTGCTCTGAGAAGCTGATCATGGGCAAATAATAAAGAGACATTCACTAGGGAGGGGAGAGGCTGGTGAGGGGTTTCTGAAGGACTGGCCAGAGGTTCACAGCCCACAGGCAAACAAAAAGGCTGTGCTGACCAATGATACAAAATCCCCCGCTATGCCTGGGGGCACTGGTGGGGGACAGGGGGACAAGGCCCAGTAAAGAGAACAAGCCTCCATCCTTCTGAGATGGGGCCAGGGCCAACCTGTCTAGAGGCAAGGGGCTGGACAAGATGACCTCCAGGGAGATTCTCCTAGGATAGCTGGATTTATCTCCTAATATTTTTTTGAGGTTGTTGTCTTTTCTTGTCTTCTGTACATGTTTGATTGCTTGCCAGAGCCATTTTTGGGCACTATATGTTAGAAGACTAAAGATCCAGTCCTGAGTTTTTAAAAGGATGATGTTTTTTGTGTTTATGTCCTTTTATTTCCACATTCCATGAGGTGGGTGCAGACATGGTAACCCACAAGCTCAGCCTCAACACAAGCCAATCGCTCAGCTCTTACCCCAGCCAGAGACATCATGGGGCTCAAAGCAGCTCCACAAAGGGGTCCCCGCCCTAGAGGCCTAATTGAGCCTAAGAAAGTAGAGTCCCATGACTAATTCATCAGGATTTGTTCAGGGATGCAAAGGAGTGTTGAGAACATCCCAAAACATTCACTCAATGTGAACAGCATAACACACAATCACCAAGTGTGACCGAGAGGTTTTCTCAATAGCTGACAATCACCGAACATCATCCATTGTCACCATTAGAATCCAGGCACCATCCAACTGGCTCACAGGAGCTTTCCCAAGTGCAGATATATGCTCTGCACCACATCTGTCCTCAACGTGATTTTACCCCCTTCCCTGGGGTGATATTGATCTGGCCACACTACTGCATCCTGGAAAATAATTTTTATTCTTTGGCTAGAGGTGTTCTTATCTTCTATAAAGGTTGAAGGTTAGAGTAATTGAAGCTCTGTGAACAATGGTTAACTAGCTATTAATATTTCAAAAGGAAATACCACTTTGAAGACAAACACCTCAAGGGGTAATGTCATGTAAACTCCACTTATATTTATGGCAAGACCCACCAATTTCTTCTTCTGCCTTTCTTTTGACATCAGAAAATGGTGTACACTGGTTAATCAGTTTCCAAATTCATAAAGTTTCATACATTGCCAATGTTCAAAGAATTGAAAAAAAATAAAATACACTGACTTTCAAGTTTCAGCACCAGATAATTGTTACTCTGTGGGCTTGGGTTAGCCAGATCTTCTGATATTACAGGAGAAATCGTACTTCTGGATATTGATGTGATATTCCCAATTTTAAAATGTAGACAACTAAAATTGGCGTTCTGCATCACCTTGGAGGTGATGTGATCACCACGAGGAAACAAAACATGACTGAGTGTGAGATTCAGCCCACTGGAAAGTCAGTTAGACCTGATTTGGCACCCCAGAATTTCCGAATGATTCATTGTAATTTTTGCTTTCTGATTGCTTGGATTGTGAACTTGATTTTTTTTTTTTTACATTAATGGCCACAAAGAGATGGCAGAAGGGAGAGATGGGAAAGGTTGAAAAGAAAGCAGCATAACTGTAGGAAAATCCCTTCTCCCCCTTATAAAAGCATTTTGATGAGCCTTAGATGGCATTCGCAGTGTGAAGGTTCAGTGGCAGGTAGATTGAGAGAGAGGAGCAGGGAGAAAAATGGTGATTTTCCGGGCTGGGCCAGGGCTGCGTGGTCCCCCCAGAGACCCTCTGTGAAATGGCAGTTGTTTGTTCTGCAGAGGTTCCTCTTCCACTGGCTGGCTATGAACAGTCACTGACCTGCTGAAGTAAGGGTCCTTAGGTCACTCTAATCTATGTACTACACACCGATCAATAACTTGGGAGTTACAACCCCCACCCGTAAACATGTAACTCAATCAGCACTGGGAAGGTGGGGGCAAAATTTATCCCCGAAAGCCTGGTGTGAACAGCAGAAAATGTGGGTGATTTCATTATCTGGGATTGCTTTGTCATATTTCTGCTGAACCAAAGGATAACTGAAATGAACATTAATAATTCAGCACCCTGGCCAGGGCTGCAGGAGCTCTGGGCTCTGCCCCTCCCATCCCTGGGCTCCTCCTGGGTTTGGATGCAGAAACAGCCTGGACCCCTGTGGCAATGGGGAGCCCCAGAGGCAAGGTCTGTGTCATTCCCCAAAGCCACTCGAACCTGAAGGATATGCTGACCCCCAAAGAAGGCTGACTCCTTGTGGAGCAGCAATGGGTGCAACCCCAGTCCCAGCCCATGGTCAGGCCTCCTGGGCAGTGTCTAGAAGCTCCGAGAAAGGGAGCGTCTTCCAGGCCAAGAGAAGCAAGAACAAATGGAAATTCTATTTGAAAGATGATGTTATGTGTTTTGGAGGGAGAGACTATGTATTTGCAAAAGCCATTGGTGATGCAGAGTGGTAAATCTTGTGAGCTCAGTACATCAGTTTTGTAAACATCAGTCAGACTATATTGCATATCGTGAAACTCATTTTTATTTTAAATATAGTCCAGCACAGAGCTGCTTTAAAAAGGGGGTGGGTTGTTTTCTTCTTCTTTTTATGCTCTTTTCTTCTGAGGTGGCCATGGGTTTTCTTTTGACCCAAGGGATAGGTGAGGGTGACTATTGGGAAAAAAACTTTTCTTCTCCCATGTCTCTTTTCCCACTTCCCTGTCCTTGTCCTCCACTTTCTGTATACTTTTTCTTTCTCTCTCTTTCTGTTCCTTTTCTTCTGTTTTACTCTATTGATTATCCCTCTTGCTTTAATAGAATTTTAGCATGCCAAACCCCAAACCCCTAGAGACTTCTGATGCTAGGGCTAGCAAATCCAGATGCCTATGGCCCCAAGCAGACCTCATAAAGTTGTAAAGTGGTCAGGGCCTACTAGTGAGATTATATACTAGTGAGAAGTGCTACTGTGGACAACTGAATAGCATGTGTCCCCTGCCTAAATGCATCCAAATTTTATATTTTTAAATTTATTGCTGGCCAAATAAAACACATTTAGGACCTGGTGTGGTCTGTGGGCCCCCAGTTTGAGACCCAATCGAAGTGGTCCCCTTCCTTACAGAGGATGAAATCGTGGACAGAGCAAGGAACATGATTGGCCCAGAGTCATGCAGGAGGTGGAGTCTCCCAGCTTCCGGGTTGTTGTCCTTTCCAGAAAACCTGAGCTTTCTCCACACCCTCCTTCTGTGCATTGGTTCATTCGCCTATTTATTTGTTATCCACTCCCAGCCCCTGGCACTGGGGCCCCAGACAAACCAGCCAGGACCTTTGCCCTTCCAGGACCCTCATTCTGTCTCTGGGAGGTCACATGATGCTATTCAGTGTGACAAGGGCCAAGGCAGGGTCATAGCTGTCTGCCTGGGATCCCCACCAGCAACAAGGAAACTTCCTGCCAGGCCTCAACCCAGGGCTTTCCAGGACCCCCTTCTCTTGGACCTTGGACTGTCACCTGGAAACCTCAGGTTCTTATGCCCGGCTTCTGGGTGGTGAGCCTAGGCAAATATCACCATCAAAACATCCACTCACCACTCCACCTTGAGGCATGCCGGAGACCAGTCTCGGTGTTTTGGTTAGCAAGACTGTCCCATCCCTTCCATTCTAGGTGCAGGACTGGAAAAATCTGCCCAGCTTACCCATGCTGTCTGGGCCCAGGCCTCTGACACCCAAAATTCCAACTGTAATGAAAATCACAATGTGTCCTCAGTATGGCAGAAGCATGACCTGAGCCCAGGCTAGAAGGCCAATTCACCAGGTCTTTATTTCTCAAACCACTAGGTCTCCATGCTTTGAGGGGCTCTCTCCCCTGCAAGCCCCAGGTACTTAGAAAAGGCACATTCTCACTCACTAACTCACTTACTCACTCAGACATTCATTCAACAAACATCTGCCAAGTGCCCCCTGTGTCCTGGGCCTGGAAATGGATGAGATCCAGACTCTGTCTCAAGCACCCACTGTCCTGGGGGAGATGGCAGTCACCACCACTCTTTCTTGGGGTCCTGATGAGAAGACCAGGGCCTGGGGCCTTCTTTTAAGCTTCCCTTCTTCTAACTTCATCTCAGACAGTCCCCCAACAACCTTCAAATTCTCATTTCTTTACCTCTCACCACAGCCCCTCAAGGAACACTGGGCTTCTTTTAGCCCCATCTTACAGATGAGGACGCTGAGGTCCAGAAGGAAGAAATGATCCACTCAAGTTGCAGAGGTGGGAGGTAAAGCTGGATAAGGTCCCAGTTTCTCCAGATATCCTTGGAGAAGAAAGCAGGGAGTTCTGGAAGGAAGAGATGTGGAACTTTGGGACACAGGTACATCCTCATCTCTATTTTAAAAAGCCATAACCTTGAGACAATGATACAGGTCCAGAGGGAAGACCTATATTCTATTGTCCAAGCCTCGAGGGCAGTCAAGCATTTCAGGAGACAATTGGTTACAGTCATAATAATCCCAAATGCTAACTGAATACTTATCATTACTTAGTATTTAGTAAGAAAGCAATACTGAGTTCTAAGGGATTTGCATTCAATCTTGATAACAACCACATGGATATCGGCATGACTTTAACCCTACTTTGCAACAAGGAAACTGAGGTACTGAAAGGTCACCTTGCACAGCTAGGAAGGGGAGGAGCATGACTGAGGCAGGGAATGAGGCTTCCAAGACCAATTCTCCTAACCACTCAAGCACATGGTTTGGCAGAGTGTGCCTTCCCATTTTGAAAGAGTGTTGATTTATAAGGAAAAGAGAGAAGTTGTAGATTGGTAATTGCCAAGCAAATGTATGGGAAGCCATTCAAATAGATGTCAGCATGAAAACCCAAGAAGATAGATTTATTCTGCTGCTGCAGGACAGGAGGGCTGAGCCTTGGGTGATGACCAGCTGTCATTTGGAGAGAACTTCTTCAGAGGGAAGCAACTGAGAAACAGATCCACACAACTGAGTGAAGGAGGGCTCTTTTGGCAAACATCAAAAACAAGCTCTAGAAGCTTCCACAGTCTCTCCCTATTTATGCCCCACGTCGTGTCCAATCTGCCCTCTCCAAGCCTCATGTTAGAGACGCACTTCTTTGGTTAAAGTGCTGTTGCCTGTTAACATGCATTACCCCCCAGAACAGGTAACCTGTTAAACCTTTGTCAGTTACACAAGTTATTCACTGCTAAACTACAAATTACCAGGAAGGTAGTGGCTTAAAGCAACATACGTTTATTATCCCACCGTTTCTGTGGGTGAGGAATCTGGCTCAGCTTAGCTGTGGCACATCTCTGCCACAGGGTCTCTCACAAGGCTGCAGTCCAGGTGTCATCCAGGGCTGGGGTCTCATCTGAAAGTTCATCTGGGAGGGATCTGCTTCCAAACTCAGAAGATGGTAGGAATCCTTGAGTTGTTGGGTTACCACCCCTTTGTAACAAAAGAAGTGAGGCTCCAAGGATGGACTGTCTGCCCCAACTCCCCAAGCACATCTCCAAACCCCACTGCCAGGTAGTGAGTTGATCCTTCTGAAGATGCAACATCAGTGTCCCAAGACTGTGGATTATTGGCTGAGAGCTTCTGTTTCCTGCTGGCTCTTATGCAGAAACCAACTTCAGCTCCTTTCCACGTGGGCTTCTCCAACATGAACACTTGCTTCACCTAAAATGTGCAAGCTGAGAAGGCAATAGAGAGACTCTGCTGGCAAGTCAGAAGCTTCAGTGATAGCTTGTAATCTAATCATGAAGGTGACAGCCCCTCAACATTGAGGTTTTCTGTTGCTCAGAAGCAAATTACTCCAGGGGACAGGATTACATGAGTCTGTAAATTTCAGGAGGTGGAGATCACTGGGGTCATCTTAAGAGATATTTACCACATACGTCATCATTATATTAGTATAAATTAGTTCATCAGCTTGTTACAGCAAAATGGTTAGGTGACAGCAAGGGGATTTTTGACAAAAGGATGAAGGAAGAACAATTCTGGAATCTGGGGTTGGCCTTAGCAGGGTGGGCCTGGCGAGCAAGCTCTGAACTAACAATAAACCAAATGTGTATTTCCCTGGACCTCACATCCCTATTAATAGGCAGGTGGAGGCAGAGAGAAATGGACCAGTCTCTCTGGTTTTTCTCCACTCATCGCTATACCATGGCTTTGGCACTAGTTGAGAACTGAATACCCCATGGTGACGAGATTGGCACTGTGCTTGCATTGTCGTTGTCACCAGAGCATCCTGTCCCTCCATGCCCTAAAGGACATCCAACTCTAGCTGCCTGTATATTTTACCTCCAAAGCCCGTGCCACAATATTGAGTTGTTCCCGGGGATCTGCTGCTAAAATCCTGGGCTCACCATGGTGGGGATTAGCCTGGTCACTTACATTTTGGATGTTGCAGTTCCTTGAACTTTGAAAGCCACAGCATTCTCCTTAGAGAGATTATATAAAGGAACACCTACTTTATTAAAAGACCTCTGACAAAGACACATCATTATCCAAGAATGGTTTAACTAAGGCTTAATAAAGACAACAATGAGAAGATATTAACTCATTTAGCTTATATTTGGGAAGATGACACACCTTAGATGTAGAGCTTTCTTTCAGCATCAGTGATGGATTAAATCTGTTTGCACTGGAAAGTGGCTAATGTGCTGATGCTCAGAAATCTTGTGCTAATGCCAAGACATTGACCCTGTCTAAATGCATAAACCACCTCCCCACCCACAAAGCTCACCACCACCCACGCCAGACCCTTCAGAGGCTGAGGCATGTTGCACACAGAGCTAGGAGTCTGTTTCATTTCCCTTACATTGCAACTTACCATTCTCGTCCATTTATTTTAAGCAAATTATTCAGCCAAGTTGACAAGCATGAAAAAAACATGACCTACCCTGGGCTTTTCAAAAGAGATTTTCTCCCAAATGTGATTCATTATGCTCTGATCTCTCACTGTATTTTTGTCAAATGTTCCATGCCAGCTCTTAAAAGGACACTGTCAACTCCACTGGTTATGGCTGATTTCTTTAACTCTGTTGTCAAATGAATCCCTTACCAACCTGGAACAGAAAATTCCACCTTCCAAAAGCTCCAAGAGATACCCAAATGAGCCTCTGGGAGTCTAGAGACAGATCACAAAGACTTTTAATGACTAATATGTACCAAGTAACCATGATATGCCAGTCCCATTCTAGGTACAATCAGCACTAACAATGGAAAGGGCGTATACAGTCCCTGATCTTGTGAAGGTTACATTCTAGAAGGAAAGAAAGACTGTAAACAAATAATTAGATAAATAAAATAACTGCCCAGGCACAGTGGCTCACGCTTATAATCCCAGCACTTTGGGAGGCCGAGGCAGGCAGATCACCTGAGGTCAGGAGATTGAGACCATCCTGGCCAACATGGTGAAAACTTGTCTCTACTAAAAATACAAAAATTAGCCTGGCGTGGTGGCACATGCCTGTAGTCCCAGCTACTCGGGAGGCTGAGGCAGGAGAATTGCTTGAACCCAGGAGGTGGAGGTTGCAGTGCACCAATATTGCGCCACTGCACTCCAGCCTGGCAACAGACCGAGACTCCAAACAAAAAAAAAAGCTTTGGACATTGATATGTGCTTTGAGGAAAATAAAACAGGGTGATGAAATAGAAAGTCTCGCCAAGGCGCACCATTTGAGCAGAGTCCTGAGGGAACAGGGGTGAGTCTAAGAAGGTTCTAAAACAGGAACATTCCAGTAAAGGACCAGTTGCTCTCCATCTCATATATTGAGGATGCCACCAATCAAGCTGGGTCAAGTTACTGCCTTCAGAGGTTGTGTGACAGGAAGAGCAGCTCTTCCCATGGCCACATAGGAATGGAACGATCTACAGAGGAGGATCCTGGGATATGACCTCTGTCTTCCCCACAGAAAGCATCAGGGGTATTATCACATACCCCAGAATCTAGCTCAGAGCTTAGCACAAAGTAGGTACTATAGCTAGATGAATAAGAAAATGAATGGTAAAGGGGAAAAGGGGGGAAAAGAAGAAATACAACTAGCTAGCCAAAAGGTCATATAACTGATCCTTAGTATGCAGGGCCAACTGGGTAGGGCACACCTTTCTTCTTGATAATTATTAACTACCGTTCATTTTGCATTTATCATGCTCAATGCATTCATTGAGCTCTTTGGTCAGCAATCTATATGTACTATGTATTTTAATTCTTGCAAAACTTTTTGAGGGAAGTAGTATTTCCTGTCACACACAAAGATATTCAATCATGCTGATTCACCACACTAACCCATCTCACTTGTAAGTGGGCATGGGAAATTATGGAGGATAAAAGTTGAGGCATTTCATGACAATTCCGTATTCCACCTAGACTATGATTCCATCACATTAGTGGAGAAGTCTTAGGAGAAATTGCTTCGAATGGCCTCACCATGTTCTTAGTCCCAGGTTGGTGACTCCGTGGCTTTCCCAGTTTTCTTCCACTTCATTTTTTTATCCATTCATTCAAATATATTTATTGAGCACCTATTATACACCAGACATTATACTGGAGATACACAGGTAAACAAATCAGATTAAGGATTCTAGAACCACTGTCCTCCTCCCACCAAAAAGCAATCCTTGGCACAAGAACAAGAACAAAGCAGAGAGACTGGCAAATGATAATTCATGTCTGTTTCCTACTCTCCTCCTACATCCACAGCCCAGACATCTCTAAAAAAAAATATGGGCACTTGGCTGGGCGCGGTGGCTCATGCCTGTAATCCCAGCACTTTGGGAGGCCAAGGCAGGCAGATCACGAAGTCAGGAGATCGAGACCATCCTGGCTAACATGGTGAAACCCTGTGTCTACTAAAAATACAAAAAATTAGTCGGGCGTGGTGGCAGGTGCCTGAAGTCCCAGCTGCTCGGGAGGCTGAGGCAGGAGAATGGCATGAACCCGGGAGGCAGAGCTTGCAGTGAGCCGAGATCACGCCACTGCACTCCAGCCTGGGCAACAGAGCAAGACTCTGTCTCAAAAAAAAAAAAAATGTATATATATATATATATATATGCACTCTTTCAACCAGCTGAACATGGCAGGGAGACAGGTGGGTAAGAAGGGGCCAGAAGAAGCACTGAGCACAAATCCAACAAGACAAAAAGCAAAATCTTAACTGGGGCCAGGACTGGCCTCTTTGTCCACAAGAGGTAAGATGCAACAGCAGCTAATCTCCTCTGTGGCAAAACTTGGTGGCTGGATTCTCCAGCTGGCTTTCAAAATAATTCAGATTCAAAACAACACCCTCCCCTTGTCTGCACTGCCAGCCTGAGGCATCCCTCTGTTTCATCTTCCATTCACTTTCAGTCCCAACCCATTTCCAGGGCCACCCATGAGCCTTCTCTCTCCCAACTGTGTCTTCTCCATGTTGCCATTGGATTTCTCTCCCAATTCCCTTTTGGACTGCAATGACAAAAATAGAAAGGCTTCTTCCTCGATAGAGCAGCAGAAAAAAAAATTTTTGTCTACCTGAGAAAAAGAGCTTTCTTGGAAGGAGAGATAGAGGGTGCAGGAATGGGACAAAATAGCCAGAAACTTTCTCTGCAGGCACCTCTCCACCTCTTGGGTGAGCTTGTTCTTCATCGTGGCCAGGTAAATTGCCCCATTTTCTGCCAAGAAGAAGGCACAGAGTATGTAGTTGTTGCACTAGTGTGTGTCCCCTCATGAAGGACCTCATACCTGTCTCTGGGAAAGAAGACTGCCTCTCTCCAGTTGCTTCCATCAATTTTCATGCTGTCTCAACTCCCCTGGTCTTTAAACCTCAAACAATTCCAATACCCTCTTTCTATATATTTCCTGCACTTTTGAGCACCTCATCCTAATAATCTGTCATCACCACCTATTAGCTGAGTGATCTTGGGTGAGTTACTAAACACTTCTGGGTGTCATTTATTTGTCTATGCAATGGAAATAATAATACTTCACTCCAGTTATTGAGAGTGGGTTCAGATCTCTTTGCACAATTCCTGGCACCTTGGAGTCATAAAGCTGGTGGTTCTCAACTCTCAGTGTGCATGAGAATTATCTAGGGAGTGTTTAAAAATATTGATGCTTGAGCCCCAGCTCAGACTCATGAAATTGGAATCTCTAGGAGTGGGAGTGTGGGCATCAGTATTTTTTAGGCTTCCAAGGTGATACTAATTTGCGGCTAGAAAAGACAGCAGCTTCACTAAATAAAGGCAGCTATTATGGTTGTTGCTGTTGCTATTTCAACACACATTGTCCAGATGCAAACTCAAAGGTATGTGGAACTTCTAGGAATAAAGACCTGCTCGAATCAAATTGGTAGAGTGTTTGTGATTCTCAGCCAAGCCCCTCTCTCATCTTTCAGAAAGAACTAAATGAACCACAGGAGGCCATAGCCTATGGCACATTGTCTTAGGTAAAAGGCACCTAATCAAAAATTTCAGGGATAATTGGCAAATTGGCTCTTCATAAGAAGGAGGTAATCTGAATTAAGCACCATGAGTTAGTGGAAGAGATGCCTGTGGCTGTGGCTCTCGGCTCCTGCCATATCTGCATAAATGAATCCATCCCAGGGATACTCATCTCTTCCCCACGTGACCCTGCAAGCAAGTACCGCTCCACATCCAAGTTCAGCAGGTGAAGGCATTGAGAGGAGAGCCCATTTGGCAAATTTGAATTCCAAAGCCATAGCCACTTGATCTGGAGTGATGGGAGTGAGAAACTTGGAGCCCACACAAATCCAGGCAGGCAACGTGGAAGTGAATCCCGGGAAACAAAACAGGCTCATGTTCGATTTGTGATCTGATTGAAACAAGCTGCCCATCTTGTAACATTGCTGCCTTATGGTAGGATTTATGACATCAATGTTTGCAAAGGCAATCTCAAAAAAAAATAAAATAAGAGGAAAGGAGATTTTAAAAAGGAACAATCTCCTTTCTCTGTGTTCCTTTACCTCTGAATTGGAGTTAAAGCCCTCATTATTTCATTAGCTGGTCTCATTCCCTCGATGGCAACTGGGTTCATGAGCATTTGATTTAAGCTGCAATTAAAGCCCCAATCATAGAAATACATTTTCAGAAGATAATTGGGTGCATCATGCCAGCTTGTTGGCCTGTTAGGCGGCTCTAATTGTTGGCCAGTAAATTAAAAGCAAGTGTAAGTAAATAGTTCATCCAGAGACACATGAAAGAGAAAAAAGTTGTGTTCCTATTGATCAAGGACTCTGCCCTCTGCCCTAAATAGGGAGCTTGCCTGTGCTCAGGATCACAAATCCATCACTCTGGGGTAGAAGATGTATAAAGTAGCAGAGCATTTTAATTGCTTTGCATACATTAGAATAAAGATATCTTCAGAGAATGTTTTTTATCTTGCTTTTTTCCTTCCATACCCTGCTTCGTTCTTTCCTTTTTCTTTTAGTGAAGCCCCCAAAATGAGCCATGAGATCTTTATTTCTTATCTTTCCTCCATACTCTCATAATGGTACCTCCCATAGTAATAGCTTGAGCTGAAGAAAGCTTTTACATTACTTTTTCTCCTGGAAGGCTGGCAGAGTGGTCAAAAGACAGACTAAGTTGCCTCTGCAAGCTGAGTTCCCCTTCACTGGGGGAGAGAGGGTAGATAGTGCCTTGAGTAGTAGAAGAGATTTCAGACATTGAATAGGGGAGGTTACAATATATATCAGAAGAGGCTGACTGATTTTTACCATTCTTCTAGCAAATTGCACCCCACTTTTCTTTTCAGAAAGCTCCCCTGTCTCCTCCCAGCTTATATAGATTGGGAGATATAGTAGATCCTACTAACGTTTGCAAGTATCAACCCACATTTGTCTCTAAGGAAGGAGTGTACTTCTCAATGCCTATGATACCATCTTAGCTATGTGGCTGACTTTGGCCAGTAGAATCTGAGTGGTCATGACATAGAACACATCTCAGCAGAAGCTTACAATTTATTGTGTGAGACATCTCCATTTCATGTTCTTCCCGTCTGCCTCAGTAGTGATCTTATTGCCCTTTAGGGCTGTTCGTGCAGCCTGAGTGAGAAGACACATGATGAGGAGACTGGCAGAGCCTGGCAGAGCCAAACAGAGCCACAGCAGCTGCAGCCAACCCACAGCCATCAACATTTAACAAGAGAGGGAAATGCAGAGTCGAGCCAGCAAGAAGTGGTGCATGGTCTGGGGCTCTGGGAGAGAAGGCGGCAACTGTCCCCTTAGGGTGTGAAGCTGGAATTGAGGAATATGAACCTGCTGCCCCTTACTTGCCTTCACATAGGTTGAAAATAAGGCCCAAATGTGGAGGAAAACCAGCCTGAGATACAGGGAAATCAGGCCTTGTGGCATCTCTTGAGCTTCAACCAAACCCTGTTGAAAGCAGACTCTCCCCTGAATGTTTCTGTTATGAGGCCCAGTTTCTTCTTTTGCTCATGTCTGTTTGCATCCAGTTTTCCATCACTGCAACCTTAAGAATTTTCCCTGAAACAGATTCCAAACCTGAGGTCTCACTCTCTCAACCTCCCCCATCATCCCCTCAAGAGAGGAAGGAGCCCAAGGCCTCAGGAGCAGTGGCACCAATGTTCAGACAGAAAAAAAAAAAATCCTGAGGATGCAGGAACTTAGAAAGCCATAGGATTAGCCCTGCCTTGCTGTTATCCAAGGCAGAAATTTGAAGGATGGATCCCAGAAGACTCAGCTGGAGATAAAAACTCTTGTAAAAGCCCAAAGGGGATTTGATGTTTCACCTGTAGCCTTGGAGCCACAAACCGAAGCCTTCTTCCCAGTGCAAATCATCAATCATCATAGCAAAGAGCATTGGACATTAAGAGACTTGGCTCAGCCTGTTCTAGAGTTTTATTTCTAAAAGCATCAATGACAATTTGATTTACATGATTAATTTCTTCACCAATAGCCATTTCTTCCTGATTTAAGTCAGAAACTAAATAATACAAACTGACTAAAATATGATTGCAGAATCAATAAAACATCCCCAACAGATAATTATAGCATTAATGCACTTATTCTCCAGTTGGTATATCAATCATAATTAATGGGGATGAGTTGAAATGGTTTTAATCAAAGCCATTTGAATTCTGTTGCCCTGAGTCATAGAATACTGTAGCATAAGAGCCCTAAAACTAAGAGGTTAGGGGTTCTTCAGATGGGGTTTGCTGGAATCCCAGGGGTCTTTAGAAGTGCTTCTTGGGCCACTATAGGAAGTAGTGGGAGGAGAGAAAGCTCAATAGTCAGAGGCTCCACGATCCCCAGTCTCGCTTTAAACAAAACGTTCTTTGAATATTTATTTATTTGAAAAATGTTTTTGGCTACCATAGTCATAAGAAGAAGAGGAGAAAGAAGGGAACAAATAAGAAAGGAACAGAGAAGGAAGAGAAGGAGTTTAAAAGACACTAATCTAGTCCAACCTCCTTATTTTTCAAATGGGGAAACTGAGGCTCAGAAAGTGGGAGAGATTAGTTCAGGGTCACACAGATGCGGAACAACAGAGCCTTGATGGAAATCCACATGCTCTAACTCCAAGCTAATGTGTTCCTAACTCCAAGCTTACACATTTTAGTTTTTAGGGACAATCGATTCATTCTATGGTGGAAAGGATTTGGGAGAAGATTGCCCTGAAGACATCATCAGGAAGGACTCCTGCCCCTGGTCCCTAGTTCTTACTAGTTATACAGGCCATGCCTTATCCTTGGCCCAAGATTCCAGCCAAATTATTCCATTTGAGATCTTTCCCACGTGATCTAGTGTCCATGCCCAACAATTCTTGGTGGGGACAGCTCTAGCTTGAATTGGTGACTCATTTTGCCATAACCCATGTCTTCAGTCACTGATGTACCACTTATTATGCATGAAACTTTGTACTGAACACTCAAAAATTGCAGAAAAATAAAAGACAGTAGCCACACCCTTAGAGTCTAGAAAAGAAGGAGACATCCATAGGCCAAGATCACAATACAGGGTTCAATTTGCATTTGTTACCTGTTAAACTATAAGCTCTACAAAGCAGAGTGGCTTCCATTATTCACTGCTATATCTCCAATGCCTTGTATAGCACTGGACACATATAGACTGGGCACATGTAGCATATAGATGCTCAATAACCATTTTTTGGATACTTTAAAATAACAATAATAAAAGTTGACACTTAGCATGTACCAGGCCTTCTTGGATATTAATGTGTAACTAAATATTCAACCTTCGCCACAGCCTACAAAGTAATTATATTATTATAATCCATTTGACAGCCAGCGAAGGCACAGAGGAGTTAAGTATATTGTCCAGGGCGATATAGCCAGTCAGTAATGAAACTGGTGTCTGATCCTAAGTCATGTCCTTCCTAGGGCTTCACCCTTAACCACACTCTTAATACCTCCCAAAGTGTCATGGAATCCAGAGGCTTTCTATAAAGAGATGAAGGAAGACCTCATGGAGGAGATAGAAACTAATCAATGCCTTAACACATTGATAGAAGCTGGACTTAAAGAGGTAGAGAGGGAAGTCACAGCAAGAGGAAACAGACCAAGTAGAGGCATCGTGGAGGGAAGGAATGGGCAAGTTCAGTGTGGCTGCAGCATGTTCTATACAAAGGAAGCATAGAGAAATGTGACCGGAGAGAAGGACCAGGGCCAGGTGCACAGGGGCAGTGGAGAGCCATTGAAAGTGACACCATCAGAGCTCCGTTTTGGACAGGCTTTTTATCAGGCCTTAGAAGTCAGACAGTGGGGTGGCAGAGAAAGATAGCAAACTTAAGGGCCAAGTCCAGGCCTTCTTGACAAGTGCATCAAAGTTGGATGCAGGACCCAGATCCTGGACATTCACCATAGGCTGATGCCATTACTTGAGCAAGTGGTTTGGTCAATTTCACTCCACTGATGCAGCCTGATGCTCTTCACTTAAGAGTTACCTTAGATCCAGCTATGACAGCAATGCATCTGGTGGCTGGATTTCTACCCTCACATAGAAAACAGCTTCTGCCTGCCATAGCCATGAAGCCAAATGCTGATTCTATTGACAATACCTCTGGCCCCAAAGGGTTCACATTTTTAGGTCCAGATATAAACATGCATTCAGATACCTGTCTCCTTTGAAAATCCCCTCAATTGAAAACCCATAAATTCTTTATATTCCTAGAATCCTACTGGAGAAAGCATATAGCCTAGATTTAGCAAACACATCGAGGTCACACATACTATAAAAATAATCTTTGACTTTGTGCAAAAGTGTCATGCCAATCAATGTTAAAGTAATTGGTAATTATGCCTATTATTTCAGAGACCTAAAATCCAAGACTGTGTTTTGTATTCTTGGCCCCAACATTGACCCCATTGCCCTTGACTTTATTTGAGAGTGTGTCAGACCACACCCAGGTGTGCCAAGGGCCTGGCAGTGTTGCAGTAAACTTGAACTAGTGCAGCACTGGGGAAAGTGTTTAGGAATGAGAAAATGGAGATGGAACAAAGACCTCTTTGAAATGCCTAGCTATCCAGAAGACAGGAGAAAATCACAATGTTAAAGAATGTGAACTTCAGATGAACTCCACTGGGCAGCTGTAGATCTGCTGTGATTACCGAGGCTTTGCAACGCCCTTCTGTTCGTTGATTGCATTGTGGGCCTTGCTTCTTCTCGTCCTAGTACTGATAACTTTAGCTATGTGACTTCATGGTTCTTCCCATTAAGAAGTGAGGTCTGCTTCTTCATCCCTGAAATCTGGGCTGGACTTTTAACTAGGGTTGGGTCCAGGATGAGGCAATCAAGACTCCTGGGGCTCAAAATTTTAAGGAGGTGCTTGCTGCTCACATGCAGGGTCACACAAGGTCAACATCCGAAAGAGAGTGCCTCCTTAACATGTGTGCCCTAGGTGTCTTGCTTCCCTCAGCCTAATCCCAGTCCTGCTCGTGACTTGCTTTGGACAACAGACCATGGCAGAAGTGACATCGTGCCAGTTCCGAGCCTTGGCCTCCACATGCAATGCATGCTTCCACTTTTATTCTTGGTGACTTCCATTGCCTGAGCTAGCCTGCTGCAGGATAAGAGGGCTTGTGGAGGAGAGACACATTGTCCCAGCTGAGCCACCTCCCACCTGACCCCCCAACTGACCACAGACACATAAATAAGTCCAGCTTAGAGCAGCCCAGCTGAGCCCAGAGCAGCAGAACTGCCCCTCAACCCACAGACTTGTGAGAGATAATAAATGGTTATGGTTTTTAAATGTTTGGGGAGTGGTTTGCTATGGAGCAGTAGATGACTAATATACTTTCTATCTTAGTCCATTTTTGCTGCTATAACAAAATACCACATCCTGGGTAATTTATAAATAAGGGAAATTTATTTCTCATAGTTATGGAGGCTGGGAAGTCTAAGATCAAGGCACCAGTAGATTCAGTGTCTGGTGAGGGCTGCTTTCTGCTTCCAGGATGGCATTTTCTGGTTGTGTCTTCACATGGTGAAAGGGAGAAAGGGAGGAATGCTGTGTCCTCACATGGTAGAAGAGATGGAAGTGTAAAAAAGAGCCTGGCTGGTTCCCTTGAGCCCTTTTATAAGGGTATTAATCTCATTCACAAAGGCAGAGCCTTTATGTCTTAAATGCCTGTTAAAAGCCCCACCTCTTATTATTATTATTATTATTATTATTATTATTATTGTTATTATTATTAGGGACAGGATCTTGCTTTGTCACCCAGACTGGAGTGCAGTGGTGCAATCACAGCTCACTGCAGCCTCAAACTCCTGAGCTCAAACAATCTACTCACCTCAGTCTCCCAAGTAGCTGGGATTACAGATGCACGCCACCATGACTGGCTAATTTTTTTTTAATTTTGTAGAAACAGGGTCTCACTATGTTGCCTAGGCTGATCTCAAACTCCTGGCCCCAAGCAGCTCTCCTACCTCAGCCTCCCAAAATGCTGGGATTACAGGCACGAGCCACCATTCCCAGCCCTCCACTTCTTAATACTATCACATCAGGTCTTAGGTTTCAACAAGTGTATTTGCAGGTGACACAAACATTCAACCCAGCACTTCTCATGTTTCCTTTTCCACAACATAGGTAGCCACGTAAGGGGCCTATTAAATAATTATTAATAGGTAGATGACTCTGGATTCAGTGATATGAACTGACACAAGTTTAAAAGAGACTCAAGTTATGAGAACGTAAAATGAAGTCAGGAGTTCTTCTGGTTCTAATTCTACTAGTAATCTTAAACAAATCTTCCATCTCTGAGATTTGAGGCCTTTTTCTTAAAAATGAGTGGTTTGATCCACAGCAGAGGCAAGTGGGTTTCTTTAAGCATGCCAACTCCAGTTTACTGCAGATAGATATTTATTGGGAATAGCTGAAAGGTTCTGAGGCAAAACAGAAAAGAATGCTATTATCAATTAGTGATGTATGTCATGAGGAAGGGCAGGGAAGAAAGGGGAAGAGGGTGAGGTGGTGGAGCAGCACACACACCCCACAGTGGTCATAACCAGTGAAGATCCACTCTGAGGAAACTTCCAGCACTGAGAGTTTCTCATGTTCCTGTTTAGGGGGTTAATCCTGCCAGACTAAGTCAAACAATGAAGACCTGTGGCTACCATGGACAGCTTGTTATTTGCTGCCCTCTGCCCTTCAGCCCAAAACTAACAGTTTCCTTTCATTGTGAAAACAAGGACAAGAACACAATGCCTGGGGCACGTACCTGTGTTCCTGTCCTGGGTGGTGGACAGTGTATAGGCACTGGACAGCTTTTCACCCAGTGTGGCTTGCCCCCTACAGCTGCCAGATTGAGTTTTTTGTTGTTGTAGTTTTGGGGGTTTTTTTTTTGTTGTTGTTGTTTTTGTTTGTTTTTTTGTTTTTTTGAGGTGGAGTCTTGCTCTGTCACCCAGGCTGGAGTGCAGTGGCACCATCTCGGCTCACTGCAGCCTCCACCTCCCAGATTCAAGCGATTTTCCTGCATCAGCCTCCTGAGTAGTTGGGATTACAGGCACATGCAACCACGCCTGGCTAATTTTTGTATTTTTAGTAGAGATGGGGTTTCACCATGTTGGTCAGGCTGGTCTCAAACTTCTGACCTCAGGTGATCCACCCACCTCAGCCTCCTAAAGTGCTGGGATTACAGGAGTGAGCCACCGTGCCTGGCCTGAGTTGTCTCTTTAGAACTAGATGCTGTAGTACTAAGCAAAAAAACAACTCTAACTACAGGACATGCAAATTTAGGGGGTTCATTTTTACTATCTTTACAGAAATGTTCTCTCAAGAATCCCTCTTCTCTGTAAAGCACAGAACATTCATATGATCAAGGTCATAGGAAGGGCCTTTGTGGTGAGGGTCCTCTCTAGCATTGGCATCAACTTGAACCATCCTGCTGGCCACCCTCCACCCACCCACTTGCTTAGCTGAAAGATGGATCTCAACTTGCAGACTCAAGTCTTCAGATCTTAAGACTTACAACTTCCAGATACCCTCATTTACCAGAGAAGGTTAAAAATAGTTCTTTGCATATGGAAATCACTTCACAGCTTACAAATTGCTTTCACAACCTTAATTTCATTTGATCCTCAAAAGAGCCCTGTGATGAGAAAACTGAGGTCCAGACAGGTTAGGTGATAAGCATAGGGGCAAGCAGAAAGTAAGAGAGAGAGTTGGGACCAGAACATAGGTCTTCTCATTAAGCTCTTGTCCTCTTTTCTGCAGCATGAAACTGCCTTTTCTTATCACCACCACCTGCTGTGGCCATGGCCACTGCCAACAGCATCACCACGTCACTAGCTACTCCACCTCCCTAACAACCAGTGAGCCAGGTGGCCAGGGAGAAGACATTTTCCAGCTCCCCAAAACTTGGGTTTACTCATCTCCACCTCTCCTCAAGCCCTTCTGTTGTCCAAATCTACCAGCAGGAGCACTTCTAGCTAATTTTTTTCCCCACGTGGGAGGCAGTGTGAGCATCAAACTTCAAACCACACAGACATGAGCACAAACCCCAACTCTACCACTTCCTAAGAGGATGATGTGGGCAAGTTACTTAACTTCTCTGACCCTCAGCATTCTTAAGATTTCTTTAAGGAATAAACAAAATTATGCATCAATGAATAAAATAATGAGCATAAAGGGGCTCACCTGATTCATAGTGAGTTCAAAAAAAAAGGTGCTAGCAGTAGTCATAACTGAACAACAACAACAACAACAACAACAGTGATAGTAATGCCTGGATGCTAAGCCAAATAAACAAGGGCAAATGTGGTACCTAAGGATCTTTCCCGTGATGCACGGCCACTCTTGAAAGATCTTTCTAATCATGGAAGGAATCAGAGAGCATGGCCAGCTGACATCCCCACATCCCATTCATCAGCCCTAACAAGAGCTCTACATTTACACAATTTATTGGATGTAGCATGCAGAAAATACATTGGGGGAGGAGGATTCGGTTGTATAATCAGGTGTGTGATTAGTCATGCTAATGACATTTATTATACTACAAGTAGAACTAATTTACAATAATTTAATCATCAACAAACAACTGTGCAGGAAGAAGAATCTGGGTTGTCAGATTTGCAAATAAGGGTTTTTGATGAACAGTTCCAGTGTGACCCTGAACTCGTGTAATTCTGGAGGGAAAGACTGGGCCTGAGTCTTAGTGTGTACAAGAATAATGACTAACATTTGCACAGCAACTCCAGAGTTTACAAAGTACCTACATGTATGGAGTCTCGTTTGATTCTTCAGACAACCTTCATGGTAATGCATTCTTTGAACTTGATATAGAATGACAAACTGAGGCTGAGAGGTGAGAAGGGATACAAGGCAGGACTCAAACTCAGGTCTCCAGATTCCAGACCTTGTGTCCTTCTACTATAAACCAGTGGTGCTCATTTGGAGGTGTGTGCCAGAGCACCTGTGAGGACTTACAAAAAAATAAATAAATACCTGGGTCCCAGTATATTTTTATTATGACCCAATAACTTGAGGATGAGGGAAGGGAATCCAATTCAGAAACGTGCTCTGAGTTGAAAACCACCAAACTTCAGGCTGAAAAGCAGGAAGACAGCCCAGGATGGTGTGAGGGCCTGGGTTAGAGTCTTCTGTACATACACTGGAAACTTGACTTTAGCCCTTGTCAGCTGTGTGACCCGAGTCAAGTTACTTAACCTCTCTGGGCCTGAGTTGCCTCATCTGCAAATGGGGATAATATCTACATTCAGTGCTCAGTGAGAAAATGTAACTGACACCCTAATAACAGAGTAAATAAATATTACTTTGGAGTTCCCCTTCATTCTCCTGGATAGCAGGTATTTGAAACAAGAACTCAAGATTGTGATAGACATTTTCTTTGTTACCCATAGCTACTGTTCTCCTGAATCAAAACCTATGGTAAATTTTTTAAATTTAATCTTAAAAAACAACTACAAAAAAAAAACACAAAACAAAACAGCCCATTCCCCAAGAACAGAGCACTTCATTTTCCTGCCAAAGATAGGCCACAGAGCACCCAGGCAGCTTTCTTAACACCCAGTTACTACAGCAGCCGCCCGGGCTACTTCCACTGTGCTGAAGGCACAGACTCCTCCCCAGACCATGAGAGGAGCTCAAATGCTAGCTTCATTTTTGCTACTGGAGAACAACAAAGGGGTCAAATAAAAGCCATTCTCCTTTTGCTAGGGAGTCCCCAGGAAAAGAAAACGAGTGATTCCCTTGCAGCTGAGATAAAGATATTCCAGAGCATTGAATACATTCCAAAGCTCTGGTCTGCTGGGGCTCAAGAAAGGACCTTTTGAATTCTCCTCAACCTTGATCTAACTCACTGACATTTCTCCTGGTCCTATTCTAGACTTTTCCCACCCCGGGTGATAACGCAGACACTCCTGTTGGTAGAAGTTGGAACAGCAGCCAGAAGCTGATGTGGCAAAGGCTCACAACAAAAAGACCCTGGCAGCAGCTGCTGCTCCAATACAATCCTAGGAGCTTTCCCTGTTTTTTAAGCAAAAAATTTCTGACCTCCCAATTCAATTCTCCTCTGTCTATAATCTCTGTCCAGACCACTTCTTTGGATGGAGGGAGGAGGTCTAAGAGAATCCGTCCAAGTACCCCAGGAGGTCATGACTCAGCCTTCTGGTGACCTCCCATCTCAGGTCACAAAGAATCTCATTACCAAATCTTAGGTGCTCTCAGTTGACTCTGGAGAAAAAAAAAATCTGGCTGTGGCCAGCCTTGGGAATGCTTCAGCTGTCAAAGTGGGAAGCTTAATGAGCTGGTGATGGAGAGAAAAATGCCCTATCTTTTTAAACCTAGGCTTGATCCTGGCTGCCTAATTGTGCCCAGCTGTTTCATGAATCCTTCCCAACCTGGTTTCAACTGTCCAGTGAGGGCTGACTGGCCACACAGGCCAGGCAAGAGGAAGGCCAATTACTGTTCAAATTGGATTTAGAGCTCAGCACAGGAAAACCCATGTCATCTGGCTGTGTGTCTACAGATGCGGGCCCTGAACCCAGGTGTCCATGCTGGAAGCATGCAGGCCACATCTGGCTCAGAAATATGCATTGCATTTAATTAAAAATTCTGTAGTATGGCCGGGCACAGTGGCTCACGCCTGTAATCCCAGCACTTTAGGAGGCTGAGGCGGGCGGATCACCTGAGGTCAGGAGTTCAAGACCAGCCTGACCAACATGGAGAAACCCCATCTCTACTAAAAACACAAAAAATTAGCTTGGCGTAGTGGCATGTGCCTGTAGTCCCAGCTACTCGGGAGGCTGAGGAAGGAGAATGGTGTGAACCTGGGAGGCGGAGCTTGCAGTGAGCTGAGATTGTGTCACTGCACTCCAGCCTTGGTGACAGAGCGAGACTCCATCTAAAAAAAAAAAAAGGAAAAAAGAAAAAGAAGATTATGTAGTTTTACCTACTTATATAATTCTGGGTAATTGCAAACATTTACTTCAGAAGACTGCACCTCAGAAACCTAGATTGCTGGTTTCTCTTACAAAACCAGAAGATCTAACCATACTAGGCCCATGTTCTGTGAGTGTCACAAACCAGCATAACTGAGTAGCCCTGCCCCTATGATTAATGTGTATGACTGCCACTTGACCATGGTCTCCACCACTCCCTATTGCCCCTTGACACTTGGGCCCTTGAAAACCTTTACGTGTGTAAGCTCCTATGACTGTTACCTAACATGGGCTTTTGGCTTTTTCACCTGCACAATGACAGAGTCAGCCAAGATGGACTCTGTGGTCCTTAAGAAGAGGCCCTACCTGATCACACGAGCCCTCTTGAGGGCAGCATACAGGACCCTCTGGGATGGTACCAGAGAATGAGTGGTGGTGAAGTAAATCACCAGGATGTTCACTCTGGAGGTGATAAGATGTCCATGCCCTGCTCTCTGGAAAGCCATCCTTGGAGTCCATCCATCACTGCCCACCGGCCTCCCTCGCAGGCCACTTGAGCCAGCCATTGCCGTCAACAACTCCAACTTGGAGAGGCTTTGGCACTTTGCAGCATTCACAGGAGCTGTTACTTTTTCATGTTCTGCCCTTTCTACAATTACTGCCATTCCCATCCCTTCCAATAACCAGGCTTAATGAAGGATGACCAAGAAGAAATATGGAGTGACTTGCAAGAGACAGGGGCTTTGAGATAAGCCAGCAGGTGCCTGCTCAGAGCTCACTGAGGCAAGAGTGCCCAGTCAGGACAAGGTGAGCTTCTGTCTGTCCCCAGTTGCACACCCCGTTTTGCCCCGCTCCACTCAGCCAACCTGCAGAGCATCCCGACGTTAAAAGATTACCAGGGCGAGTTTGTAACGAAGCCGCTCCCTCTTTGTCTGTCCTTGTGCCAACAGCAGCAGAAGGGATACTAATTAGAGGGTGAATTATTAGCTTCCCATGGTGCACTGCAGGGACATTAAAAATGAGGGGGCTTTGCTGCTTGCCTTTTAGATGGTTAGTCTTGATTTAATATATTAGTGTTTCTAGGTGAGCAGCAGGGGACAGTTTTTATGATTATAATTGTTGCATAATTACTGGCCTAAGGTTGCCTATTGCTAAATAAAAATGCTGAGATACTAATGTTTTATTGAACAGTACAAGGAGATAAAATTGTAATATCTTTTCCTGAGCAATTGAAGCTGCTCATTTGCAACCTGGTGACAACCCTTAGTCGTCTTATGGAAGAGGTGGATGGGTTCTGCCTGGGCTACAAGTCAAATGCAAAATATTTGCTTGGAAAAAAACAGGAGGATGAAAGGGAAAGGGATGCTGAGGAGCTCTTGGATGGGTACTCACAATCTCTGCATTTTGCAGGGAGCAGGAGCTGTCCAGACCTGGGATTAAAGAGCATGCACTCAACAGGAAGGGTAACTCTTAGCCAGCTGGTTCTTGGGCAGAAGAATGTCACAAATGGCCTTTCCCATGAAGAATGCCCATTCCTGCAAGAGAAACTGAAGGCACATAGAGGCAGAGATATGAGTCAGGGACACAGCCACCACTGGATGGCCCAAAGGGGATCAACATCCTTCCTTTGGGCAATCTTAACTTCTCAGTCCTTCCAGTCACTGAGAGACTATCTGGGACCAGCTATGCAATAAGTCTTTAATATTTCTCCAATTCACCTCTTCCTTTTTGCCCCCACCAACCCACCCTATGCCAGGCAGCCAGCGCCAACACCTCCTAACAATCTCCCTGTCTTTTTTAAAAATATATTTTTTAATTTCAATAATGTTTGGAGTACAGGTGGTTTTTGGGTAAATGGATATGTTCTTTTTTCTTTTTTTCTTTTTTCTTTTTTTTTTTCTTTTTTTTTTTTTTTTGAGGCAGAGTCTTGCTCTGTCACCCAGACTGGAGTACAAGAGGTGTGATCTCGGATCCCTGCAACCTCCACCTCCTGGGCTCAAGGATCCTCCCACCTCAGTCTCCCAAGTAGCTGGGACTACAGGCATGCACCACCATGCCCGGCTAATTTTTGTATTTTTTGTAGAGATGGGATTTTTCCATTTGCCCGGGCTGGTCTCGAACTTCTGAGCTCAAGCAATCCACCTACCTCTGCCTCCCAAAGTGCTGAGATTACAGGCATGAGCCACCTCGCCTGGCTGGATAAATTATTTAGTGATGATTTCTGGGATTTGAGTGCACTCATCACCAGAGCAGTATACACTGTACCCAATATGTAGTCTTTTATCCCTCAGCCTCCTCTCAGCTTCCCCACCCCGACTCCCCAAAATCCATTATATCATTCATATGCCTTTGCATCCTCATAGCTTAGCTCCCACTTATAAGTGAGAACATACAGTATTTGGTTTTTCATTCCTGAGTTACTTCACTTAGAATAATGGCCGCCGGCTCCATTCAAGTTGTTGCAAAAGACATTATTTCATTCATTTTATGGCTGAGTAGCATTTCATTGTGTACATATACCACATTTCCTTTATCCATTCATTGGTTGGGGGGTACTTAGGTCAGTTCTATATCTTTGCAATTGCAAATTATGCTGCTATAAACATGCGTGTGCATGTGTTTTTTTCATACAATGACTTATTTTCCTTTGGATAGATACCCAGTAGTGGGATTGCTGGATCAAATGGTAGTTCTACTTTTAGTTCTTTAAGGAATCTCCATACTGTTTTTCCTACTGGTTGTACTAATTTACATTTCCACCAGCAGTGTAAAACTGTCTCGTATCTATCTTTCATGTTCACTGAGATTTCTGCAGCCAGGCAGGGGATGATTCTTACCAGGAGCCAAAAGGTTGCAAATAAAATGCATTTGAGTTAGATCTGCTGCCTCACCGTAAAGAAGGATGGGAAATGCCACTTGATTTGGGCAAACAGTAAAGGCCTGATCAATTTGGTCTGACCCCTCAGGTGTTCCATCCTTCAGAGGGATGAAAGAAATAGATCACTGTTTTCACCGTTCATGCAGGTGTGGATGGCTAGGAAAACAGAGGAAGATAGCAGCAGGGCAAACCTGATTTCAGAAAGCCAATGAGTGGAGTGGCAGCTTCCTTCCCAGATGATCCTTGGGACCTTCTCTACTGGGTCCAGCCCAGTAGAAACTCCTCATTCTTGGCCAACACTTTCACAGCAGGCATAAACTAAAAACCAATTTTCCTTTCCATGGGTTTCCATATGGTTCATCTCAAGCAAGCATGAGTATTGTGGAAAGATCCCTGGGTGGGGAGTGAGGGAGCCCAAGTATTGTTCCTGGCTCAGCCATCCCTCTGCAACTGTAAGACAAGTCATTTCAGCCCTCTTCTTTGGAAGAGAAATCATATCACCATAATGCCTACCTCACACAATTCATGTGAGGACTGGATGGACTTCAAAGAACTAAGGACTGTCAGAGTCAGAAAGAGCTCATGTGGTCCAATTTCCTTCCAAATGCAGGATGTTTTTCCAGAGCATTCCTGACAGATGTTCATCCTCCTTCCGCACAAAGATAGAAACTCTAGGTAGCTCAGACACTCCTTTTGTTGGACAGCTCTGAGTTTGCTTGTTCATGTGAGCGGAGATCTGCCCAGCTATGGTCCTGGGGCTGCCCTGAGCTGTATTTCATCCACACAATGATCCTGCAGGAATTTGAAGACAGTGATTTTTCTGCCCTTGGTCTGTTATCTTCCAGGACAACTATCCCAGTTTCCTTAGCTGTTCTTCATGTTTCAAGCCCTTTATGGTCTTCTTCCTTTGGACTCTCCCCTTAATAATCTACCCATCCTACACAAGAAGAGAACACATATACAACATGGCCAGTCCAGAACACATACAATGGCCTCCCTTAATCTAGTCACCATACTCCTACTAATGCCGCCTATGGCTGTGTATCAGACTTTCTATCAGACTCGTCACACAGTTGGCTCATATGGAACCTATGTCAACTCAGTCCTCCAGGTCTTTCTCATGTAAATGGCTTCGATTTGGAAGATGAAAAGTCTCATCCTTCCTGTACATGTAAAATTGATTATTTTGAAATGAACATATGATTCTATATTTCTGTTTGTTTCAATATGCTGGTTTGGATATATATTTCCAAACCTTGATAAATCTTTATAAATCTTGACTCTGTCACCCCATACTTGAATTGGAAAGCTCTGCCTTACAGCTCTGTATCATCTGTGGATTTGTTAAGAAAACTTTTACTGTCTTTGATGAAAAGTGTTGGGTTGACAGTATTGATCCATGGAGAATCTATTGTATCAGAGTAAAGAACAGTATGAAGACTAATAGAAATAAAATCAGTTGAGTTAGTAAATGGAGGGAAAACAGTACAGACCACCAAAATCTTGGGGTTAAAACTAGACATAAGAAAGTGGGAAATGTCTAATGTTTATATTCTGACACCCACAATAAGGGAACTCAAGATCCCAAGATCACAGTTGGATTTGACCAAGAAAGTTCATATTATATAAATCTAAGCCATTCTTACATTACTCACAGTTTCCTTCAAACAAGTTCCCCAGTTTATGATAATGATAGAACAATGAGACAAACTACATATAAATGAAGAAACCCCACAGTCTAGTTCACTTTGTCTTGGTGAAGTCAAATTTTGGTCATAAGGAGAAACCTTTAGGTTATGCATAAAAGAGTTTAAATGAGCTTGCATCCTGCAGAGCCTCCAGATCTGTTGTTTTCCCCATGAATTGAGTCGCAACATGCACCAATAAATCAAGAAGATGCACATCAATATCTTCTTCCCTTTAGCATAGTTTCCTGGAAGGACCTTGGACCAGGAAATGGAGGGGTTCTTTCTCCTATATAGGATATTTACATACATTACGTTGCTCTCCTTGTCCTCAATATTGGTCAGGAGCATAGAGACCCCCTCAGAGTGGAAAGCACAGGTAAAACCCAGTGTATTTGTCTCCGGAGGCTGCTGGGAAAAATTATCACAAACATGGTGGCCTGAGTCCAGCCAAAGCTCATTCTGTCACAACTCT
Source organism: Homo sapiens (assembly GCF_000001405.40). Classification (NCBI taxonomy): domain Eukaryota; kingdom Metazoa; phylum Chordata; class Mammalia; order Primates; family Hominidae; genus Homo; species Homo sapiens. The sequence goes on along the minus strand of NC_000016.10, from coordinate 48,825,471 downwards.
GGAGACCAGAAGTCCAAAATCGGTTTTCCTGAGCCAAAATCAAGGTGTTGGCCAGCCCACATCTCCCCCAGACTCTCTGGGGAAGAATTTATTTCTCACCTCTTCCAGCTTCTGGCAGCTGCTGGCATTCCTTGAGTTGTGGCCACATTGTTCCAATCTCTGCCTCCAAAGTTGCATCGTCTTCTCTTCTGTGTGTGTCACATAAGAAAACTTGTAATTGGGTTTAGGGTCCACCAGTATATCCGCATGTGAAGACCCTTAACCACATTTTCAAAGACTCTTTTCCTTTTAAGGTAACATGCACAGGTCCCAGGGATTGGATTCTGATACTTTTGGTTGGCTGTTTTTCAGCCTACTATATCCAGTGTCAAAAAAAAAAAAAAGTTGACCATGAAAAAATTAGCATTGGAACCCCACATAAGCTAGGATCCACCATCCTGGGATAATCATTCCTTAGTCAGCATCCTGGGAAAGCTCACACATCCAGCTTTCAAGAACTGATTGGAAAACACCCCATGGATGTATAAAATGTATAAAATCAGTCCAGAAATGTATAAAATGTCATTACTAGTTCCCAAAAGAGAAATGATCCAGGGCTTACATATGGAAAAGAAGAAACCATTTAAATCTCCCAAGGGATGTTATTTTTATGCTGCCCCTCTCTGTAAGTATTTGATAAGTTCCAGGTCCCATCAACATACAAACAGGTAGGCATGAGTGCTTCTGGGGGGATTCCTTGAAAGCCAACTCTGAGGTGGAGTTTGATATGGAGCATGGTGGGATCAACACCAGTGGAAGGGGTGATTGAAAAGCAGCAGTGGGCAGAGGAAAAATTCTAGCTGCAATGTAGGCCAAACATCAGCTTTGACTAAGCCCACAGCTGGAATGACCCTTCAGATTTGTCCTGAGTTAGGCCGAGATGATCATATCTTTATATTTCCACATCACATTAGTCATTGGATGTGGGCCACCTAGGGAGAGGGATGACCTTAGGCAAGGCAGCTCTCTGCTGCTGAGATAATCCCTAAAGGGGCTGACAGCTGGAGGCCATCTGCTCATTGCATTCCCAGAGCTGGACAAGTCCTTCCTTGAAGGGGAATCTGTCATGCATAACAGTTTCTGTTGTTTCAGGAGAAGGCATTCTCCATCCTCAGTAAACACTGAGGCACCATAACGGAGAGCTCTCAAGATGCACAAACCTTCTAGAGTAGAATGTGTATGGCTACAAATTGTCATCTATAGTTTTTTTGTTTTATTGAGAGTTTTGTTTGTTTTTCTTCATTTAAGAGTTTTTCAAGAAACAATATCAAAATGCAGTTTCCTTCAAAAAATATTCATTACCAGGGGTAAGACAAGGATGTCCACTCTTACCACTTCTCTTCAGCAATACCCTGGGCAGGACAATTCGGTAAGAAAATGGAATAAAAGGCATTCAACTGGAAAGGAATAAGTAAACCTATCTCTATCTTGAGATGACATGATCTTGCATATACAAAAATCCCAAGGAATCACCTAAAAATCTTTTAGAATTAATAATGAGTTCAAGTTTGCAGGATACAAGATCAATATAAAAAAGTCAATTGTATTTCTCTGCACTTGAATGAACAATCTGAACATAAAATTAAGCAATAATTTCATTTACAATAGCATTAAAAATAGAATACTTTGGAATAAATGTAATAAAAGAAGCCCAAGACTACAAAACATTGCAGAAAGAAATTGAACAAGACCTAAATAATTGGCAAAACATCTTATGCTTATGGATCAAAAGACTTAATATTGTTAGTATGTCAATATTACCCAAGGGGATCTGCAAAATGAATCAATGCACTCTCTATTAAAATCCCAAGGACCTTTTTATGAGACATGGATAAGCTAATCCTCAAATTAGTTTGGAATTATAAGGGACCCCAAATCACCATAACAATCTTGGAAAAAAAGAACAAAGTTGAAGAACTCACACTTTTTGATGTTAAAATTTACTATAAAGCTATAGTGATCAAAATAATGTGATTCTGACATAAGGATATACATATAGACTAATGGAATTGAGACTCCAGAAATAAACCCACACATCTATGGACAATTGATTTTGACAAGGGTGCCAAAACAATTCAATGAGGAAAGAGTAATATCTTCAAGAAATGGTGCTGGGACAACTGGATATTCATATGCAAAAGAATGAGACCAATCCCCTACATCACACCATATGCAAAAACAGACCCCAAGTAGATCAAGGAACTAAATGTAAAAGCTAAAATTATAAAACTCTTAGAATAAAGCATAAACATAAATCTTAATGACTTTGGATGAGGCAATGGTTTTTTAGCTGTAACAACAAAAGCATGAGCAACAACAACAAAATAGATAAATTGGACTTCTTTAAAATTAAAAGCTTTTGTCCTTTAGGATATCACAATCAAGAAAATGGAGGACAAACCACAAAAAGAAGACATTTGCAAATCATATATCTGATAAAGGACTTGTACCTGGAATATATCAAGAACTATTACAACTTAAGAAAAAAAAGACAACCCAATTAAAAATGTGCAAAGAAACTGAATAAACATTTCCTCCAAAGAAAAGATGCAAATTGCCAATAAGCACATGAAAATATGCCCAACATTAACTATAAGGGAAAAGCAAATCAAAACTGCAAGGAGGTACCACTTCATACCAGCTAGAATGGCTGTAATCGAAAAGACAAAAATAACAAGTCTTAGTGAGGATGTAAAGAAATCGAAATGCTCATACACCACTGGTAGAGATATGAAATGGTGCAACCATTTTGGAGAACAGTTAGTTCCTCAAAAGCATAAGCATACAGTTACCATCTGGCCCAGCAATTCCACTCCTGCTCAAGAGCGATGAACACATATGGTCACACAGACATTTGTACACGAACGTTCACAGCAGCATTATTTTTAACAGACACAAAGTAGAAACAACTCAAATGCCCCTCAACTGGTAAATGAAAAAAAATAAAATGTATCCTTATCCATACAATGAGAAACTATTTGGTGATAAAAAAATAAAATATTGATACATGCTACAACATAGATGAACCTCAAAAACATGCTAAGTAAAAGAAGCCAGAAACAGAAAGTCACATAATGTATGATTCCATTTATAGAAAATGTACAGAGTAGGCAAATCCAGAGATAGAAAACAGGTGGATGGTTGCCTAGGCCTGTGGAAAGCAGGGGAGAAATGGGTAGTGACTGCTAATAGGTACTAGATTTCTTTTGGGGTGATAAAAATGTTCTAAAATTGATTGTGGTAATGATTCACAACTCTGGAAATGTACTAAAAACCATTGAATGTATACTTAAAGTGGGTGAATTGTATGGTATATGAGTTATATCTCAGTAAAGCAGTTATTAAAAAAAATTAAGTATTTATAATACATCAAATCAATTATTCTATAGACAAGGGAGCCACAGAGGTTGGTGAACAACTGGTAGAGTGCAGTATATACACACAAGCCAGAAGTCCTTTAAGATCCCCCTCTCCCTCATCTGCTATAGCTAATCAAATACATATTTCTGAAATGTATCTACTTCTGTCTATCTCCATTGCCACACCTAATTCAAATTACACTCACTTCAGCCTGGCCCCCTGTAATGGCCTCCTAAACACCCACTGTTGTCTTGCCCCTCCTATCCAGTTTCCTCACTCCAACTAGCCTTTGTAAAATGCAAACAGTATCATGTGAACATTTATCTGTGACTCCCCATAGCCCCAGAGATAAATCCCACAATCTTTCCAATGATCTACCAGATCTCTACAGTCTACCCTCAGCCTGCTTCTGCAGTCTAACCTTCACCTCTCCCCTCATCTCTCACCACATCTCAGCTATGCTACCCTTTCTTCAGTTCCTCATATAAGCTCTTCCAATCCCAAGTCTTGGTCCATACTATTCTCTCTACTCGGAGCACTCTTGCTACTCCTACTCCTAACTCTTATCTTTTATTCTCAGCTGAGACAAAAAAAAAAAAAACACATCATAGGAAAGTCTTCTTTGTTCCTCCACCACCCAGAAACCATCAGGTCATGCTCTCATAATACCCATAAGTCACTCTCATATACAGGCTCTCATAATGCCTATAAGCCTCATTCCAGGCTCTGATCACATTTGTCCCTAAATCAGTATTTGTGTAATGTTGCCTCCCCTCCTCTACCATAAGATTCATGAGAGTAGGGGTTATGTCCATCTTGTTCATCTTCTTTATCCACAAAACCTAACATTGTGCATCATGGAGAAAGTACAGAATAAATATTTGCTGAATGAATAAATGAGTAAATAAATGGAAAAAGTGTATGATAGGTTCTACGTGAGTGGGTCACACTGGAAATACCAGCAGCATATAGACAGGAAAACTACCTCTTGGAATTAACCATTGAGAAGACTCCCTGGAAGAGAAAGGACTTGGAAAGCAAGCTTAGAATCTTGAATACAACCCTCAAAGTCATCCTGTTCACATCCCCACTTGCTTGAGCTGGACTCTGAAGGCCAGCTTGGAAAACCATCTGACTCCCATTGCTTCAGAACAAGATTTGTGGGACAAAAGTCCAAATTGCTTGTCATGTTGTGTACCATAATTATCATCACCAAATGACACACCATTTCCCAAATAAGTCTAAAAGTTTGCATCTCATGCTTTTGCTCACATTGTTCTCTCTCCCTGGATGTCTCTCTCTTGTTGAAAGAAAAACTTTAGACAAATTAAATTTAGCACAGTTTATCTGAGCAAAGAACAATTCTTGAATCAGGCAGCACTCAGAAGCAAGACAGGTTCAGAGAGATCCACCCAGCAAGGTGGACAGGCGGTATTCACAGACAGAAAAAGGAAGTGAAGTACAGAAAAGGAAGTGAAGTACAGAAAAAGCTTGACTGGTTAAGGTTTGGCATGTGCCTTATTTGGGGGTGGTGTGATGAGGCCTTTGCCTTATGTGGACATTGTCTCTGATCTGTCGACAGCCTGTGATTGCCTAAATCTTGGATGCTGTGATTGGCTGAGACTCAACTATTTGTTACAAGAATATACTCAGGTGAGGTGGCAGTTTGCTACATAAGGACTCAAGGTATTCTGGAGACAGCTTTAGACCAAATTTAATTTAACACCTGCATTATTACTTCCAGGCCTCCAAGTTTCACAAACTTTTACTCAGGTCCTACAGAAATTTTACCTCCTGTATAAAGCTTTCCCCAACTCTTAAACAATAAGTACCACTTTCTCCAGTCCAAGTACTTGATGATTTAAAAACCATCACATTACATATCACGCATATCATGCAGGGTCAAAATCAACCTTAAAAATTCCTCAGAAGGGTGAAAAGTCATAGAATATTTCTCAATAAGTTCAAAGATCCTGCTTTCCTCCTGTTTTGGAACAGATAACTGTTTCTTTAAGAATTAGATGAAATGGTTGGCTTATGTTTAGGATCTTTGTTGTACAAAAAATACATGTATGCACATACACACACACATACACACACACATCTTTACTTTACATTTGATGTAGAAACCCCACACTGTGAGAGGTGTGTAAGAGCTGAGGCTGACTGAAAGGACACAGATTCATACCTCTCATTTCATGCTGCCTTTTAGACTGCTGGATGAAATTGTTGACAGAATCACTCTCACTAACTATATTAGTCTTTTTTCTTCTCTTTACTTCACCAAGCATATTACAATGAATTCATAGAAATTACTCCTAATAAGTCAAGAAATTGAATCTAATGCATGATACTTATAGCCTATATAAAAGCTGTGGTTCCGTTTAATCCAGGTTTGTAAGAATTTACATTTTTTAAACCTTCAGACAGGGGTCAAGCAGAGATTGCTTAAAGAAATGTCAATCTTTATTTCTTCTACTTGAGTATAGTAAAAGTGACTGAATTCATAACTCAAAACCAATCTACAATATTCCCTTCCTCCATTTCCAATACTTCTCATACCTGACTACTATCCAGGAATGTCTCTCAAACAAAATCCCACATCTTCCTCTCCAGTCCCAATATAAAATGTTTTTCTTTCTCTCTGTCCAACTTTCTCATTCTCAGCTTTTTATTTTATAAATCAACTTAGCACCTATGATCACATTTCCTCTCTCTTTCCTTCATCCTCCAGACTCTTCCACAGAGATGGCCAAGCCAAGACTCATGGCCCAACTGCCAAATCCGATATGCATATTCATGTACGTGTGCACGTGTCCCAAAACCAGGTTTTTAAAATATTTATTTGAACTAGTTGCCAACCGATTAAGAGATTTGCATGTTTTAAAATCCAGATTTCCAGCTTCTGTTGAAAAATCAGTAGATGTGCAATACTGGGTCCCTTTCTTCCACAGAATCAGGAGACTCAAACTGAGGGGTGGACGCCTCCTCTTGGGTGGGACTTGCAGTCCCCAGCTTTCTGCACTCCCCACCTGGCCTCACTCACTGGTATTTCCTGCCTGGACCTTGCAAGCATTTGAGTTGGTGCCTCTTGCTCTGCCCACAGTTCCTATTTGGCTTCCTAGATCTAAAACCAGGCCCTTCTTTAGTTGTGGGACATGAGCAGCAAACAAGGAACAAGTTAAATCAAATCCCCATCACACAGTCACACATCAGACCCAGTTTCCTACAAAGGAAAAGATGGCGTCTGACTCATCTCTGCACCCTTAGCATAGATACTGTCCCTGGCCCAGGGTAGACACTCAAGAAATCATCATCACATGAACAACGAGGCAAAAATCTAAGGAAATTTCTTATATAACTAAAAATGTCTATTTTTATTTTTATTTCATCCATGCCTTCCTCCCCTTCCTTTCTACAGACTCGCTGACTCCCCCCAGGCGCAGGCCCAGGCTGGAATGTGGGTCAGGGAGCAGCTGGAGGAAACTATCAGAAAGTGGAATCAGGGTTCAAGACAGCCCTAGGTACAACTTCCAGCCCCATCCTGGGTGGCAGGACCGCAGCCAAGCACGGTGTCCTCCCCCCTACTGATCTGGCTCAGCAGACAGATGGTAATGACTCCTCCATTCCCGCAGCCCAGGCAGGCTGTGAACAGGCACCTTCAAGTGTGGGCCTCATAGGCCCAGCCTCAGGGCCCGAAGCTGCCTTGTTCCAGCAAATGACAACTTTTTAATTTCAAGCCTCTGGTCCCTGGTGAGAGAGGTGAAGAGTGGGGTGAGAATGGCATCTGGATCCTGCAAAATCAGGGAGATCATGGGCAGGGAGCAACCTTGAGAGGGTCATCTACCCTCTGCTTGGCCAGATTCTCTCCTTTGTCGGGGATCCAGCCTAAGCCCACCTCCTTCAAGAAGCCTTCCCAGACTACGCTTGTCCTTGCCCTCCAAACAGCTCCCAAACATCCAGAGGAAGTACTGATTCTTGGAAGCAGGCACTGGTTGAACTTGGAGCCAGACAAATACATTTGGGCCTTGGCTTCGATTCTCAGCGGATCTGTCACCTTGGAAAGGTCACTTGGACTGTCTGAGCTGCAGTTTGCTAAAATGGGGACACATCCTCCCTGATTACTCACAAGGCTATTGAGAGAGTTGAATGAGGTAATGAGGGGGAAAGTTCTTTATAAAGTTGACACAAAAGAAAAAGAAAGAGGATGTCATCCTACTTTCCTGCCTCTCGACCTTTCCTCCTTCACAGAGTTAGCGCCAAAGACTATGCCCCTTACTCCTGACTCCCTTGGAATCCATGAAACTGGGCTCCTTGAAGGCCGCAATTCTGTCTCTTAGCAATAAGGCAACAACTCACCCCACAGAGGGTGCTCCGGGCACATCATCTGGGTGAGCACAAGGGTCCAGGGACTTCACTTAGGCTTGAGCTGAGAGTTATGGGAATTTGAGGCAGGTCTGTGCCAAGGTGAAAGAACGCTGACATCTTGGGGAATTTCAAATGCATGGCCATTTCAGTTTTTGCTTTTGCTCCATTTTTGGAGGGTGAGTATTTGGGGTGAATGCTCTGGAGGCAAAGAAGCAAAGAGCTGAGGGAAGGCATCATGTATGCCTGGGTTTAAGGACCAGTGCCAGTGTGGTGACCTTGGGCACTGCATTCAACATGGGGAGATGGATCCCCAGGCTCTGCAGGCTGGCTGGGAGTGGAAGGGACTTTCCTGCCAAGTGAAAAGTCCTGGCTTATTGGGAGCCCTGAACACCTTAGAAGATGCTGAGCGCAGCAGATAGAAGCAAAGGCCACGGTAATTTATAAAAATACATTTCTGGCATCTTGCCAGGTCAGCATTGGCCCCACCAGTCCCTAGAACCCTGACTTCCACTCTACTTGTTCAACTAGAGTTGATTGCCGCCCTGACCCGAAGGCAGCAGGCCAGGCACGGAGGGTTGAACCCATCCTCCAGGAGCCCACCTTCCCTCCTGGCCCATGACAAGGTCCAGGTCTTGGGGAGCGTCTGAGCAGTGCTTGCCAACCAGCCACCACGGGTCTCACCCCCACCTCCATTACAGGCCTAAGGTGGGATGCAGCCCATCTGCTTTGAAAGCTCTGAAGGCAGATTTTGCTGCAGAAATATAATTTCTGTTCCTATGGGAAGCAAAGAATTGAGTTTTGAAAGCAAAATCACCAATTCTGATGCTGTGGATGAGAGGATCCAGGCTCTAGAGCAGGAAGCTTCAACCCACCCACAACCCCTTCCTCAGCTCTTGACTTGGATTTCCAGACCCCTGCTTAGGCTCTTGCTCAGGTCCTGACTACAATGACTACCAGGCCCTGGGCTATTAGGAGGATGTTGGGAACACTCTAAATGACTCCTTAATTTTCCTCAGACTGCTTAACACTGCTTTGTTACCACTTCCTTAGGTGCTGCCCAGTTTTGTCCTAACAATAACTGACAAGGGAGTCAGAGCCCAGAACATTATACCCATTGCACAGATAAGAAGACTGAGGCCCAGAGTGGGAAAGAGTTACCCACATCTCAGGCAGTAAACACTATGGTTAATCAAACTCTGATTATAATTCACTAACAGGAAATTTGGAGGGAAAAAAAGAAAACATAGAATACACCAAAAGTCAGTCTTAGGTTAAATCCCTGTTTAGCCATTTACTAAACTACAAACCCTGAGGCAAATCTTTGACCACTGCTGACTGGCATCTGAAAAATGGGGACCCTGGTGCCTGTCCCATAGGGCTGTTTATGAGCATTAAATGGGAAGAATAATTATGAAAGTGTCTAGCACATTTCTTGGCACATTCTGTAGGCACTGAGTCAGTATTTGTTCTTTTTTGGTTTGTAACTTGTTCACTCCCAAAGTGAATATGAGGTAATCTATGAAATTTCACACAAACCTGATCTGTGTGTGTTTCAGGGATAGATGTAGGTAGAGTAAATTGGTATCTGTTATGTTTCCAGTGTTTTTAAATTAAATTATCTCATAATCTTTAAAAATACATTTTTTCTGTTTTATTTACTTTTATTTTAGGTTCAGGGGTACATGTGCAGGTTTGTTCTATAGGTAAACTTATGTCATGAGGGTTTATTGTACAAATTATTTCATCACCCAGGTATTAAGCCTAGTACCCATTAGTTATTTTTCCTGATCTTCTCCCTCATCCCACCCTCCACTCCCCAATAGGCTCCAATGTGTGTTGTTCCCCTTTATGGGGAACATGTGTTCTTATCATTTAGCTCCTGCTTATAACTGAGAACATGCAGTATTTGGTTTTCCGTTTCTACATTAGTTTGCTAAGGATAGTAGCCTCCAGCTCCATCTTGTCCCTGCAAAGGACATGATATCTTTCTTTTTTATGGCTGTACAGTATTCCATGGTGTATATGTACCACATTTTCTTTATCCAGTTTACCATTGATGAGCATTTATGTTGATTGTTCTATCATAAAGACACATGCACATGCATGTTTGTTGCAGCACTATCCACAGCGGCAAGAATACATTTTTAAACCAAAAAAATCACATAAAATGTAAGGTAGAAATGCAGAAACAATTTAAAGGGAATAAAATAAATAGACATAAGCAGGCATCACAGAACAGGTAGCAGGTTTGAGAGTGGAACTTAGCTTTAGTAGATCCTGGCAACTGGCTGAGTTAACTGACCAGTAACAAGCGGCAGGCAATTTGTCTGCAAAGTCTCCCCAGCTCAGTTACAAGGAGTCATTCTTGCAAGGACCTTTATATAAGGCACACCAGGTCACAGAGTGAACTGTGATTTTGCAAAAGTCAGAACCACTGTTCAGGAATGTTTCTCATTACAGAGGTCACACAGGACTCTGGCTGCCTGTCCCCGGGGCACGCTGACCAAATGAGCTCCACTCCACCCAGGGAGCACAGCCAAGCCGTCAGGCCCCCAGAGTGTGCCCCCTTGGTGCAGCCTACCCCTGGGTTCGTCGCATGGGCAACTCCCCTCACCAGGCACGGGATCTCTCTAATGCTGTGGCATTTAGGCATCGCTGGGAGGGTTGGAGACCCTCCTGCCCATCCTCTTCTCCCCTCCTCTCCCTTCTTTAGCGTTTCCTGCCTCACTAATGATGACATTTCCACCAAGTGGCAATGACAAGAGAAATTAGTTCACAGCCTTTGGCAACTGAACATTGAGGATTCAGATTAAACTTTCAAAGGGAAAATATAATCTGTGCATGCAGGGAAATCATTTGGCATTTGGGGAAGACTTCAGGGTGGAATCACACAAGCCACAGACCCACAAAGGGGATAAATGGGAAAGACACCAGGGGAGCTAAGAGAAACAGGCAGACCCGCACACTCAGGAGCACTTGATGAGCCACATATGCAAGGCAGAGGGTCCACATCTTGCTCTTAACTAGAACCAAAACCTGTCAGGAAGCTCTGTGGCTTAATGAGCCCATCAAGCTGGGGATGCACTGACTGTAACATTTCAGCTAATTGGCCGCAGCATTTCTCTCCCATCAGTTCCCCTCTGGTTTCGCCAGTCACCATTCCCCTCTTCCCAATCACTGAAAATTATTAAGAAAGCTTGGCATTAAGCAGGACATGAGCGAGCTTCTCCTCATGCGCCCCTGGACCCTTCTCATTGTTTTTAATCAAGGAATTAGGCCTCAGAAAGGGCTGTCCCCGCAAGTGGACTATATAAGAAGATGCCCATGTGATAGAGCAAACTTCTGCAGCGCACGAGCACTGTCTCATTTTCTTCTGCATTCGCATACTCAGGGCCATGTTCCAGGTTCAGGAATAGCAATGTATTGAGCCCCCAGAACCGCCATGTTTGTGTGCACTGCACAATGCTAGAGTGTACCTTTCACTTCAGGATCTATTGATCCCCCTAGAGTGAGGCAGTGCACAACCTGCACAGCCTTTTTTTAGCAGCCCATGAGCTCCCATACCCGAGTCTGTTTTTTGCATGCCACTGTACCCACAATTCCCTAGCACAGTGCCTAGCACAACATATTTAGCCTTCAATAAAAACCTATTATATATCCGTATGAACTTAGAAACTGCTCCAAAAACTGTTTGGTGAGCTTAATTTCATTAAAAGTCTGAATTTCAGTTGTTTTACCACAGTCTGCTCTTTCTGAGCCCCTTTTGCTTTATCACGGACATCAGGCTGGGCTTCCTATACCACGAGAACAGGGAGTTCTGGATTCTCAGGCTGGCTCTAACACTTTCTAGCTTCCTGCTCTCTAAGCCTTGATTTTCTCATCTGTAAAATGAGACTACTGGACTTAGACCTTTAAAACCCCTTCCAGCACTGTCATTTGGGACAGGAGGACAATTCCCCCTGGCTTAAGGCCCAGGCTAAAACCCACAGTGGAATGTGGGTGACAGGTCCCTCTCCCACTCCAGCTCCTGCTGCTCTGTGTTGGATGCACTCTCAGGCTGACTTTCACTTCATGGTTAAAATGCTGCCAGGAACCCAGTCCTTAGCAATTGCAGCAGAAAAGCTCTTTTCTTCCATAGCAACCTAAAACAAAGTTCTGAAATTCAGTCTCACTGGGAAAATTTGGTCATATGCCTATCCACAGGGGAATCTGATGGTCTGATTGGTCAACAAGGTCCAGGCCACTTTGAAGTTGTAGTAGGCCACAACTTCATGGACTGAGAGCTGGGAAGAAATGGTTCTCCAAGAAAATTCTGGAGAAGGGTAGAAGCTGGGCTTCCCCAAAATAAGGAATGGCTCCCAGGAACCCTGAAAAGCAAGAAAAGATCAAGTTAAATTCACTTTTTGAGAGTTCAGATGTATTAAAATAAATGTGTCAAAAGATGGCTACAAAAATTATGAGATATTCTTAAAGTATACTTTCAACAAACATTTTCACATAAAGAACCCAATACAACATAACAATGCTAATCGCAAAGTAAATGCAGAGCTGATCTGAAACATGAATTCACAGAGCACTGTAAGCTGTGTGCTCCATTAATGACATGTACGTTTACACCTGAGGGAGGGCCATCATTTCTCAGTTCTGTCAGTGAGGTCTCTCTGACTGTGAGCGAGGCCTCCAGGGCCATCCTTCTTCTGCTAGCCATTGCAGATTTGTCTGGTTTTCATGACAATTTTCCGGCCATTGGCAGCAAAGTGTCTTGCAGAAGGAGGGCCTTTCTGTAGTCACACCAAGTTGTCTTGGGAATTTACAGCAGGGCTAGTGTGTGTATTCTAATCTTATTAGGAGACTACATCAAAAGTCTAATTTTGAGGCCTGTTTGTAAACGTGAGGCAAAGGCCAAATGCCCCTCTTGCTCCTAGTAACACACACACACATAGTAAAATCCCTGAAGTCCAAAAGGCACTAAAAATAGGGGATGAACTGGATGGTGAGGAAGAAAGTGGTGAACCTTTGTGGTTCTTATTTTTCAACTGTGGTTTTAACAGCTAATGTTGTGGTTCTGGTTTTTCACTAATTTTTTTCAACACAGAAATACCCCAGGGCAGGATGAGGAAGCAGCCAGGCACATTTGGGCTGAACACAGTTGAGGCCCTGCAGGTTACTCCGGAGCATCCTTCCTTGCTATCCGAAAGCTGAAGGGTTGCAGAAAATGGAACAGATTGGTCTAAGACAGAAACAGCCTGAAGGTACTCAGAATCCAAGAGTAAGAGAGGCAGCTTTAGTGAAGTGTTTTAAGGCTTTAAACGGGGACATATTAGGAAATGGGGATTTGAGCATCCTGAATTAATAGCTAGTAGAAAACCTCCATTGTAGCAGGCGTCCTTTCTCTGATGAGAGCAGACACAGCACTTTGGAAGGGGATAATGCCTAGAGCTGGGTTTGGCTTCTCCAGTGGGCCCTGTGTGAGTAGCTGTTCTTGCACCCGTCTTAAATTTTTGAAGAAGCCATGCTTTTAATGAGCTTATGAAGAAAGAGAATTGGGGTTGGAAGGGAGCAGAGTAGACAGCCATGAGGGTGATTTATCAAAGGTTTTTGTGATGTAAACAAAAAAGCCCTCTCCTCATCTTTGAGTTCTTTGAATTTTTCTGGCTGCCTTGCAGACACAATGTTGCTGATTTTCTCTAACAAAGACTCATTCAATACGAGCTCAAATGAAAACATTGATAGTGAACCAAGGGGTAATTAGCTTGAGTTAATTCTGCTGACATTATCCTGATGCTATTTGAAGGGTTGAGAGAGTCTTCCCACCCTCTAGTAAGCAATTACTCGGTGTCTGGGACCAGCACCTCTGCCTGGGAGGCTGGCCACAGTATTAGGATACAATATGGCAGCATTAGAACAAGGCGGCAGGGAGGCGGGGCAAGAAGGATGGGGCTGGGTAAAACTCAGACTATATCTGCAGGAGGAGAGCCTGCAAGCCCGAACCTGGGGAGCGAAGGGCGGGAGGGTGGTGCTCTAAGAGTTGTGGAAGGGAGTTCAAGTAAACAGAAAGGAGAAGGAAGGCAGGAAGGGGCGGGCAGGCCGGGAAGAGGGAATGGAGAGACGGGGAGAGAAAAGGAAGAGGAGAGTAAAGGCGGAGTGAAGGCGGGGAGAAAGAGAGGAGATTGTGAAGACAGGAAGAGGGCCAAGAGGGGAACTGAGAGGGGAAGGAAAGGAGAGGGAGGGCGCAGTGGGCAGAAGCGATGAGGTCAGATGCGGATGAGAAGAGAAGAGAAACCTCGAGGGCAGTTCTCCTTGAGGTCGGAGCTCTTCCCGGCCCCAGCACTACCATCACCTCCATCACCTCGGCGTAGAGCTGTCCTCTGGGCCGCACCCCGCCGTCCCAGGGAGTCCCCCAGAGCCCGGCTGAGGCTGCCTTGGGAGCCTCTGCTGGACGGGCCAGCATCACCCGGGCCCGGCAGGACGATGCCAGGGTGAGGGCAGAGCCCCGCGAAGGCCGCCGTCCCCGCGTGCCCCGGCGCCCCGAGACGCATCGACCCGTCTCTCCCAGCGCGGCGTCCGCAGGCCGCGGTGGAACACGGCAGGCGGCCGATTGATCGGGAGGCGGGGGCCTCAGTGCGGGGGCCGCCATCGATCGCGGCCGCCCCGCCGCCTCTGATTGATGGCAGAGGCTTTTCCTGGCGGCCCGAGCCGGCCGCGCGCTCCCAACTGGGCGGGCGAGGCCGGGATAAATGGGAGCAATTGGGCCGGGCAGCGCCGAGGCACATCTGCCCCGCGCGGGTGCAGCGGCCCGAGCTCGCCGCAATTAGGGCTGAGTGTCTAAATCTGCCAAGTTCATCCGAGAGCATGCCCGGCGCCTCTTTTGCCGCCGAGACGTGCTCTGCCAGCCCAGCCAGGCCGCCCCCGACCCGCTGTGCCCGCCCCGGACCCGCGGGGAAGCTGGAGGCCGCCTCGTGCCCCCGGGCCTGGGTGGGCGCAGGGCGTCGAGGAGGGACGCGCACCCGGGCGTGCCAGGGGGACTTTAGGGCACTCGACCCTGTCCGCCGCCCAGGTGAGCGCAGAGGAGAGGAGGCAGCGCAGCCCCCACCCCCCAGCCCAGCGTCAGCCCTCCCTGGGCCGGAGGACAGCTAGGGTTCAGGGATTCTCCCACCCGCTCTGTGGCCCTGGGTGGGCGCTGCGCCCTCTATAAGCCTGTTTCCTCTCTGTAATTCAGGGACAGGGACACTGCTAGCGCCTCGATTGTTAAAGGACTGAGGGGGCCTTGTTTACAGACCTGTCCTCTCCCTGAAGGCAGGAGCCAGGTCTCAGAAGATCACCGTGGTATGCACCTCACCACGCAGAATTCCCAACAGTGAAGAGGCGCGTGGCAAACAAGTGTTAAATACGGGAAGGAATAGGACTCACTAATAATACCAACAACATTCTTATTTATAGAGCACGTCCTACGTGCCAGCACATGGTTAGTCTCACGCCCCATTTAATACCCACTTATGAGACAGGTAGCGTCAGGCTTATTTCACCGTTGAGGAAACAGGTTCAAGAGGTTAAGGACGGTGCTCTGGGACCAGAACTGTGAGCAATACATGTTTGTTGTTTATAGATTACCCAGTCTAAGGTATTTTGTTATAAAAGCCCTAATGGACAAAGACAGAAATTCGTACCAAGAAGAGGGATGTTGCTATAACAAATATCTAAAAATGTGGAAGCAGCTTTGAAATTGGGTAATGGGTACAATCTGGAAAAATTTTGAGGTGCATGTTAGAAAAAAAGTCTACATGGCCATAAACAGAGCATTAAGAGTGATTTTGGTCAGGGCTCAGGAAAAGAGGAGAGATACACAGAAAGCCTAAATCATCTTAGAGACTACTTGTGATCATAATCAGAATGTTGGTAGAAACATGGATGCTAAAGGCCTTTCTGATGAGGTCTCAGATGGAAATAACTAACAAGTTATTGGAAACTGGAGGAAAGGCTATGCCTGTTATAAAGGTGATTTGGTCATTAGAGCTGCACCCTCATGAATGGGATTAGGGCCTTCATAAAAGAGGCATCAGGCAGTCTGTTGTCCCTTCCACTGTGTGAGAACACATATAAGGTGCCATCTATGAGGAACAGGCCCTCACCCAACAATGAACCTGCTGGTGCCTTATTCTTCAACTTTCCAGCCTCTGAAACTGTGAGCAATGAATTTCCATTTATAAATTATCTAGTCTAGGGTATTTTGTTGTGACAGTCCAAACAGACTGAGATAATGAACCTACAATGACATAATCCTATCACCCAAAGTCCATAGTATACATTAGAATTTTCTCTTAGTGTGCATTCTATGGGTTTGGACAAATGTATAATGATATATATCCACCATTGTAGTATCATACAGAGTAGTTTCACTGCCCTCAAAATTCTCTATACTCCACCTATTCAGCACTCTCTCTCCCCTAACCCTTGAAAACCACTGATCTTTTTACTGTCTCCATAGTTTTGCCTTTTCCAGAATGTCATATAGTTGAAATCATTAGAATGTCATATAGTTGACAACTTAAAGATCAAGTCATCTGGGAACAAAGACAGTTTTATTTCTTCTTTCACAGTATACACTTTGTTTCCATTTCTTGTCTTATTCATTAATGAGAACTTACAGTACAATGTTGAAAAAAAAGTGGAGAGAAAGAACATTATTGCCTTGTTCTGGATCTTAGTGGGAAAGTTAGAGTTTCTCAATATTATTGATGTTAGCTGTGGGTTTTTGGTAGATGTTCTTTATAAAGTTAAGGAAGTTCCCCTATATTCCTAGTTGACTGAGGACTTTTTATCAGAATGAGTGTTAGATTTTGTTCAATATTGTTTTGCATCTATTGATGTGAATATATGATATTTTCTATTTAGCTTGTTGATATCATAGATTACATTAATTGATTTTCAAATGCTAAACCAGCCTTGCATACCTGAGACAAATTCCACTTGGTCTTGATGTATAAATCTTTTTACACATGGTTGTACTTAATTTGCTAATATTGTGTTAAGAAATTTGTGTATGTTCATTACAGATATATTGGTTTGCCCACTTTCTTTCTTATAATGTCTTTCAATATTAGGATAATGCTGGTCTAATAGAATGAGTAATGGAGTATTCCTTTTGCTTCTATCTTCTAAAAGAGACTGTAGAGAATTAGTATAATTTTTTCCATAAAGTTTGGTAAAATTCACCAGTGAGCTCATTTGGGCCTGGTGACCTCTGTTTAGAGGTTATTAATTATTGATTCAATTCATATAATAGATATAGGCCTATTCAGATTGTCTGTTTTTTGTTGTTTGAGTTTTGGCAGACAGTGTATTTCAAGGAATTCTCCATTTCATCAAGATTATTAAATTATTAAAATTATTCATAGTTTTCTTTTATTTTAATGTCCATGGGATCTATAGGGATATCTTCTCTTTCATTTCCAATTAGTAATTTCTGTACTGTCTTTTTTTTTTCTTAACTAGCCTGGCTAGAGGCTTATTGATTTTATTTATCTTTTCAAATACCTAGCTTTTGGTTTTGTTGATTTTCTCTATTGATATCCAACTTTCAGTTTCATTGATTTCTGCTCTAATTTTTATTTCTTTCCTTCTGCTCACTTTGGATTTAATTTACTAATTTTTTCTAGTTTCCTAAAGTAAAAGCTGAGATTTTTTATTCTAGATCTTTCTTCTTATCTCATATATGCATTGAATATTATCAATTTTCCTCTAAGTACTGCTTTTGCAGCATCCAGAAATTTTTGTAAGTAGTGTTTTTATTTTTGTTTGGTTCAAAATATTTTCTAAATTTCTCCTGAGTTTTTTTGACCCATGTTTTTTGTAGAAGTGTGTTGTTTAATCTTCATGTATTTTAGACTTTTTTGAGCTATCTTTCTGTTATTGATTTATAGTTTAATGCAATTGTGGTCTGAGTACACACATTGTAAGATTTTTATTCTTTTAAATATATCAAGTTGTTTCCAGAATGTTCTTTGTCATGGCAAATGTTCCATTTGACCTTGAGAAGAATGTGTGTTCTGCTGTTATTGAGTGAATTACTCTATGAATGTCAATTATATCCAGTCGACTGATGCTGTTGTTGAGTTCAAGTATGTCTTTACTGATTTTTTTGCCTGCCAGGTTTGTTCATTTCTGATAGACAGATATTGAAGTCCCCAACTATAATACTGGATTTAGCTACTTCCTCCTCCTGGTTCTATCAATTTTTGTCTCATGTATTTTGATGCTCTGTTTTTATATGCACACATATTTAGAATTGTTATGTCTTGGAAGATTGGTCCTTTATTATTACATAATGCCCCTCTTTATCTCTGATAACTTTCTTTGCCCTGAAGTCTGCTGTCTGAAATTAATATACTTACTCCTGCCTTCTTTTGATTAGTACTAGCATGATATGTCTGTTTCCATCCATTTACTTTTAATCTACATGTATCTTCCATCCATTTACTTTAAATCTACATTTAAATATATTTGTATATATTTAAATATAAATACAAAGACACATACAGGGTTTACTTGTAGACAACATGTGGTTGTGTCTTTTTTTTTTATCCATTCTGACAATCACTGTCTTTTAGTAAGCACATTTGGACCACTGACATTCAAAGTAATTATTGCTACAGCTGGATTAATATCTACTCTATTTGTTGTGTTTTTCTACTTGTTCTTGTGCTTTGTTCCTATTTTTGCCTTCCATTCTTTTTTTGCCTGATTTTCATTGAGCATTTTATGATTCCATTTTTTTTGCCTTTCTTAACATATCAGTTATATCCATTTTTTACTTGTTTAGTAGTTGCCCTAGAGCTTGCAATATATACTTACAACTAATTTAAGTCATTTTCAAATAACACAATACTGCTTTATGGGTAGTGTGAATACTTTATAGTTTAAAAAAATCCTAATTTCTCCCTCTCATCCCAGGTATTATTGTTGCCATTAGTTTTACTCAAACATAAGCATACATAGATATATGTATGCATATGTATATATGTATAAAATGATGCATATATAACTGAATGCAAAGTTGCTATTATTATTTTGAACAGACTGTTATCTGTTAGATAAATCAAGCATAGTTAAAAGTTTTACTTTTGCCTTTACTTATCCTTTTCTGATGCTCTTCCTTTCTTTATGTGGATCTGAGTTTCTGACTTAGGTCTTTTTCCCTTTCTCTTATGAACTTATTTTATCATTTCTTGCAAGGCACGTCTACTGACCACAAATTTCTTAAATACTTGTTTGAAAAAGAATCTTGATTTCTCCTTTAGTTTTGAAGGATAATTTTGCCAGGTACAGAATTCTGTGTTGATGGAGGGTTTTTTTTTTTACCCATACTTTAAAGATTTCTCTCCACTCTATTCTTGTGTACATAGTTTCTGAGGAAGAGTAGGATATAATTCTTTCTTTCCTCTTCTTTGGGTAAGGTTTATTCTCTATCTTCTTTCAGAATTATTCTGTTATTAGAATTTTTCCTTTTTAATAAAAAATGGTGTATGTTTGAAGTATACAATGTAATGTTTTGATGTACATATGCATTGTGAAGTGATTACTATAGTCAAGCTAATTAACGTAGTCATCACCTCACATAGTTGCTGTGTGTGTGTGTGTGTGTGTGTGTGTGTGTATGGTGAGAAAACAGAAAATCTACTCTTTTTGCAAATTTTAAGTATATAATATACAATACAGTATTATTAACTGCAATCACCATGCTGTGTATTAGATCTCTAGAACTTATTCATCCTTCACAACTGAAACTTTATACCCTTCAATGAACATCTCCTATTTCCTCCAGCCCCTGATACTGGTAACCACCATTCTACTCTCTGCTTGTATGAATTCGACTATTTTATATTCCACATGTGAGATCGTGTAGTATTTGTCTTTCTGTGACCGGATTATTTCATTTTATAATGTCCTCCAGGTTCATCCATGTTGTTGCAAAATGGCAGAATTTTCTTCTTTTTTAAAGTTAACTAACACCCTATTGTACATATACCACCATTTTTTTTCTTTTCTTTTTTTTTTTTTTTTTTTTTTGAGACGGAGTCTTGCTGTCGCCCAGGCTGGAGTGCAGTGGCGCGATCTCGGCTCACTGCAGGCTCCGCCC
Source organism: Homo sapiens (assembly GCF_000001405.40). Lineage (NCBI taxonomy): Eukaryota > Metazoa > Chordata > Mammalia > Primates > Hominidae > Homo > Homo sapiens. Next base: position 48,805,568 of record NC_000016.10, on the reverse strand, counting down.
CCTGGGGTTCACGCCATTCTCTTGCCTCAGCCTCCCGAGTAGCTGGGACTGCAGGCACCCGCCACCTCACCCGGCTAATTTTTTGTATTTGTTCATTCATCCATCAACAGACATGAAGGCTGTTTTCACGCCTTGACTAGTATGAATAGTGATGCAATAAACATGGGAATGCATATATCTCTTTGAGATGTTGATTTCATTTTGGGGGGATATATAGTCAGAAGTGGGATTGAAAGATCATATAGATCTAGTTTTAATTTTTGTGGAAACTCCATACTGTATTCCATAATCATTGTACCAAATTACATTCCCAATGACCGTGTAGAAGGATTCTCTTTTCTCCCCATCCATTCTGATACTTGCTATATTTCGTCTTTTTTGTAACAGCCATTCTAACAGGGGTAATACCACCATTGCAATTATTTTATATTTGGCTATATATTTACATTTACCCATAAGATTTAGGTTTTCATATGCTTTCATGCTACTGTTTAGCATGTTTTTTTCTTCTTCACCTTTTTTATACCAGAGATGTTTTCCATGTTTTAATTTCAATTTGAAGAACTCTCTTGAAGTATTTGTTGTAAAGCAGATCTAGTGGTGACAAACTTTTTCAGTTTTTATTTGTCTGGGGAAAAGAATTT